>NC_000003.12:64252424-64555454 GCF_000001405.40 Homo sapiens
AAAATTGAACATAAAATTGGAAGCTCTCAGCCGATGCAGTAACAGAGTACTGGGCATGAGCCAGCATCATCCCAACATCGATTCTTTACCTCTAAAAAGTGGTTTCCTCCATGGCAAAATTGGTTATTTATGGTCAATAGCACTTTTGCCACAGTTTTCAACACACAAGCAGCATGAGCTTTTCCCCCAGCCCTTCCCTACTAAACCAGGACCCAGGACGCATGACGGTGGGAAGAGGCATGGGAGTCAGGAAACTTTTGTGAAAGACTTGGTTTATGTATTTTGGCAAGTCATTTCCTTTCTCTGGATCTTGATTTCCTCAGGGGTAAAACCTCACTGGATTAGATCAGGGGTCAACAAACTTTTTCCTATTAAGGGTCAGGATCAATATTTTAGGCTTTGTGGGCCATATAGTCTCTGTCATGACTATTCAACTCTGCCCTTGTAGTGTGACAAGTGAAGACAAGACAAAAGTAAATGGGCATGGATATGTTCCTATAAAACTTTACGAAAACAGGATGCAGGTTGGATTCAGCCAGAGAGTCATAATTTGCATACCATTGGATTAGATGATCTATGAGTACCTTCCAGTTCCAACTTTCCATAACTTGATTGTATAAGATTCACCTCCCACCTGACCTTACAGAAAATCTTAAAGACTAGAAGCCCTAGGTTAAAAATAAAAGCTCTGGAAATAATAACAGCTATCATTTATTAAGTGATTGCTGTGTACCAACTATTATGCTAATGACTTTAATGTGCTTTATCTCATTTCATTCTCAGGGCAATTTGTTGAGGTAGATACCATAGTTAATCTATTTTATAAGTAAAGAAGCTGAGACTTCAGCAGTCTAAGTAATCCATTCTACATCATATAACTGGTAAGTGGCAGAGCTGAAACTGGAACTGATGTTTGACTCCTGAGTTCTTGTTCAAAAGTACTAAATTATGGGACCATCACACAGCTGTTCAGACACCTACCTCTGCCGGTCACCCTACCCACTTCCCCAGTTACTCTCTCATGAACCCTCAAGAAGTTCACATGAGAAACCCTATTCTTGCATGTCACATACATTAAAAGATTGGCCTAAAAATAACACCCAAGTTCACTACTCTAGATGATGAATTGCTTTTTAAAGCATAATAACTGGTTCTTTGACCGGCTCAAGACCTTATACTGGTAGAATACCTTCGACATGCCTTATTTGGAAGGCAACCATGAGACAAGTGCTGGATCTGCTGACGGAATCTGCAATCTCTCATCCAGGCAAACACAGCCTTATTTAAAGAATTCTTAAACTAAGAAGAAGGGGGAAGAAATTCAAGGACTTACTTCTTACCACAGTTTATCACAGTTAAACTAATCATAAACAAAGCTCTCAAGAAACAGTGACCTTGGAAAAAAATCAAAGGGTAGCGTGGAATGTGCATGAGATCCGCTGGCCAGTGTCATGAGAGGAGTTTCAAGGTGAGGGGCCTGCTGGAGCTCCATCAACGCCTGTGCACTGTCGCACTCTCTGAAACCTCAACAAAGTCTCCTCGTGAGATGAGTGATTACTAATGTAGTCTCTTTGGGGCCTTCAGATGGATGGAGGTTTGTAATAATACAGGTATATGTTTCGGGGCAGCCACAACTCCCTTCCTCTTGCTTGGTGGTAGACAGCTGCATTCTCCAGAGTGTTCTAATGTCCACAGCAAGCACAGTGAAAATGTTAATGCAACAATTTGATAAATATTTAATGGCTCTTTCCTTAGATTGCTGATGCGATTAAGCCAGAGCCTCATTACTAAAACCTACTTTCACCTCCTATTTTATTTATGAGCTTGATTCCTTTACACTAACACACAGCCAGGTTTAGATAAATTGAAGTCAGGAATACAGTGGAAAGAGGAAGCAACAACTCAATACCAGAGCATCAAAACTCAGTGCAACTCAGCTTCTGGCAAGAGGTATTGTTCCTGTCTCCCAAGGCGACAGACAAGACTGAAACAGAGCTAGACAAGAAACCACCTAGATGAGAAACAGCCCCAGGAGTATGGATCAGCTGTTTTCATGGTGATGGTGATATTTGGAAGGTGAGCAAAAAGACAGGGACCCTCAATCTATTTCTCACTTCCTAACTGGCCAGGACTAATTATTATTAGAGTACATTATACATTTGACCAACAATAATTTCTCTTCATGGATTTTTGTTCTTCCACCCACGCAGTCCTAGTCATTCTTTGAGCCCAGATCAAATGTCATCACCTCTCGGAAGCTTTCTTGATCCCTCCTCTCAAGTCAAAATTAATCATTCCTTCTGTTGTAAACCCACATGTTTTGTTGACAAGGTTATCATAGCTTTTATCTCACAGATTGCCTTTAGTATTACAGTCAGAAATAGTACAGTTGAAAATGAAGATTTGAGTCCAACTACCTGGGTTTACCACTTACCAGTTGTATGGTCTTAGGCATGTTAACCTCTCAACACCATATTTGCTTATCTTTAAAAATGGAATGATGATGCCCCTACAGGATTGTTGTGAGATCACCTGAGATAAATGTTTCAGTACCTAGCAAGCATTTAGATATTCTCCCTAACAGCTAGATATATACATGCCCATATGTATGTAGAAGGAACCTGAAAGCGCCTATCTACCTCCCACATTTTCCCATTTAGGATAAAAAAACTGTGAGCCATGTTGGCCAAATTCCAAGCCATAGTAGTGAGTAGGGTCACTTTAAAAGATCACATACCCACTTACTGCTTTCATTCCATGTCCCATGTCTTCCCTCCATGCACAAGTTTACTCTCTGTGTGCATGCCTGAGCTTGCTGGTCACTGAACTTACTTCTTGTTCCATGTGACTAGAGAAAAAGTTTGGTAGAATCTCAAGATTTGCATTTATGTTTAGGAGTGATCAGGAGGCCCTGTGTAGGCTTCAACCTCAGCCATGTGCCCTGATTCAGTTTTTACAGGGCCCTCCACTAAAGGGGAATGTTGCCATCCTTCCTTATAGGTTCCTTGGGAGCATCTTTGGAGGGAGCAAGGGTTTATACAAATCAAGACCACACCTCATTCCTAGCAGGATGCATATGGACCTCCTCACAGTGCTTGACGGCAGATGCAGGGAGAGGGAGAGGAGAGCCTGGAGTTAAGCAGGCCTCAGTTCAAATCCCAGTCTGCTGCCATAAGGCCTCAGGGCAGATGGAAATCTCTCTAGCGCTCATTTTCTACCTTGTTGAATATAACAGAGAACTCTAGTTACTTACCTCAGCATCTCCTCTTCCTCCTCAGTAGCAGGATTCCAGTTTTCATCTAAGCACACTCACAACTTGAGTAAACAACCGCATTTCTCAGCCTCTTTTGCAAAGACGTGTGGTCATATGTCAAAGTTCTGGCCAAGGAGATGGTAGTAGCATTGGGTGAGACAAGGGGAAGTCTCCTTAAAAGAAAGTATCTGTATACTGCTTCCCTGCCTTTTTTCTTCTTGTTGCCTGGAATGCAGACATGGTGGCAGCAGCTGAACTATGGAGCGACTCTGAGGAAGGGAGCCATATGCCGAGGTTGGCAGGGCAGGAAAAAAGCAAGCTGGGTCTCTGTGACATAGTGAAGCTGCTAGACTAGCCCTAGGCAGACACCTTTAAACTTCTTTGAGGAGAGACAAATAAAGGCTTGACTCATTCATGCCACTATGGAGGTTTTCACTGTTCTGTGCAGTCCAACTTGATCATTACTTACATATAAGGCTCAGCCAGAATGTAAATAAAACTATGACCTTCAAGCCAAGTCCAGCCCCACAGCCCGTTTCTATATGGCCCAGGAGCTAAGAGTGATTTTTATAGATAAATATTTGCAATCAATTTGGTAATAGGAGACAGTAACTCTAAACCTCACTTCCTCAAAAATGAATTCCATTCTTCTCATTAGGAGACCTGTATTTCGGAAAGGTTATACTCAATTATTATCATTGTATTTTAAATTTTGTCAAAAAAAATCTGTGGAAATTTGTTTTCTCATTACACAAGTACCTACATACTAGTCTTGATTTTGCCTCTTGACTTGCATAACCTAAAACATTTACTATTTGGCTCTACACAGAAAAAGTTTGTTGACCCATGATGTAGAAAAGTCTCCAACATGCTGCTGATCATAAAGAAAATAACTCAATAAATGATACCTGCTACTAAAATTAAATCTCAAAAAAAGCCTGGCACAAAGTTACTCAACTATTTATTCATTTTTGTGAGATATTATAATCCTATAGAAAAGTATGGCTTAACTCTTTGTTGACTTAAAGAGATAAAAAATTTCCAGAGTCAACCTCACCCCTTCCAAGCATCTCCACCTTCTTTCCTACTTCTTGGTCATCAGGCAAGAAAAAATAAACATGACAGCATAACAAAGACACTTAGAATGCACTGTCTCCCATGTCTCCCTCCCTATCCCATCAGTCACATATGCATTTTTAAGGCCACCTAACACAAAGGGACAAAATGGATATGAGTCTTTTTTGGCACTGAGTCTAATTTCATTTAAATTTTTCTGGAATGGTTTGGTAACTGAGCCTAATATCCATCAGATATTTCCCAATACCAGAATTGACATGTATAAGTTGCCAACCTGGTGCCAATTAATGGAACCCTGGGCAAAGTCACATACATGATATTCAACACATCATAGTAATGCTTCACCCATTCATTTGGGATCCAGGAAAAGTCTCTCATACATGTATCACCAGGAGCAGTTGAAGCATGAGTTTCAGCCTTCCCCTATATAAGAAAAATTATTTGGCTGAGTTAAACCAGTGGTTCCCAACCTTTTTGGGCAATGTTGCCAAGCTTCTGGCTCATGTTCACATCACTCTGCCAGTTTGTGCCAACTCCTCCCTCCACCCTTCTGTTCCCAACCCTCAGTTGGACATGCTCTAATCTGTAAGACAGTCTGGGCTGTTCCAAACACTGGGGATGGGAGTATGAAAGGGGAGTGTAGGACCAGTTCAGTGGAGGCCTGATGGAGAAGAAAAGGCATATGTGCAGCCCATCATGTCTCTCCTTAAGGCAGTCAGGGAAGAAAAGGCTGATTTGGCAATGGCAGTGGGGGTGTGAGCAAATGAATGAGGTGGCCCTGAGTGGGATGCAGAAAGGTGGAGTTGTGTCTTTAGCTGGGTGTTTACTCCTTCAAAATTACCACATCCAGTCCCAGCCCACTGGAAGGCAAGCCAAGGGGAAAGTCTTATGGAAAGAGTGGTGGCTCAAAAGATTTCAACACATCAAGAGAATGTAGGCATGGCCAATGGCTTGGGAGGGCAGTGGGTGGGCCAGAGGATGAGAATCATCCCTACTAATCAGCTATTATCCTTTGCCATGGTTTGAATGTTTGTGTCCTTCTCCCTCAAATTCATAGGTTTAAATCCTAACCCCTAAAGTGATAGTATTAGAAGATGGGGCTTTTGGGAGGTGATTAGGTCATGAGGATAGAGCCCTCATGAATAGGATTAGTGCTCTTATAAAAGAGACCCCAAAGTGCTAGCTCTTCCCTTCCACTGTGTGAAGACACAGCAATAAGTCACCATCTATGAACCAGAAAGCAAACCCTCATCAAACACCGAACCTGCAGGCACCTTGATCTTGAACCTCCAAGCACCAGAACGTAAAAGAAAATCTGTTGTTTATAAGCTACCTAGTTTATGGTATTTTGTCACAGCAGCCCAAACAGACTAAGATACTCTTGGTTATAAGAAACTGTCATGTTGCAAAGCATCTGAAGCAAGCAATTAGCGGGTGGGGGTGGGAAGACATCTTGGATGAAAGTACTGTGGATTTTGTCCCAGCAATGCATGCACTCCCAAAGGATATGTACTAGAATGTCTGTAACAGCACTTTTTGTAAGTCTCTAACCAGAAACTAAGGAAACTCCCAGCAACAATTGAATGAATATATTTTGATCTATTTAACAATGGAACCCTATACAACAACTAAAATGAAGGATCTACAACTATACACAAGAAAACAATTGGATCTCACAAACAGAATGTTGAGTGAAGGCAGCCAGGTATGCAAGAGTACATATTGTATAATTCCCTTTATGTAAGGTATAAAAACTGATACAATCTATGATGTTAGAAATCGGAGGCTGGGTGTGGTGGCTCACGCCTGTAATCCCAGCACTTTGGGAGGCCAAGGCAGGTGGATCATGAGGTCAGGAGATCGAGACCATACTGGCTAACACAGTGAAACCCTGTCTCTACTTAAAAAAAGAAAAAAAAAATAGCCAGGTGTGGTGGCGGGTGCCTGCAGTCCCAGCCACTGGGGAGGCTGACGCAGGAGAATGGCACGAACCCGGGAGGCAGAGCTTGCAGTGAGCCGAGATCATGCCACTGCACTCTAGCCTGGGCGACAGAGCAAGACTCTGTCTCAAAAAAAAAAAAAAAAAAAAAAAAAGAAAGAAAGAAAGAAAGAAAGAAAGAAAGAAAGAAAGAAAGAAAGAAATCAGGAGAGTGGTTAGAATTAAGTAGGGGTGCAAAAAGGGATTGTGGGGCACTGGTAATATTTTATTTCTTGATTCTGTGTGCTGGTAACACTGGTATATTTAGCTTATGAAATTTCATTCAGCTGAACACCTATGATAAGTTCACTCTCCTATATGGATATATTACACTTCAGTGAAAAGATCTAGAAGATGTAATGTGACCTTTGAGAGATCTGGAACCCACAGTATGCTAATTTTGAAAGGATCCTTGACAATTCTTGGGCCAGAGTTAGCCTTAATCACTTCATTTGACAATAAGACTCAAAGAGAAGGAACATGATAACAGTGGCAGCAACACAGCAGTAGTAAAAATATATAACAGTAAGCCAATATTTACTTGATATTCACTTGTGCTAAGTGCACCACAAGTTTTATCTCATTTAATTTTATAATACGCCTAGGAAGTATACAGGTATATCCCACTAACAGCTGAGGACACTGAAGTTCTGAGGGGTGAGGAAATAGGCCTGACTCCTGGTTTAAACACCCTTGCTGCCTCTTCCTGGGACCGAGGAGCTCGTAGCTAAGTGAGAACTTGATCCAAGTCTCCTAATGCTTGAGTCAATGTGCCTCCGTGGTAGGTTGCAAAATGGCCTCCCAAATATATGTCCATGTCCTGATCCCCAGAACCTGAAAATCATAACATATTTGAAGAAGAAGCCCTTGCAGATATAATTAAATTGAAGGTTTTGAAAGGAAGAGATTATGAGATTATGTAGATTATACAAGTGGGCTCTAGATGTCACCTCAAGTATCCTTAGAGAGGCAGAGGGAAATTTGACACATGCACAGAGGGGAAAGCAATGTGAAGATGGAGGCAGCTACTGGAGTGATGCGGCTGTAACCATGGAAAGCCAAGGATGGATTGTTGGCAGCCACAAGAAGCCGGGACAGACTCTCTCCCAGAGACAGCCAACACCCTGACTTTCAAACTTCTGGCTTCCAGAACAGTAAGAGAATAAATTTCTGTGGTTTTAAGCCACCAAGATTGTGGTAATTTGGTACAGCAGCCCTAGGAAATGAACACTCTCCCTAAGCATAACACAGCAGCATCTAAAGAGAGTGTTCTACAAAATGGCAACAGGTGTCCTTGAAAAACACGCCAGAATCACCAGGTTTGGAAAACAATGTTAAGTGGGTTTCTTTATGATTGGACTTCTCAGGCCCTATGTCATGCTTATTGTCCCTTATGAATCTTTGAGAAGGAGATATGGTACCATAGACTTTCCCAAACTTGACCAGCCTCAGAACTCTCTTGTGAGGCTCCCCTGGCACATTCTCAGGAAGTGCTGCAGTACACCACACTGAACGCACTAACGGGACCCAAGAGGGAACAAAGGCCTGAAAAGCTAAGAGTTATCACTTTGCCAAGCTCATGATTATTCTTCTAAAGCCCCCTAACACAGTGCAGCAGCTACGAGGGCAAGAGTTGCACTAGATAATCTCCATGGTTCATTCCAAATCTAACATTCTCTAATTCTTTATGTACAACAACAGTTCTTGCCCATGGCAGACACTGCTAATCAATCGCAGCACTATTTCCCTAAGCCCTGAAGGGGCCCCTTTAATTCTTTTTAACCAGAGCTGCAGGCAAATAAAACCTCTGTGCTATTCCTGTCTTAGTAACTCAATGAACAGTCCAAATAAATAAACCATGGCTTATGGGTTTTCAGAAATGCCTGCATTACTCTCCTCTCGTCCGGGGAAGGACATCCTCTTCCCTGCCAATATCTGTTGATGTTTTTTTCCACTTTTAGAATACGCAACCCTTTGCTCTGATTTTTAAATTAGTACTCCACCAATAACATTCAGTGAGAGGTTGTGGCTTTTGGGGCCAGAGAGAAGAGCAAGTCTGGGGCACTAAACATACAGTTCAACCTTTGTTCCCTGGGAAAGATCAGCTCTGACAGATTAAAAAATATATATGTTTACTGCTTTCTGAGTTCCAAAGCCATTTGTGGGAGTTGTAGTAGATCTTAAAAACTTTTGGATCCCAAATCAATTCCCAGGACAGCTGCATCTGATCAGACTTCCTAGGCAGGAGAGTTCAGAAGCTTGGGGTCTTCAGAGAAAACCATTAGCTAGGGTTGCAATTTTTAAAAGGTGATGAGACACTCATGCCTCACTTGTACAGAGTGCTGAAATAATGTCTCACTCCAAGGGGTTTACAGACCTCCACAAGGGGCAACTATAATTGATCTGGTTTACAATTAATACAGAAAAAGAAGGCACAGAAATGTGAAGTGTATGGACTTAGCAGCATTGGGAAGCACATTAATCTCTACAACCCCCAGGAAGTAAGAGGGAGATGAGGAAAGGAGGAGAGTAATAAAAATAACTTAAAAATTTTTAATTTCCTAATAATTTTCTTGCAGTGTTAGACACTGGCCCAGGTATCAGTTAATCAGTCAGTCAAAATTTGTTTAGGGAGCCCTCCTAGAAGGAAGGTACTGTCACTGAAGATGGGATTTAAATGATGCAATCCTTGCCTTTAAGGGACAAGAAGGGACAGGGACAGGCTTGTCATATTGAAAATAAAATATTTTGGATCTTGGAAAGTGCTTTGGAGAAAAGTTGGTAAGATAATGTGGCCAAGAAAAATGTGGGCTGTGGAGTGTAGTCATGGAGCAAGGCTAGGCAGGAAGTTCTCTTGACAGAAGGACATTTAAGCTAAGATCTCAATGGTGAGAAGCTCCTAGCCAGGCAAAGATCTATGGGAAGAGCATTCCAAGCAGAAAGAACAGCAAGCACAAAGGCCCAGAGGTAGGCAGAAACTTGGGCTGGCCTGTGACTGAAGCACGGGTGCCAGTAGCCAGGTAGGAAGATGCCCTTGAGAGGTAGGCACGGGCTAGAACTTGTTAAGGTGGGAGAGTCTCACAGGTCACGGCAAAGTGTTTGGGTTTTGTCCTTATTGCAATGAGAAGCTGTCTGAAGGTGTTAAACAGGGTCATGTTATGATGTGATTTAAGCTTCAGAACCACTAGGTGTTTGGGAAGGTTGTCAAGTAATCAAGGTGAAAAATGATGGCAGCATGGACTAAAGTTGGACCTGTGGAGGTTTGAGATATGTATCTTTTCTATCATATTTTTTACAGAGGTGTGATTTACATACAGCAAAATCCATAGACCTTATATGTAGAGTCTCATCAATTTTGAAAAATGCCTATATCCATGTAACGCACACTCTATCAAGATATCAAACATTTTCAGCACCCCAGGAAGTTACCTCAAGCTCCTTTCTAGTCAGTCCTCCCTCCCTCTCACCCTCACCTGCTACAATTTGGGCTATTTTTTTGAAGTAGAACTGAAAGGACTTATTCCCATTGGATAGGATATGGGGAGAGGGTAAGAGAAAGAGAACAATCAAAGGTGCCAAAAGTTTTTAGCTCAAGCAACTGGGTAGCTGGAGGTGCCATTTGTTGACACAGTCAAGGCTTAAGGAAAGGAAAAAGTTAGCGCTATGTTTTGACACAGCAAGTCTGAGAAGCCGATTGGACATCTAATGAAGATGCTGAGAAGAGATGTGTATCTAAGTCTGGAGCTCAGGAGAGAGGTCCAGGCTGGAGATGTGACTCCACTAGTCAAGAGTCCAGTGTAACAAGAAGCCATGGGCTGGATGGCGTCAACAAGGGAGCAATAAAGATGAAAAAGACATGAGCAAGCAGGAAGGAGGCAGGAGCGGCTGACCTAAAAAAAAAAATTAGAAGAGGAGAAAAGAGCAGCAAAGGAAATTGGGAGGTAGGAGGAAGATAAAGTAAGAGGGAGACAGAAAGTTATAGAAGGAAGCAAGAGGAGGGAATGATCCACTGGGACAAACCCTGCTGACAGGCAGAGGGTGACCTTGACATCTCTTAACATATTTAACCCTCCCTAAAACTCCATAGGGTAGGTGTCCCAATTATTTCCATTTTGCAGACAAGGAAACTGAGGTTCAGAGATGTAAATGACTTGTCCCATTGCTAATAAGTGGTGGAGCCACCGTTTTGAAGTTTAACAGCTTCCCCCAAGTGTGTTCTGTGGCACATTAAGAGGTGAGGCTGAAAGGGGGTTCCAGGGTCACATTAGCACAGAACATGCAACATCAAGCCTCAATGGGTTTCTCTACTCCAGGCCTTCTCATAGCCTTTGAATTGTGATGGCTCAAGAGGGAGATGTAAAACATCGTATGTTCCACGCACACATGGCGCCTTTTTTTGTTTTCTTTTTTAGAAGAGCAATTCACCAAACAGGTATTCCCAATATCACAGTAAGAGAACCACTGCTAGAAGGCAACATGAGTAAGTTTTCAAAATGTGTTTAAACAAAGTCCAAAGTGCCTTCTTGGACATTACATCACTTGTACCCGAAGGAGAAAGGGTCGACATGAACATACCATTTTACAGATAATGAAGCTGAAGCTCATGAGGTTAAGTGGTCTGTCCTGTATCCACAATTCTGCAGCAATTAAGCAAGAAAAATCATTCCTGGTCCATGTGCCCCAAAGACTAGGAGAAATCAGGTCAGGCCAAGGGAGAATCAGGCAAGAAGCTTAAATGAGGCTTTGTTCAGTCTCTGCCTCTCCTCTTTACAATATTCCCTTTGAGTTCACTTTCCACAGGATTACACTCAGAATGGGGGGATATACAGAGAATGCAGGAAGGGCTGCAAGTGAGCTCAGGCCTTGAGCATTAGGAAATGGCTTCAACTTTCTGGGGCTGTGTAGGGTGAGGTCTTGTGAAAGGATCCTGTGGGAGGCATTATGGATTGGAGGCAAGAAAGTGGCACCTACATCCAGGTAGAAAGGGCCCTTGATGGAAACATAACTGTCTTAAGAATTCCAAAAGCTGCAGGAATTAAAAGCACTTCACAGTCAATCAGCCTTATCTTGGGTCATCTTGGTTCAGAACTTAAAGAACCCAAGGCAAATGAGCTGAACACTCCTCAAGTTGTTGCCACGAGGGCCTCTGCCCCATGTGGTCTCCCTCAATTCCATCACAGTGGATTGTCTAAATGGGGACCTCATGGACTGCTGTCTACAGAATGCCAGCATCCTAGAGAAGCAGGCTTCGGCAGAGTGGCGGCAGGGCAGTGGGAAGGGTGGTTACTGAGTATAAATTATAAAGAGAAGACCGCCCACCCCACCCCCCACTCCACAACCCGCCAACAATCCACCAAGAGCAAATGCTTGAGAGCACAGGCTGCATTTAAGAAGCATCCCAGGTAGATGCTTGGAATTAGACAGTTGTAGGTCCAGGTCCCCCGCATGGCCACTTGGTAGCCTTGTGTCTCAGGGGAGTTACCAAACCTCTTTGAGCTTATCCTTCATCATCTGTGAAATAGGCTGGCTGATGGCACCAACCCTCATAGGGTTGTCGTAAGGGTTTTTCAGTAATAAAGAGCAAACAGCGACGTGCTTCTCAAGATAAAGTCCAGAGTTCCACCTGGATATTTCTTAAATGCAGATTTCCAGGTCATACTACAGACCTATGAAATAGACTCCCTGAAGGATATCCCTATGCACTATAAAGTCTGAGAAAGACTGGTAAGACGTTAAGTCTGTGCTTGGCAAAAGCTCAGTAAGTTAACAGGCATCATTCTGTTTACTGATGTTATCATTTATAATATGGCAAGATGAGACCTCTTCTCCAGCCTGGACAACTTAGTGTTCAAAATTAGAATTTATCTAACATCCAACTCAACAGATGTTTGCTTATCCCCAGAAGCCTGAACAGAGCCTCAATCATCAGAAAATATAAAACAAAACCAGTGACTAATTACAGCAGCCTGGGTGAATGCAGAGTAACCTTTTGCAAATGTTCCCAAGAGATCAAATAGTAGCTGTTTTAAAGAAAAAGTAGTAAGAAGCAACCTTTGAAAGATGTGATAAGCAATGTCACGTATACGCTCCCTGTGGATTGGCATCTTGCCTGGGAAGATGCTTTGTGAAGAGGGAGAGACCCTAGTGATAGGTACAAGGATTTCTCTACACAGGCTGGCTGTTAAAAGTCAAATATGAAGCAATTCTCAAAGGCCTCTGGGCTAATCTTGCAGGGAGATCATTCATGAGTTTTCCCAGACATTGAGTCCCACAGTACCTGCGTCTGTTCCCTCCGCTACCCCTACATCTTCCATTCTTCTGGAAGTTGTCCAGATTACAATCTTTGCAAAAATGAGCCTTCCTTTGCTGGTCACACAGAGGAGCAGGATATGAAAAAACATCACCAACAAAACAAAACAAAGCAAAAAGAAAAACAAAAAACAAACAAACAAAAAAAACTGAATGGCAATCAAATGCTAAGTATCCCAGAAAAGAATTCCTCACCATTCAGATTTTGAGAAAATAAAAAATATCAAAGAAACTTTTTTGGAACATCACATTTAAACCTCAATACAATTTCCATAAAGTCTCATTATATTCAACTAGGATTACCATTCTGTGTTTTAGTAGCTAAAAAAAATCATTCCCTCTGCTTCCTCTCATTGACATCAGAATATCGCACAGAGTTTATATTCACCTAGCGCTCTCCTACTTTATGATAGTGATAGGAAGTGCTTAATGTGACTGAGTACTTTTCAGGAAAGATTAAGAAAAACAGCCTGGGGAGCACAGCATCTCTGAGATTTGGTTTTCTAAATTATTTTTAAAAACCCACAGATCTCTGCATACACAGCTACACAAAGCAGCACGCATGTCCCTCAGTTGCCTCTTACCGTCTTTTCATTGCCCATTTTCTATATTGTTGATGTACTTCAGGGCAAACCCAACACAAGACCACTTAGCCTGCTCTGCAAACAGCTCCACAAAGACCATAAATGTCACCACCAAATTGGTGAGTGCTAGTTCAAACCTTTGCACCTCTCATTCCTCGACACATCTGTGTCCCTAAGGATAACAATTCTGGCTTAAAAGAAATCTTGGGAAAAGAAGCCAAGAGTTTTTCCTGTTGAAGCTAAGTGGGAGGAGGCTAGTGGGGAAGTGGGCTCGATAAAACTGTCTCAAAAATAAGTTCCATCTTAAGCTCACAGAGGGAATGAGAGAGTTATTTCAGTTTCTTAAATGGAAGTACAACCCCGAAAATAAAAAATAAAAGGCTTGTTGATGCAGAGGCTTGAAAGCCTGTGTGAGATTGAGGGTATCACTGAGGAAAGACTGCCTTGTAACAGAGCTTTCTTGTATTACACCCAAAGCTGTGTACCATCTGAGGCTGATTCAGGAAAATACTCAAATCTCCTGGTAATTTCCTGCAGACAGGACGTTTAATCATCTCCAAGCCTCCACCGCAAAAGAAAAAAAAAAAAGCTAAACCAAATGATTCACACTCTTAAAACGAATCTGCCTTCAGAAGAAGAACGGTTTTCTGGTCTTGAAAAGCAGCCACAATTTGTTATTCTAACAAAGTGTTCCTTTCCTCCAAACAGAAATAAAAGTTGCTCAAGGAGGGCTTGTCCTGATTTCTGTTCTGCATTTCTTGAAACTTCCATCCAGTCAACAGTTTCTCCTGGCAGGTTCTCAGAAATCCAGAGAGAGCTGGGTAGTCAGTGACTAAGAACACAGGATCATTTTTATATGCCTCCCTAACCCCCACTTTTTGGCCCCATGGGAAGATGCTTTATTGTAGGATGAGCAGAATCAGCTGCATATATAAATTCTTCACTGCCCAGCTCACTTGACACCTTTATCTGAATTGCCCAACAGGCTGGGAAGATTTGGCAATTGATGATTTGAAAAGGAAAGGCCCAGATCTTCCCCAAGTGGTATTTGTTCTGTCTGTACAGACAGGGCCATGTCCATGTCTCTAATTACTCAACTAGCTGCACAGATAAAAACATTTGCGTACAGAAAGCAGGGAACTCAAAGTATACAAATGATTCACACCACCTAAACAACTGCAAATAAAGGCCGGCCCAGCAAAATAAGGGCTTCTAGAAGCCAAAATAATTTAATATGGGCGGAAATGGAATTTGGCAATCCACACATCAGACTCTGCTCCAATTTTGGAAGGCATGTCTTCCAGCTGCCTCATCTTAAAAAAAAAAAAAAGTAAACTGACCCTCTGCATTCGATTCTCAACCTCTTGCTTAGGTACACACAAGTGAACAGATGGGTGGGGGGAGCTGAAACCTCATCTTTTAAATCTTACCCAGCACCTACCCACAATCTTTCCTGATTATTTTGGTTTTAAAATTTCCCAGGGCACGGCTGCCCAGGCACTCCAGATTTGTAATCCCAACCTTCACCAAGTCCTGACTCTTCCAGCATCTGAGAGGGTGCATTTGGCAACTTGGAAAGTAAGAATTAACTCTCTCATCTCCAAACTATACACTCCCCCATGTAGAGCTAGGAAGGGCTAGGAGAAGGGCCCTCTCCACCTACCCCAATTCAGAAAGAACACATTAACAAATCCAGAGTTGCTTCATTACCGAAGTCCACCAAGAAGCAAAGAAATGGATTTTTAAAGTTCTGGGAAAATAAACAACTTTTATCTTTTCGGGGATATAAGCTCAAAATATAAAGGTATGTGGGAAGAAGTAAGTCATGTTTTAAAGTAGATCTTCCTGGAGATGTTAAGAAATATTTTGAATAGAAAATAACTAGGTCATTAACAGTAAATACCTTTTAAATATTTAGGGGAAAATGAATTCTAAGAGAATAAAGGCTATTTAAAAAGCAAGTCCAGGGATGTTTTCATGTTCCCTCTTAAGTAGTCCTAATACAATAATACCACCATCGCCTCGTGATATTATGATTACCATTGCTGGTTAATAAAGTGGCTGCGCGAAAGGTGGCTGACACTCAGACCCTCAGTTCACCAGGTCCCCACCGCGGGGCTCCTGACTTCCCAGCGTCTGGGTGGCAAAGCGCATCTCTCCCAGAGCTTAGTTTCCAGCTGCAAGGCCCCTTTTTCAGGGGAGCTCCTGAAACCAGGAGCAAACATGCCCCTGCGCCGCCCTCTGTGCTCCCCGGCTATGGGGGGGCCACTTACCCGGCTTAGCCTTGCATTGCTCCGACGCTGCGGCGCCTCTGCCGGCCCGGGAAACTGCGGGGGAGCCGGGGAAAGGGGGTTGGAGACCCAGGGGCAGGGGTAGCGGCCGCAGCTAAGGAACCCAGCGGGGCGTCGGCAGCCAACTGCCCGGAGCCGAAGGGGGCCCTGCAGGGGCTCCGCACAAGGCAGGTAACATTCCTGGGGCGGCAGCTGCTCTGTGCGCAGCTCCGGATCCAGGAAAATCGCTCAGGTCCTGGGGAGAGGAGCTCCAAGCTCTCTGGGCTGCCTCCCGGCTGCTTAAAGGGACACCTCCCCACCTCCCACTCAGCTTATTGGTGAAAATCTCGAGCCACAGGCCAATCCTAGGCCTGTTCCCAAATTGAGATTTCAATCAAGGGAGCTACTACTTTAAAATTAGAAAGGGCTAATGGAGTGCTGAGCCACCTTTCAAAAGCAGAAGGACACAGGCTCTCTGGCCCTCACACCAGAGGTCCTGAGAGCTGGCAGTGGCTGGAAGAGAAAGATTC
Organism: Homo sapiens; assembly: GCF_000001405.40. NCBI lineage: Eukaryota > Metazoa > Chordata > Mammalia > Primates > Hominidae > Homo > Homo sapiens. The sequence continues at coordinate 64,268,426 of NC_000003.12, forward strand.
GACTGTGCCACGCACACAAGGAACAGGGGGCATGCTGGAATCCTAGGCTTCACCCCTCCTGTGCCCCCCTCAACCCACTGCTGTCCTTCAAGGCTCATCCAGTTTATCACAGACACTGGAGGCCTTCGTGGCTCTCTGCTCTTGGTGCTCCTAAAGCCTTTGCTTATGTCTCTTTTCAGCCACTCATCACATTTTCACTTTTTTGCTTAATCTGTCACTCCCTTTACACTGTAAATTCTACCTAGGTAGGAATGTTTTTATCAAGACATATCACTCCCTACCTGGAACGTCGTGAGCTCTCAGTAAATGTTTGTTTATTGATTGAATGAATGAATACACAAAAGAATGAACAATGGAAATATGTCCCATGTTGGCTATGCCAGTACAATTGTTAATTAAGAGAGTAGTCAAAAGGCCAGGCATTAATTTCACACAAAACTGTGTTCATATATGGACTCTCCCTCTTACAGGTAGGTAACCTGCATTTTAGTTTCCTTGTCTGTAAAGCATGATCATGAAATTTACCATCTCATAGGGTTGTAGTAAAGATTGCATGAGCTCATGTTTAGTCCAGAGGAGGCACTCAGTCAATAACCTCGGACAACTGAACAGTCAATAGCTGTTGTTATCACTGCAATTAAAATACATTTGCTGGAGATTTGGACTGAGTCTGACTGCTGATCTGACTTTGTAGTGAGCACAGTTATTAATGAAACAAACGTGAGTTAAGTGCCAGCTCAGTGCCAGGCCCCATGCCAGGTACTAGGATCATCAATGAAAGATAAAGTCCTTGACCACAAGTAACCCATAGTGGTGGCAGGCGGAGGAGGGGAGAGAAGGAAACAGACGAAGTGAATTATGCTAAATGATATACAAGCAAAGACATATGTAAAGGAATGTTTATTGTAGGATAGTTTATAAGATCAAAATAACTGAAAACATAATTATCCAATAATACAGGACGTTAGTAAATTATGATACATCCATATGATAGAATACTATACAGTCATGAGAAAGAAGAGGAAGAACTAAGTGCACCAGTATGCACTGAGCTCCTCAATACATTGCTAAGTACAGTGCAGATAGTAAAACATATTTCTGCTTGCACAAAACATCTTCATGTATTACGTATGTGCACATACATATGCTGTATATGCAAAAAGTACTTCTAGAACCATGCCTAAGAAAATGATAAAGGTTGTTGTTACTGACAAGGTGATTTGAGGCCTAGGCAGATCTAAGAGGATAAGGACACTAACGTTTCATCATATGTCCTTGTATATTATTTGAACCTTTTACCATGAGCTTGTAACAAGGTCCTGGTTCTGGCAAAATGGCAAATGATGACAACCTGAAAATTCCAACTCTTCAAATACCTAGACATGCTAGATAAAATATAACAAAAATTATTTTAAATGCCTAGCTGACTCACAATAAAGAAAGGAAGGCTGGGCACGATGGCTCACACCTGTAATCCCAACACTTTGGAAGGCCACACCAGGAGGATCATTGAAGCCGTGAGTTCAATATCAGACTTGGCAACATAGCAAGACACCATCTCTACACAAAATAAAAAACTAACTGGTTGCAGTGGTGTGCACCTGTAGTCCTAGCTACTTAGGAGGCTGAGGTGGTTGGTTCGGCCCAGGAATTCAGGGCCACATTGAGCCATGAGGGCACCAATCTACTTCAACCTGGGTGACAGCATGAGACCTTACATAAAACAAAAAAAAACAAAAAAAACAAAAAAAAAACCACAGGAAAATACCAAGAAATAAAGAGGTAATTAAAAACAAGAGTAAGAAGCATGCAAAGTTATGCTGTGGCTATGAGAGAGAGGGAAGAGTGGTTGGTGGCAGACAAAAGGGTTGTCTTGGTTCCCTAGGGGCTAGGATTGTAATGCCCACACAGGAGACAGACAGTGCCTTGGGACAAAGAGAAGCAGGAAGCTGTTACAAGACCTTTGTAGAAAGCCAAAAATATTCACTGAGGGCTGCACCTTCAATGAACAAATAGATTGGAAAAATTGACAACCACCTAGGTAAAACTTGTCTGTCTCTACCTGTATTGTGGGTGAGAGGGAAATGTTTTAACTGAGAATGAGAAATCCTAGGGCTGTGCCTTTCATGAGATTCTAGGAATAACAAAAGTCAAAATCAGGAAGCTCTGACTAAAAAAATTAATATTAAAATTAGTCCTGTTCGTGACATGCCAGGAATGCCTTATAGAAACAAATGAAGATTTCTCTGGCCACTTCTACAACCCAGGCTACAACCAATCCCACAAGCATGAGATCCCAACGGTAAATTATACAACATCCAAGAAACTGATGTTACAAGTCAACAAATAAAAGAATAAGAGGCTCAAGAATTACAGGTCATAAAACAATTGACATTCTGAAAAGAAACATGGAATGAGAAAGTTTATAAGGATTTAAAACACTGAAGCTAAAATTGAAACCCTTAAAAAGAACAAGACATGATGACTACTCCTCTCCATAGATCCACTAAAATTAAAAACTCAAAGGACAGGTTAAATAGATACTAGTAAAGCAAGAAACGTAGATCTCACGACACTACACAAATAAAGCACAAAAGGATAAAGAGTTGAAAAATATCTGAGAGATAAAGAGATATGGAGAATATAATGAGAAGGCCCAACGTCTGTGTAATAGGACTCCCATAGGGAGAGACCAGAGAAATCAGGAAGAACCAATAACTGAAGATATGATGGCTGAGAATTTTCTGAAATTTTTAAAAATCATGAATCCTCCCATTCAAGAAGCACAAGCCATCTCAAACAGGATAAACATAGAGCATTTGCAAGTATTAATTATTCAAAAAACAACAGTTAATAAAAAACTGAAGTGGGGAAAAATGAAGCGGTGTGATAATGCAACGACAGCGGTAAGTAGCAGACGGCACTTTGTAGTCCAGAAGAGAGGCAACTTCTGCCATCCCACATTTGAAGCTGGACTCTATTTTCCTGAAATTTTCATCCCCAAATATAAGGAATACAAAACAATAGCATGTTCTTGAAGACTTAGCTTTGTATTTTCTATGGTGTCCAGGTGCCCAGGGCAAAGTGGCAGAGATCTCCTGGGAAAGATGCATTTATTCAGCCACCAAACAAAAGCAGTAAAAAACAGAAAACAAAATAAAACAAAAAGCCCCAAGTCCCTGCCCTCAGGGGTCTTACTCTGGTGGTAGAAGCAGCTATCACACAATGGAGAACGTCATAATAAGGGAATAGAAACTGCTATGGAAACTCAGAGGAAGAATGTCTCAACTAACTTTGCGGGGAGAGGTGGTAGCTCAGGGAAGGCTTCTTGCAGGAAGTCACATCTACCATGAGGGACCTGGTATCTTTAGGGGAAAAGATTAGAATCAGATCTGCCTTTAAACCTCAGTTCTGCCACTTATTATCTTGTGGCTTTGGTCAGGTTGTGTAACTTCTCCAAGCTTCATTTATCTCATCTGTAATGGAATTCTTATCACTAGTCTTGGGGCTGTTTTGAGAATATATATTAAGCATGTAGCAGAGTGCCTAGCCCATAATTAATTTCTACTAAATAGGTATCCAATATTATTATTAGATAAAATCCAGTGCCTGGGTAGAAAAAAAAAACCTTCTGTTTTCAAAGATGATTCTCTTCTAACAGTTAAAGACAGAGACTTCAGTCTACTTTCATGAAACTACCCTGAGAAATATAAATTGTTTACTGAGTATCTATCATATGAAAGACATATCATCATCAAAATACAGAGTTATCAGACCTAGTCTTTTCCATAAAATAATTTCAAATCTACTTCCCAAAATACAACTAATAAGGGCTTCCTATGTTAAGTGTCAAATAAATGATTTTCTCCAGTGTTAAATCTTGAATCTGTGACAAAATTCTTGTTCATATCATTAAACCTTCAGATTCCCAATTACACATCAAGTTGAAAGAATTCAGCGTCAAGCAGGAGGAGGATTAAATGGACCCTCCTCAGCATTACTCAATAGGTTTGTGGATGATGGGGATGATACATAGAGAAGATACTTGTGAAGTCCAGCCAATCATTGCCGGGCTGTGCCAGTGCTTGGTGGAGAAGAACACAGAGCTATCTAGCCAACCTGGAGGAACTGCCTAAACTGAAGTGAATGAAATTCAGTAATGGCAAAGGTTGTGCCTGCCCTTTGGAAGAAGCACTGAACTGTAAAGTCTTAGGAAAGAATTGGGCAAGGGCATGCTCTTCCATTAATTCCTTCGTGCACTACTTAACAAACATTTATATAGTATCTACTATGAGATATAGTTTACCATGTAGGCTGGGTATACAGGGAGAAACAAGACTAAAACACAATCCCTGCCTTCAGGAGCATAAAATGTAGTAATTTGAGATCCTCTTTACTTGAAAAACAAGGCACTCTGACATTCTTCCTTCTACTGTCCAGTGAGTACCTAACTTTTGTAACCATCTTGAGTATACTCCTGGGAGTAAACACCACTTGTTTCACAATGGAAATAGATCTCATGTCTTGGGCTAGCATCAATTGATTAGTAGTGGCTTCCTGGAGTGCTGACTTGACAAGAAGTCATGCTGCGTTGGCAGGAAAGCACACTATGATTGGTTAGTGATGTCTGTCATGTGGATGGATAAGGAGTGACAGCACTAATGCTATAAATTTGACATCTTCCATCTAGTCCAACCCCCTCATTCCACAGATGAAAAAACAGAACAGATCTTTCTTTTTTCCTGTGGCATTTAAATTCAGCAACACTTGCAAGGGCAACCGAGGAGAACCTCCATATCCGAAATGTTGCTGAGAGAGAAAAAAATCTATAGCTTAGAATATTTCTGATGAGCTTTTAAGATATGAACTCAAATCCTTGAGCAGCCTTTGTATTCTGCAACAAGCTGACTAAATGGAGAAAGCTAGTAACTTTGATCTCCCCATTAGCTACAAAGTGTATCCCCCTCCACATATACAAGATTATATTCAATATACATAATTTGAGGATGCTTGAGAATTTAAAATGCATCGAGGGACAGAAATGTCTATAAACTGAATATATTTCAGAAACACAAAATGAACAAATACATAAAACAGCAATTAACATGTTATTTAAGAAAGGACAAAGATTTTTATCATTTTATTCTATTAAATGGTATAGATATCATCAGCCAAACAAAGGAAAAGAAAAGCTCTTATTTATTTTCATACAGACACTTTATATCCTGGGGACTCTGTAACAGTAACTAAGGAGATAGGGTTTGTCCCCATTCAGCAGGTCTATGCCCAATCTATCAACACTTACAACCACCACCCAGTCCAATCACAAAGAATCCAATCCAGGCTCCTTGGCTGCAAAGGACAGAATGGTAAAAACGGACAACAGATAAGCAGTAAGTCCAACCTCAGCCTCATTCAGATACAAAGAACAAATTGTAGCATTTGATTAATATGCCAGCTCTTCTGTCATGCCAACTGCAAAGTGAATTTTCTGGAAAACCAACTCCTTGAGAAATAGGTCTAATTAATTCAGTTATATAAACTCCAGTGAAATATTAGGGGGAAGGGACAGGAGACAGAGAGTGAGAAGGAGGCTAGGAAGGAAAAGGAGAAGGAAGGAAGCAAGGAAGGAGGGAATGAATGAAAATAAGTGAGGAGATTATGAAAAGGATGCTCTGGAGATCCTGGGTTACTTTAAGAATCAAGGCTGGGCGCGGTGGCTCACACCTGTAATCCCAGCACTTTGTGAGGCTGATGGAGGCGAATCACAAGGTCAGGAGTTTGAGACCAGCATGGCCAACAGGGTGAAAGCCCATCTCTATTGAAAATACAAAAAATTAGCTGGGCATGGGGGCAGGCGCCTGTAATCCCAGCTACTCAGGAGGCTGAGGCAGAAGAATCGCACGAACCCTGGAGGCAGAGGTTGCAGTGAGCCGAGATTGTGCCACTGCACTCCAGCCCCGGCGACAGTGTGAGACTCTGCCTCAAAAACAAACAAACAAAACAAAACAAAAAAACCCAAAAGGTATATTCTGACTTAAGACAACAGGAATCATATTTATACTTCAGTCAAATGCACTGTTGAAGGTATGGATAAGAAATTAAAAGATGGCCTACTCAAACAACTCTGTAATACATACATTTGTTAGACTAGTTTTTATCCCCCCCAAAACTCAGTCATTGGCATATCACCTTCAGTGTATCTGCTAAATCTGCTTTCACTAAGTACCATGTTTGTCATTTGTCATATTGAATATACCTTATATTATTATTTATAATGAATAAACAAATTGTGATACATCCACACAATGAAATAGCACTCAGCAGTTAAAAGGAAATAAATAAAGCTGGGCGTAGTGGCTCACGCCAGTAATTCCAGCACTCTAGGAGGCTGGGGTGGGTGGATCACCTGAGGTCAGGAGTTTGAGACCAGCCTGGCCAACATGACGAAACACCGTCTCTACTAAAAATACAAAAAAATTAGCCGGGCATGGTGGTAGGTGCCTGTAATCCCAGCTACTCGGGAGGCTGAGGCAAGACAATTGCTTGAATCTGGGAGGCGGAGGTTGCAGTGGGCTGAGATCTTGCCACTGCACTCCAGCCTGGGCAACAGACAGAGTGGGGCTCCGTCTCAAAAAAAAAAAAAAAAAAGCAAATGAATAGATGCAATGAGACAGATGAATTTCAAATATATTATGCTATATGAAATGAGATAGACTGAAATGGCTATATACTATATGACTGTACTATGTGACATTCCAGAAAAGGCACTATGTGACATTCCAAAAAAGGCACAATTACAGAAACAGAAAGCAGATCAGTAGTTGCCAAGAGTTGGGGATGGGAGGTGAGGATGCTCGAGAATTTAAAATGCACTGGGGCGGCGGGGGGAGGGCAGAAATTTCTATAAACATACAGGTAGCATGAGAAAATCTTGGAAGGTGGTAGAACTGACTTGTATTCTGAGTGTAGGAGTGGTTATATGACAGTATATTACTCTATGCATACTGTATATTACTATATGCATTTGCAAAAACTCATGCAAGTATAAACTAAGAATTAATTTTATTGTTTGCAAATATAAAAAGTGGAAAACAAAAACAGACAAAACCCCAAAACTTAAAACCATCCCTCGGAACATTTTGGTTTTAATTATTCCTGTATTAAATATTTGCCTGTTATCTTACTTGCTACTTGCTCTTATAAAGATGTTTAATGAATTGCTCAAAAAATAGTTCATGAGGTACTGTTGCCTACTAAAAACTGTGAACCTAAAGTTGCTCTTTCTTCATTAGAAAGGAAAATGATGAAATTTTAGAGGTGTGTCAACCCTAACCCTCAAATGAGACCTCCTCCTTGATGCCTTACAATGTTTGGAAGACTGAAAAGAGAATGTTTGTAACTACGTGGAACTCAATGTCAGTTCTCGAATTGACCCTGCATCCCCCTCACCCATCTCACACTTTGGGAAACAGTGCTATAGATCCAAAACTCCATGAGGGAAGAGTTTGCACCTGTCTTATTGTTCACATCATCCTCAGTATCTAACATAGCAGGCACTTGATAAATATCCATAAAATGAGCATGTGAAACCTCTCTGCAGTGTCTCACACTCCACCCTCCAGGTGAGAAAACTCCTGAGGCAGCGCAGTTCATCACAAGCCGGCATTGCTCCACAGAGAGCAAGTCCAGCCCCTCTTCCACTCAACATCCTTCCAAACCTGAGCCTTGTCTTCTAGCAACTCAGTTCTGTTAACTGCTGCTTGTGGGACATTGTTTCAAACCTTTTTTACCACCCCAGCCACTCAAAATGTGACATCCAATTAAACAAGAACAAGGAATTATTGTCAATATTGTCAGGTGAGATGTAGTTACGTAAGAACACATCCATGCTTTCCGGAGAAACATGTTGAAACATGTAAGGCTAAAATAACACAGCATCTGAGATGTGCTTTGAAACATTTAGGAAGGAAGCAGGAAGGTGGGATAAAGGGAGGGAGGTCAAGCAACAGGAAATTTGGACATAGGAAGAAAATCTAGCTAGACTTCGATAATTGTTAAATCTGTTATGTGGAGATACATTGTACAGCTCTCTCTTTTTAATTTATTTTAGAGACAGGGTGTCACTCTGTCACCCAGGCTGGAGTGCAGTGGTGTAACGACAGCTCACTGCAGCCTTGAACATCTGGGCTCAAGCCATCTTCCTACCTCAGCCTCCAAAGTAGCTCAGACCACAGGCACATGCCACCACATCTGGCGAATTTTTTAAATTTTTTGTAGAGACGTGGTCTTGCTATGTTAAACAGGCCAGTCTCAAACTCCTGGACTTAAGTAACCCTCCATCTCAGCCTCCCAAAGGTCTAGGATTACAGCTGTGAGCCACTGCACCTGGCCTGTACTGTTCTTTTGATTTCTTATTATGTTTGAAAATGGTCTTAGTAATAAAAAACCTTCAAGCATGATTTGTCCAGGGCAGGGTGGAGTGGGTTTATGCCCTCCTCATTCCCAACACATGATTTGAACATCATATTAATTTGATAAACACTGAACAGTTGACCAAAACCTGTTTAAGATTAGTTGTTTTTCTTTTCGTTTTTTTTGTGTGTGTGTGTGTGAGATGCAGTCTCGCTCTGTCGCCCAGGCTGGAGTGCACTGGTGCAATCTCAGCTCACTGCAAGCTCCGCCTCCTGAGTTCACGCCATTCTCCTGCCTCAGCCTCCCGAGTAGCTGGGACTACAGGCGCCCGCCACCACGCCCGGCTAATTTTTTGGATTTTTCAGTAGAGACAGGGTTTCACCGTGTTAGCCAGGATGGTCTCGATCTCCTGACCTCGTGATCCACCTGCCTCGGCCACCCGAAGTGCTGGGATTACAGGCGTGAGCCACCACACCTGGCCAGTTATTTTTCTTTTCATTTGTGTTGTGTGTGTGTGTGTTTTCTTTTTCCTCTACACATTTTTCACTACACTGTCTATTCTACAGCTGGGTAATTGGGTGTCTGACTTCAAGGGCAGTTCTGCTCATTTTTAAATTTTTCATTCAGCCTTTCAATAAACAAATCAGTACCAAGGGCAAGTACCTAGATCATCCCTACTTGTGCAGATATTAGGGATTTGCAGTCTGCTTCTTACTGCCATGTACCATCCATTCTATACATTTCTAAATGTTTCACTATGACTGTCAACAAAAGAACTACCCTGGGAATTTGACAATTCCGTAGATTTCTGGGCCTCACTCTTGGAAATTCAAATTTATTATGTTTGGAACAGGATCTAGAAATTGTATTTTTAAAGCTTTCTCAAAACCCAACTAATATATTTATTATTTCTCCACTATATCATTAAGTAGGTTAGTAAATTGATAATGAATTCTAAAGACTGAATAGAATCTCTTGGCTACATTTGTGGGAGGGAAAGAGGGAGGAAATTGAAATATTTATATTATCTAAATTTGACTGCCCCTAAATTGAAAAAGCAAACATTCCAGGACAGAGGGGAAACAGATGCCTCTTAAGCTCTTAGAGCATTTCTAGAAGAGGTAACTTGTATGTGCAGGGAATCTAGGTGTCAGTATTTGCATTTTCTGGGCCTAAATCTTGATGCCTCTTTTCTTGGTAGTTGGGGAAAGAGTTTTTGGCCTTCTGTTTTTAGGCACATTACTTTGGAGGTGTACACCACATTTGGCCATGCTGACGGGAATCCACTGGCTCTCTCTTGTGTGCACTGTCTCTCTCTCTCTTTCTCTCATTTTCTCTCTCTGAACCTGCTGCACCAAACACTCTCCTTTATGTGATGTCTCATGTTGATAAACTACTATCCTGCCTACCATTGACTATCTCCTGAATGGTTGCATGACTTTTCACTTTGGGGAGCTTTTTATTTTGTTTTTTTGATCTGTTCCTCTCCTCCCTTCCCCCTGCAAAAAGCAGCACTGGGAAGATAGAGGTCACATCTTCAAGGCTCTCTAGAATTTCTCACAATGCTTGTAACAACGCCAAGCCAATTGTAGATACTTACTCAATCTTTACTAATTGATGGCCATAGAATCCCCACTTACCACTCTGAATAAGCGGAGAAGAGGTATTGCATGCTACTGCCAAAATCCACCTTCAGAGTGAATGACTTGGAGCAACTTGCTCGCATTCAAAGAACTATTAATATATCAGTAGTTACTTACAGAAGAGAGTACTCTCTCTCAGGGTCAAGTGATGAACAATTACCATAAGCTGCCAATCATAAAGTCTCAATGCTCTTTGCATTTTAGTCTCTTTGCTGCTGCTCCCCTCTGGATATAAAGTTTGAGGTTTCCAGTTACTGAACTCCTAGTTAGGCGACTGAATTTGGGAGGTTTCCAAAAGAAAGCCTTACATTTCCATTGCCTGTTGAACACTCTGCCCTCATCTGGAAGAGCAACAAAAGAATTTCAAGAATTTGCCTTTCCTAGAATGATCAGCAGAGGTAGAGGAATGTAGAGCAACTATTAACTAAAATAAGTTAAATCCAAAGACGTCATTTATCCCTACCGACCCGATTGCTCTTTACCACGGAATTGAAAATTCATAATTGAACACTTTTAAAAAATCTATTTATAATATGAAGCTTTCACCTTCAGATTTATTTTCCAAGATGAATTCTAGAATTGGTGCTTGTAAGACCTGAATTTACCAGCTAATGTACAATTTCCTTTCATTTCTGTGATTATCAGCAGGTCAATTTATATGACTCTGGTAATTGCAATGCGTGGGGTTATTTCTCAGAATTATCTATTCTAAAGAATAAATAATTATGGACAAAATTGAAAGCCTGAACAAAATTGAAAGCTATGGATTCACAGCTTTCCTGGGGTGGCATAAAAATTACCAGGCTGTAAAAAGTCAACCTTCAGTCTGTCCTGATTTAACTCCCTAGTGAGTTATGCCAGTGAGACCAAACAGAGGTCCACAAGTTACCAAGCAGAGTACTACGGCCTTGGGAAGGCAGAAGTCACATCTGGTAAACATATACTGTAAGAGGCGGAGTATACGTGTTTCTGGAAAACTGTAACTCATAGCAACTCATTTTCTTGATGAGGGTGGCAAAGGCCTGTCAGTTATGACACCACCCAGGTCCAGCTTCCATAGCAAATACCACTACATGATCACAGAACTCTTTCCAGCTGGGCCTGGAACCAGCCTCAGAATGTTTCTTAACACAACTCTCTGATAAAGGAAGCCCTTATTTGGGACAGGTGCAGTGGCTCAAGCCTGCAATCCCAGCACTTTGGAAGACTGAGGCAGGCAGATTGCTTGGGTACAAGAGTTCGAGACCAGCATGGGCAACATAGGGAGAAACCATGTCTACAAAAAATATAATAAATTAGCCATGTATGGTGGTGTGCATGCACCTGTAATCCCAGCTACTTGTGTGGCTGAGGTGGGAGGATCTCTTGAGCCCAGGAGGTCAAGGCTACAGTGAACCGTGACTGGGCCACTGCACTTCAGCTGGGGCAATGGAACAAGACCCTGTCTCTAAATAAATAAATAAATAAAGCCCTTATCAATTGATTCCCACTGGCCTGCAAGATGAACTCCATTTGCCTCCTGCTGAATTAAATGTGGTAACAGTCATCCCACTTCCCCTGTGCGCTAAAGCCACACTTGCATTTCACTGAAAACTTTTTTAAATATAGTGGGGGGAGAAAGAGAAAATAGAACAAAAATACTGAAGAACATGTATATACTTAAATCTGTCCTTCCCACTGTTTTTAGAAATCATTAGGTCCCCAAGAGCCACTCTTTTTTGGGTCCCTGAAAGTTCTGAATGTTTGTCATTCAACCTCCCCGCTTGCTCTGAAGATTCTCTCAGAGCAAAGAGAGGAGGCTTCTTCTCAGTTTTCTTTGATGGCTCCTCTTTCTCTGCCCTTCCTTCTCAAAGAAGTTTCTGCCATGGGCCCTGTCTCTTCTCAGAGCCTCCACTCTCCAAAGGCAAGCTCATTTTGGCTCCTTCTCTCCAGTGGCATCTATCAGGTTCTGTCTGCTGACCCCTCATTGAAGCGCCTGGCAGGCACTGTTCTAAGTGTTGAGGATGTGGCTGTGAACCACATAGACACATTCCTTGCTTGCATGGAACTTAAAGTCTACTGTGGTACAGAAAGACAATAAGCAAATAAGTTCCAAGGGTAAAATGAAGCTCAATGAGGAGACAGAGATGATGGGGAAGGCAAAGAAGTGCTAGAGGAGAGAGTGCTGCTAACCTCAAATTTCATCTCCAGCCCAGAAATCTCTCCTAAGGTCCATACTCATGTGTCCTAATTATCTTCTGGGTGTGTCTGCCTGGAAGCCCCACAGGTGCAAAGTCAACTTTTCCACAACTGACGCATCATCTTCTTCCCTCTAAGTTCCCTACATTAGGGGAACCATCTACCAAGACTCCATGTCAGACACCAAATGCCATCCTCAACCTCTCTCATCCCCTCCACATCCAAACAGCTTCCATGTATCTCCAATGCTCTTTGCTTCTCTATTGCCCTTCTCTGTTCTTGATGCAATGCCCCGCTCCAGGCACCATCATCTCTCTCTGACACTGCTGAATCGGTCTTACTAACTGGACTGTCTGCCAGAGATCTTTCCTCTCCTCTTTTCACCCCCATCTCAATTCTATTTTATATACTGTGGCTGTAGTCATATTCCTAAATGACCCATCTGATCATGTCATTCTCCGCTCAAACTCTTCTGTGACTCCCTTGTGCTCTCGGATGAAGAAACCCAACTCACAAAGCCCTTTGAGATATGACTCTTGCTTACAATGCCAACTTACTTTATCAAAATTGTCCCACAGATCCTGGTCTCCACATTCTTGCTAAACTGAGCTGTTTGCAGGTCCTCTTGGGTTCTTGCTGTTACTATGACTGCTTCCTGAAACAGATAGGTTCTTACCCTTGAGTAACGTCTTCTTATATGCCAAGTCCCACCTTGGACATGTGGGAAGCCTTCTTTGACCACAGGAAAGCCCTTCAGGGGCCCTGTCTGTGGACTAACACAGCAATTAGCATGCTGTCTGGCAAACCATAGGCATATAATGAATATCTGTTGAATAAATGAATAATTCAATTGACAAAAGCAATGAAAATGTCCCCAAAATAGAGTCCTCTGGAAACTGAATCAACTCATGTAATTGTGGCTAACTTATTTTTGCTCTCACAAAATTCTGATTCATGGGTCCTCAGTGATCTAAGCCTTTGAGGGAAAGAATTCCCATGTTTGGGGCAAGTCATTTATTCTCTCTGTGCCTCAGTTTCCTCATTTATAAAAGCAGAAAAATAATTTCTGCTTTAGGGACATGTCATGATGAGGAACTGAGTGTGTAGAAAGACCCAGCACACTGCCTGGTTCACAGTAAATGGCTCTGCAAATGGTAGCTCTTATTATTTAAAAAAAAAATTTCTGCCTTCGAGTCAGGCTGGGAACACAAACACTCTCTGAGACTGGTGTCATTTTTCAGCAGTCACCACACCAAGGGGAAAATGAAGAGAATAAGGGAAAATGCATCTTCTTTATCAAATGCCCTCCTTTCCTTTGAAAATCTCCTCAGCACTTTGGACTTGCTATTCTGTTTTTATTCTGAGTTCATTTAGCTTTAAGCTCACAGTCTTTATTTTAATACACACTGCATTTTAACAAGTAGGTCAAAGCCATTTTATACTTGCAATATGATTACCATAGTAATCGCTATATTTTATAACCTGCAAAATGCTCCCAGGGAGACCGGTAGGGACAGCTACAGTTTGTAACAAAAATAATAATTTCAGCCCGGCAGAATAAGCTCTCTTAAAAACTCTCTTGTTGCAAGTATTAATTTTTGAGGCTCCCATAATATTTGGAAACAGCAAATGCTAATGACTAAAGACTTAGTCAAGAGCAGTTAATTTCAGTAGCTTTATGTTTGGAAAGATGATAATAATAGTAATAGTAATAATAATAATAATAATAGCAACTAATGCTTCTAAAGTGTTTGAAGTAGATTATCTGCAAAAATTGTCTGACTAAGTCCCTCACCTGCACGTGTGCTTTGAGTAGTCCCCTCCCGTACTGACTCTGGGTTTGGCTATGTAACTTGCTTCAACCAATGGAATTTTGCTGCTATTGAGAACCCTATGACCACAGACTTCAGAACAAGCTCAGTTGCTATTAGCCCAACTGCCATTATACTAATCATGTAAGCGAAGCCACGCTGGACTATCCAGCCCCAGTCAAGGCAGCCCAGATGAGAAGAACTGCCCAGCCAACCCAAAATCATGAGAAATAACAGATGTGTGTTTTTTTAAGCTACTAAATGTTGGGATGTTTTGTTATGCAGCATAAGCTAACTCATAACAGTATTTATGTCATATAAGGCATTCCTCAAAGGGCTTTAAACAAAGTAATTCATCTCTCTACAACAAACCTTTGGGGGGGGCAGTACTATTATTTATTTCATAGATGAAGGAATTAAAGCACACAGATCTGGTAACTCTGACCAAGGTCACACACAACTAGAAAGTGACAGAGCCAGAATTTGAACCCAGTCAGTCTGGCTCCTAAACTATACAACACTGACTGTTAACATATTCATTTTTCTCCCATAGAAATATTTATTTTATACCATAGTTATAAAAAATTTATCAATGTCAGTAGTTATGTCAATAATCAAGACCACAAAATCCTATTGTGTCCTAAGGAAATCTCACAGGAATACATTTTGGACCTTGAACACAGTAGACCAAAAGTGTGCCCACCCATCCACACACCAAATTTCATTAAAAGATTCTCACTGATACATATGACATTCAGAATTAACTTCAAAAACGTAAAGTGAGTAAGGTTCAATCAGACTTTATTCATTTACATTTTTAAGTTTTTTAGGTCACACATTTCCTGAATTCTTCATACATTTTATTTCAGTAAACTGAATTACAAAACAATACAAGCTTTTTAAATTCAAAATCTAAATTATATAAAGTAATAATGATTCCCTCTCCTTCTCTTATCCTTCAACTTCACCTTGCTAATGTAACAAACTATTAATAATTTAATGTGTATCTTTTTATACTTTTCCTCTAATCATGCAAACACTTATTAAAGGCCTACCAAGTTACTGTTCTTTAACATTGAAAATAAGAAGAAAAAAAAAACAGTTGGCTACAAACTCAAGAGCATATTTAACAACCTTGTCATTCAAAGAAATTTTATAAAAGCCTTAGTTCATTATAATCAAGTATCTTTATTAACTGTATTTTAATTCTCAAAAGTAACAATTATTCTTTCACTTTATACAATCAACAGAAAGGTTAGCTTTCACAACACAAACCAAAAGCCAGTCTTCTGCTCTATTTGGTCTAAAATAAAATTCTTAACCGAAAGTCATTACTATGCCTTTGAAAACTGAAGTCTGATTCTCAGAATGGCCATGCTAGAAGGCAGCCCTGGAGGTCCAAAACAAGTCATTGAAATCACAAACAAACAACGACAACAGAAAACCCAGCACATGCACAAATACAAAAACGGTAGACTATCCCCCTTCAGGACAAGAGAGTGTAGCTGACTGCAATAAATTATCTTAGAAGACAACAGTGTCAGTATATATTGCATGTAGATAAGAACTATGAGATGTCAACTTCTATCAAATGACAGCATCCCAACATATCGCATTGTAATTTTTAAAAAATCCAACTTATTTTTATTTGGATCAAAAGGTTTTACCCCACTGACAAATAGCCCATATTAGTCCATTTTTACACTGCTGATGGACATAATTGAGACTGGGTAATTTATAAAGAAAAAGAGGTTTAATGGACTCACAGTTCCACCTGGCTGGGGAGGCCTCACAATCATGGCAGAAGGCAAAAGCCATGTCTTGCATGGCAGCAGGCAAAAGAGAATGAGAGCCAAGTGAAAGAGGAAACCCCTTATAAAACCATCAGATCTCGTGAGACTTATTCACTACCATGAGAACAATATGCAGGAAACCACCCCCATGACTCAATTATCTCGCCCCAGGTCCCTCCCACAACATGTGGGAATTATGGGAGCTACAATTCAAGATGAGATTTGGGTGGGGACACAGCCAAGCCATGTCATAGCCTTTCTAGGGAATATATAAAAAGTCAACACTAACATAGGAAATGTTATCTTTGTATCTGCTTGGCTCCATTTTCCTTCTTCTTAAATAACATGCTATTTTAAAGAATCTGTAGATAAAGAATGCGATCAGTGGGGATGGTGAAGATTCAATTCAGATTTTGTAAATACTCTTAAGAAAGAGAGGTCTCCTGATCGTTCTGTTTGAATAAGATACACATGAAAGTGATGCAACCCAATCTTTCCGTAACGGAATACATACTCCAACTTTAAGGGCACCAGAGCCCCATTAAAATTTAGGGTAGAGCTAGTGAGCACTCTGTTAGAATATATGTATATATATATGATATACACCATAGTTTTTTTCTAAGTCCGTGATTAAGCCAGGAGTCTCTAACTTGGATAAGTAATTAAAGGATCATGATGAGAGAAGCACTAATTTAACACAGAAGCCATCACTGAGCTCTTTGTTTTTACTAGTTCATCCATTCAACATCAAATGGATCTTACTGAGCGTCTACTATATGCCAGGTCATGGGACAAGTCTTAGGAATATAAGAGTGAGGGGGACATGCAGTGGAACAGAAGATATACCCCAAAGGAATGAACAAGAAGATAAGAAGATGGTACAGCTGCAGTGGAGCTACAGAAGGAATTTTCCTCCTAACAAGTCTAATTAGACGCTTCAAGTTAACATGAAATGTTTAATAATTGCAACTATGGGATTTCTCAGAATTCATTCATTCATTGAACACTCCTATATGCCAGGCAGTGCTGGAAATACTAAAAGAATAAGACATGGGCTTTGCCTTCATAGGGTCCTCAAGTCAACAGACGAATATGAATAAGAACCTGGTGGTACTGAGTCACAGAGGAAGAACACACAACCTGGTTTTAGGGAGGAGGTCTCCCCATATAAGGTACATCTAAGCTAATACTTTAAGCCTGAAGTTCTTTTGGACTTTAAAATGGAATTCCATTAAAAATATTTCCAGCCAATGATAAAAAAAAAATAAAGCTGCTTCTTATGTTGAGTGAGCAAGTACCTACATAAGACCTCTAGCACAGTAATTGCCAAATTTTAATGTGCATAGGAACTCCCTGGGATCTGGTTAAAATGCAGATTCTGACCCAGTAGGTCCTGGGTGAGACCTGAGATTCTGCATTTTCAACTAGTAACCAGGTGATGCTGAGGCTGAGGACCACACTTGAAGCAGCGAGGCTGTAGCACAAAACAGCCCTCTGGCCAACAGATGTGTTGTGTTTGGCCCATGTAGTGCTCCAAAACATCTCTATTAGCTGCTGACTTTTTAAAATTAGGACATTTTATGTAAAAAGCAGAATTTCCTGTTTCTTTTGAGAAATTTAAGATCAGACCAACTGGGCCCTAAATTTTCACAAGGCGGTGGTAAGCCAGAAACAGGGGAGGAGACCTGTGATCTTTGGTTTCTCCAGTTCCTTCTACTTTCATGGGAGCTCTTACCTCCACTGACTTCACTCTACATGCCTTCCACCCCCTTAGGTATCTGCATTTGTAACTCAGGTTCTAGCAGCCTGAAACTTAACAACGCACCAAACCACCCAACATGCTTCCAGAAGTAGTCTGCTCACCTGGCAGGAATTGGCACCATTAATTTATACTAAGAACGTACCTATAGCTTTGTATGGAAACAGCACAGCTCTCTGTTGCCAAATTCATTTGGCTTGGCAAATGCCTGAACTGCTCCAAGGTGCCATTTCAGGATACCCCATTAAGGGGATAACAGCATTTATGGAAGGACCTGTGTGGACAGTGAGATTGCACAGCCGGATCCTAAGAGCCCACTCTCATTCTTTAAGATGTCAGGAACTGAAGGCATCTGGAAACACTTCTCAAACACGAGTCTTGGCCAGAGGTGGGGGAGGGACTCCACCTGGGGAGAACATGTTTGTCAGCAAATGTGTGAGTAGGCGCTGGCAGACAGAGTGCACATCTTTTCATGGCGGAATATTAATCTGTGTGCTGGCACTTGGCTATTTTTGTATTTGAATGATGTCTCTTCATTTGGACCAGATAGAAATGTTCCGCTTCATGGTTCAGACTTCTGCAATTGCCAGACGCCCTCATGAGACATCCCTGCTATCCACATATTAACAGACAAAGTGAAACAGACTGGTAAAATTTTTAGTATCAATTGATGAAAAGTATACCAGAAACCACTTATTCTATGATGCTTCTGATGCCTGATGTGTCTGTCATTTCCTATGACGAGCAAGATCTATTATTACAGTGGTAGGACCAGAATTAGGGCTTGTAAAAAAGAAAATCAGATCAGTTTCCTGTGTTTGTGCCTGCCACCATACATCTTGTTCATCATTACTTTTCTTTACTGGGGCCATATTTATGAGCCTTTCTAGGGCTTGAACCTATCTTTACCTGTCATTGCTGAATTGTTAGACCAAAACAGCATTTTCTAAGAGTCAGTGATATGAGAGAGAGTAAAATTTAAAAAAAAATAAATAAATTATTGACAAGGAATAAATGCTTAAACCCGAGCCAAAAAATGGAGTTTAGGGCATATGCATATTAACATATACACATGATCATGCCACACACAGACATATTAATTTTGTGAGAATAAGAACAAACAAGGAGAATTCATATCCCCTTGACTCAAACAGAGTTTGGGAATATTAGGATAACTCATCGTATTTGTGTTTGTTGGCTGATAGTGTTTAAGTCTTAACTTTTAAAAACTTTCCAGGACTGAACCTTGGCATAAGTGACAAACACCTAGGAAACTGCTCTAAAAACCCATTAGCCAACAATGCAGGGAAGTCTAAATTGAACTAAGTGGATCTCAGAAGTTCCTCTCCGATGGTTACCCATAATTCTTAATCATACGGTCTGCAAGTGAATGTCATTGTACTAAGCACCATATGGTATTTGCTCATCACAGCTGTGGCTAAATGATCCCATGGTTATCTGTTCCATGTTGGTCTTCCCTTCCAGAATATAAAACCACATGGTAGCAGTGCCCACACTTATCCATCACTTCAACCCCAGATCCAGCCCAGCACCTGGAACATAGAAGGTACTCAAATATTTATTGATTCATTGAATGAACAGAGATGAAATTAGTGGATAAAACTAAGCTAGGAAACAGTTACTGCTGAAGGAGTTCAGGAGATACTACCGCAAATATGTCACTTTGGTATGCTGATGATTTCAAACTGAGGGCACTTGGGAGACAGTGGATATAAGAAGGGGCTTTCTCTGGGCTCCTCTTTAGTTGTCTGAAGACAGATACTGCAAAAGGGAGTCAATTGTCATAAATCCTCTCCCAGGGAATCTCACCAACCAGGGAACTTTGGCTTACAGGAGAAGAGACCTCCAGGTGATACCACACCCAGACAGATTTTTGTCACAGCCTGTTCTTCGGAAGGCCTACTCATCTTTCCCAAGAATCACTTACTCTCTCCTACGTCGCCCACCACCACCTATCCTCTTCCCTAAGGAAAGGGTATATAAGCTTTCAAATATCACTGGGTTTGGGATATTCACTTTTCTTTCACGTGGTGCCCTCATGCACATGCATATCTTTATTCTTGTTAATCTGCCTATTGTCAGTTTATTTCATAAACTCAATTATTGAACCCTCAGAGGGTAGAGGGAAAGTCTTCCCTCCCTGACACTGTTCTTAGGAAAGTTGCACTCAGAATGGGAACTTACTCAGAGAAATACAGATTTACTATTATTACCTATAATGATGGCATTGATGACATGGCATAGAAGACAGATAGGAGCAAGTAGATCAGAGAGGATTCTAAAAGATTCTAGCTAAACAGAAAGTCGTTACTAGTCTGTAAGAACTAGAGTCAGATCCTAATTATCACCATTGTGCTTTTAAGTACCAAATGCTAACTTGGGAGCTTGAATTTGGAACTCAAGTCAAAATGATAAGGTTGACCTCTTTTTAAGATTTACTAAATCATCTCTCTTTATTTTTGTTCAACTGCACTTCAATCATTTTTTAAAGCTCCCAGAACTATAGAACATTCAAATACTCTGAGGAGCAATGACTATATCTAGAACCTTAATGAAAATTTTAAAGGTTGATTTCATTCTCAAGTGCTTCAATAAAAACAAGAACAAGAACAACACTGAGGCCCAAGCAAGAACTCAGGTAGGGTAGTGTGAAATTCAAATGCAAGGTAGATGGATTCCTGAGAAAGGGAGAAAGTCAAGTGTCTTGGCATTCTACAAAAATTTACAACACGTGCAACACAACTGTGCCTATATCGTTTGAAAGAATCTTTCATTGTTTAAAATTGTCAATTGTGGATAAACATGTTGCAAAAAAAGATAAAGAGATTGACCACACCACAGCAGTTTTAATCGTAACCATGAACAGAAGGTAATGGCTTCATTTCTTTATTCTTTCAAGGAAATAGGGTTGTATTTGTTACCCATAACAACATTGACAGGTTCAACTTCTGGAACCACCAAACATAAATGCCTAAAAACTTTCTTTTACTCTTAACTAAAAAATAAATCCATACCCAACAGAGAAAGCTTTGTTAGGCAAGAGATACTTAAGTGTGAATTCCACACAAAATTGGGTTTGCTTTTGGTTGCAGAGATGTGCCCTCCTTAGGTAAATATAATGGCAAGATACAAAGTACTCTTTCCTTGGAAAGCCTTAGCTCATAAGATTATATATCAGTGAAGTACATTTTTGTAACAGAAACGAATAAATGTTACAGTGTGCACCTGAAGTTCAACTCAATTCCAGAAAAGCAGTTTTCAGTGGTAACATCTAAATCAGGTACCCAATCCAAGCATTTTTCAAATGGCCAAAACTGGAGTAATAGTATCTTTTACACAAATATCTTTCAAATGAATTATGGCAATATAATCTAAGACACGCTCACATTTCCAAATAATAAAACATAGGCAAAAATTTAAATAACTGTCTTGCATCATTGCTGTCATAGAAATTATGACAACTGTCTATAGAAAATTAGGATATGAAAAGAGGAGGTTGTGGATAGCATTGGTCTCCCAAGCCAAGACTCAACCACTTCATCTAACACAAACCTGGGCATATCTTAGGTCTTTTCCGCCTGACTTTGAACTTGAACAGTGAACATCTGTCTTTTGTCTTCTTTAAAATGAAAGAATTAGATAGCACAATCTAGACAGTTTCAAACAACTGTAACTAGAATACTTTTCCACTATATAATTAGGTTAGACAAAGACACCACATGAATAATATTGAACTGTTGTGATAGCCTTCAACACCACAGGAGTTTAACAACCCCACTGGGAATCAACCCCACTGGCAGAAAAAATCTTAGAAGCTGTGACAACATGTGAGTCAAGATATCCAAAGTTAAACAGGCTCTCACTTTAATATCTAGAAATAATATCTAGAAAATGTGTGGCCCTAAGAGAGAAAGTTTTTGAAAAGGTGCCATTTTCCAACAATCTCAAAGGTCATTAAAGTTAGCTGGCATGACATTTAGATACTTTAAGAGACAAAGAAATGCAAACCCCATGCAGGAAATACAGAGTAGCCTGGAGTGCTCCAGACTTCTATAACATCTAGCTTAAATCTAAGGGTCACAGGCTATCTATCTGACCACTCACTTTATTAATTTATGAAGTCAACGACATAGTAAATATAAATAGGACTCAGGGTATCCCAACAGCATTAAGGACAAGAATCCAGTTTGCGTTGCACCTGAAGTTTTCAATCATCGTGCAATCTCAACCAGCTGACGAGGTATCCTTAGAAGACAAGTGTTTCCTTAGTGAATAAGCACCTTTTGACCTCAGAAAGATTTACAATGAGGTACAGACATGTCTAAGGGAAGCCTATTACAAAACTTTATATTGTTTGTGTTATGAAATCTATAAATATTTTGCACTTAATCACTTTAACATTTAAGAGAATTTGGCCCATCCAAATTACCGGTTGTTTTTGTTATTTCAATTTAAAACATCTTGTTATTCCAGTTTACTTGAGTAAGGAGTACAGGCTTATTTGAAACTAAAAAAAATCTCATGAAATTTACATATAGTTTTAGGATATTTAGGTCAATGTTCACCACATTTATAAGTTTGATTTATGAGAATTATAATAATTATTAAAAGAGACAGGAAAAGATGTTTTCCTTGGGGAAGGAAGAAGCCAAGCCAGATGATTTAAAAAGAAACCAATTGCTTTGTGTTTATGAATGCATCTCAAAATATAAAGAGTTACTTATGTTTGTAAACGCAGACTGAAGATTTATAAATGTGATAGAATAGTAAGACTGAATGTTGAACTTTAGGAAGAATTGGTTAATTAATTGAATGTTAATTTTTAAAACCAAAGCCACCTGTAAATAATCTTTCCTTTAAAGAAAAACTGCCCTCCAGGGGCTCAGAAAACTCATAAAAACCTCTGCTTGTAAGGTAGCCTCCAAGGGCTGGTGTGAAGGCCACAGTAGGGATTGGGGCTGATTAATATGTGGTAATGTAACATGTCTCAGGGTAGGCCCAGTCTATCAGCTGCCAACAAGTACGAAATCCATGCTGCAGGCCACGCCCTGTGCTAAGCACTTTGTAGACAGCACCTCTTTGTTTTATACAGCAGCAATGCAAAGCTTAGGGACGTTAGGTAACCTGCCACGATGACAGGAATGGGACTTGAACCCAGTGCTCTCAACCACCACCCATTTGCCTCCTGTAAGAAAAATATCCCATCGACCTAGTGAATTTCTAGAATCTTGCTACTCAAAGTGTGGTCCAGGGAACCATCAGAATTGGCACTGCCTGGGAGCATTTAGAAATGCAGATCCTCAGCCCTACTGAATGAGGGTCTGCAGGTGATTCTTGGGCACGTTAGAGTATGAGAAGCAGTCTTCTGGAGCAGGGATTGGCAAACTTTTTCTGCAAGGCCAAAAAGGAAAAGCATGTTGGGCTTTTAGGGCCGTGTGGTCTCTGTTGCAACCACTCAACTTTGCCACGGAAGCAGGCATGGATGACACACAAATGACTAAGCATGGCTGTGTTTCAGAGACTCATTTTTACAATAATAGGCTGAGGGCCAGATTTGGCCCATGGGCCACAGTTTGCCAACCCATGATCTAGTGTACAGTAGCTACACCACTGAGATGGATATGTTTTCTGATTTGCTAGAAGAAAACTGAATACCTTCTCCACCTTGGAAGGCAAGCCCAGCCAACTCCTCTTTCACTGGTAGCAAGCAGCAGATTCACAGTAATACCGTTTGCCAACCTCGTCCAACATTTTTTTTTTCTTGAGGTCAGAAGATTACGTCTCAGTCTTAACATCATTTTCAAATGGTGGGCCCAATATTGAAGGGGACAGTGGAAATTCACCCCCCACCCCCCCAAAAAAAAGAAAAGAAAAATCCCTTTTGTATAAATAAATCAAATGTAAAAGATTTAAATGCAGTAAGATCTTTGGGGAGTTATAAAGAATTGGCCTTGTTTTTCAGTAAACACGATTGCATAAATGCAACTGGCTTTAGCACATTAACAGACTGGGATGCCTCAAATTCTCAAGAACTTCTGAGCCAATTCCTACACGATGATTAAATATGCTGGACAGCCATTCTGTAACTGGACTATTTTGCTCCACAGATTAGCCCACTCTCGCATTAGGGAGCACATTTATTGCTCAACTCTGAGTAAAGGCCATGCATCCCATTGCAAAGTCTCAACTTTTCCATCAGATGTTCCCATAAAAAATCTGAATACAGGAATTAAATCAACAGGAATTGCACTTTTTCTTCTCTTTCACTTTTCCTGGTATGAGCAGGAAAGGGGCTTCTCGCAGTTGGCAGGGAACTCGGCAAAAGAGGTTTAAGAACTGGTTTTGTGAAGGTGCTGTAGCCAAGCAGTTTCATGTCCTCCACTTATTCAGGAGAATTTGGAGAAAATAAAAATGAGGTAAACCAGGCAACTGAGGAAAATGGTGTTTATCATGGGCATTCATTGAGTGATTACCATATGCAAGGTGCCATGTGCTCAAGCCTTCATGAGGAGTATCTACGTTCATCTCCCCACATTTCTACATGTGTTATGAAGGAGAACCAATATAGAGAGGAAGAAACCGAGGCACAGTGAGATCAAAGATCACAGAGCTAGTGGAGACAGTGCATGGATTTGAACCCTTAGACCTCAGAACCTAACTTAATCTGCATTAAACAGAACTCAAGTATTGTTCAGTAGTTTTGCAGTGCCCTCTCAAACCTATGCTAAGAGCAGAAGCCTCCAGTCTCCCCTTCTGCCCCAACCCAGGCAGGGTTAAGTGCCCCGTGCTCCCAGAAGCCACTTGACCTCAGCATGCCCTCTACACTGCACTGTCTACTCCTCTGCCTTGCTATCCAATGGATAAACTATGGCACCTCCGCCTGTGCACTATGAACCTTTGGGGCCAGGACATGCTTTGTTGAAGGGGGCTCTCTTATGCGTTACAGGATGTTTAGCAGCCTCCCTGGCCTCTACCCAGTAGATGCCAGCAGAAACCCTCTGTCCACCCCACCACCCTCTAGTTGTAACAAGCAAATGTATCTCCAGACATTTGCCAAATGTCCCCGGTGTGGGGTAGGGGGTGGGCACGGTGGAGGCAAAATTGCCCCTGGTTGGAATCACTGCTATAAAACCTTTGAGGACAGGATAACTGTCTATGTCATTGTTTCTTTACCACCTAACAAAGGAGATGGCACACAGTACTCCTTCGTACTTTATCCCCAGAATAGCTCTCAGCTCTATCCTGTGCATCATCACTGCCACCGTTCTAGTGCCAGCCGCCTTCGT
Organism: Homo sapiens; assembly: GCF_000001405.40. NCBI lineage: Eukaryota > Metazoa > Chordata > Mammalia > Primates > Hominidae > Homo > Homo sapiens. The sequence continues at coordinate 64,293,332 of NC_000003.12, forward strand.
CTTTCGTCTGGTCTAGCAGAGGAGCCTCCTAACTGATTTCCCGGTACCCTCCCTGGTGACCCATCCATTCTGCTGAGATACAAGAGAGTTTTCAAAGCCCAATCTATTCATTCTACTATCCTCCTTAAGGCTTTCCACTGGTTTTCCACTGCTCGTCAGACAAGACTTCTCGACATGACCTATGGAGCCCTCAATGGTCTGCCAATCTCTGCAGCCTCATCCTCTCACTACCTGTGCTACAGTTCCTTGAAAGGTCCAGATGCCACTGCCCTTTGGCCTTTGCATATGCCGTTCCACATCTGTGGAAAGCCATTTTCCCTCCATTTCCCTGTCCTGCCTATGGACCTCAGCACAGGTGTTGCTTCTTCCTGGTCTAAAGCAGGTTCCTTTGTTCAAGGTCCCCGTGGAACCAAGTTTCATTCTTTCCTAGCCTTCCTCAACATGACCATTTATCATAAAAGAGGGAAGCCACCCTGTCTACTTTTCTTCACTACTGTAATTTCAGTGCCTGGGCCCTGGTGAGTACTCAATGAATATTTATTGACTACACATGCATAATCAGTAACTTAACCGAGAGACACCCTCTCACAATATAGAGGTTTTGCCAATGAGGTGCCCTGAAGGAAAATGGCTCAGTATATGAATTCTGGAATCAAACTGCTTGGGTTCAATTCCAGCTCTGGTACTTAATAGCTGCGAGACCTTGGATAGAACACTTACCCTCCCTGTCCCTCAGTTTCCTCACTTGTAAAATGAGAAAAACAGTAACTACTCTCATGGCATCCCGGTCTATAAAGTACCTGAAAATGTATAAAGTCTTCATTCCATGCTTGGGACATGAAAAGTGCTATATAAGAATTTGCTGCTATTATTATTGTTATTATTACTAGTAATATTTTTATTTACACATGATGGGTAAGGTAATGGGTTCATTTTTTTCTGATCTCAGCACAGGTGATAACAGCAGACACAACTGATTTCTTCCAAGTCCTGTGGGAGGAGATCCATTTTCACATTCTACAGACTCCCATGTCATCCCTAAGGTCCTTATAGGGCTGAAAGCAGCTTTACAAATGGTCCCTTGATCAAGTTCCATAGAACCAACTCCTGAGTTCATGACAATAGTCCTGCTCCATCAGCTGTGCACCTCTGGAGCAGAGTGGAGGGTGATAAGGGACTCTCAGAACCTTTGACAGTAGACTAATAAAAGATTGGGCTTGTTTGCAATGCTGATTAAAATCCAGCCTCCTTGGAAAGTCAAATCTATTCTGTGGAACTTTTCCATTCAGAAACTATGGAAACGCAAGTCAAAGTTGTTTTTAGTCTCTTCTTCATTCAACAGATATTTCCAAAATGCAACTTTGGTGCCAGGAGAAGAGATTGGCAGCTACCATTTATTATAGGAGCCTGAGCCATTGATCACATTTTGATGAGTGGCTTTTACTAATCTCTTATATACTTACAAGGATTCACCATGTTATTATAGGGCTCCTCCGGTTCACTGAAAGCATATTTCAGAGAAACTCAAGTCCTTTTACTCCTTGCATTCATGTGCAGAATCACCATTCTCAAAGCATAATTTCTGATTCCAAATATAACTGCAGGTCAAATTCCATTATGAAAAACTTCTGATGCATATCTAGGCATAAGATATTGTTGCCTGCAATGAGCAGACCATTGTTTGGCTGAGATTTGGAAACCCTGTTGTCATGTAAAGATTCTATTGTGTTAGGATTTGTTGTAATGGGATTTAGCCTATAGCTGAACTGGAAATTAGCAAATGGACACTTTTATTTCGTGAATCCTGGTGCCAGAAGTTACTGGTATAAGAACCAGCTTTCTCCTAATGAGGCAATTAATACCTCAACGGGGTCCTTCTAAAACACATTTTACTACTTTACTCCTCAGAAGGTAGGATAAGTAATAAAATATCAAAAGATGGCGAGATAAACATTAGGGTAACGGGGATTAAGGTTGCTGACAAGAGGTCATTTTTATTCTCCCTTTATGTAATGAGAAAGAGTAGATCACAACTCCAAATACTTCTTTTTTGTTTGTTTGTTTTTGAGATGGAGTCTCACTCTGTTGCCCAGGCTGGAGTGCAGTGGCCTGATCTAGGCTCACTGCACGCTCCTCCTCCCAGGAATACACCATTCTCCTGCTTCAGCCTCCTGAGTAGCTGGGACTACAGGCACCTGCCACCAGGCCCGGCTAATTTTTTGCATTTTCAGTAGAGACAGGGTTTCACCGTCTTAGCCAGGATGGTCTCTATCTCCTGACCTCGTGATCCACCCGCCTCAGCCTCCCAAAGTGGTGGGATTACAGGCATGAGCCACCATGCCCGGCCTCAAAACACTTCTTTTTAAAAAAGCACTACGAGCACTCAGATTCTCCTTGTACAGCATGACTTCCATCACGCTCTGATCTTACCCAACTAAGGAGCATGCATGCTATAGTTTAGGATGCCAAGTCCTTTGGCTAGCAAACCCAGAAAGGTGAGTCATCCTGCTACAACTCATTGGAAAGAGAAAAATTTTCAAAAGGAGCAGCTGAAAAACTAGGCTTTCAAATGCAAAGAAAGGCTTTGCCATTCAAGTTGATACCTGGTATAGATGTTATGTGTCAAATGACATAAAACTGCTTTCTAGTCCACAGGCTATCCAAAAAGTTTACACACTTCAGCAGGGTGGTGGGGGGATAGCATATTCATCATCCTCTTTTCAGATCAACAATTGGCCTCACTGCTTTCAATTTAGGGTTACTTCATCTAAAAAGATGTCAGGAAGGTACAGAAAAACATATTTTAAAATATAATTAACACACAGTTTTAAAATTAGTTTATCTTGTTTCCCAAATATTCAGACACTCTATACATATTTAGGCCCTTTTAAAATAAAGAAGGACAAAGAATGAACCATAAAGAAAAATACTTCCAACACTAGTATGAGAAAGAATATATAAGCTCTCAAGATTAAAAGATAAATACACTATGCTAGCTATCAACATATACCTTTTGAGCTAGTAAGTATACTTCAATAGATTTAATGGCCCAATTGGCTTATATACACAGAGAACTGTGTCCAGTAATAAGTCCTGGACCACTATTGGAAGCAGTGAAAGCTTGGGGGGAAAATAACCTTAATGTTCATCAACAATAAATCAAGATTTTTCCAGACAAAAGGAACACTATACATTCATGAAAAATTAACTCACAGAAAAATGTTACTTGAAGTGGTAAGCACATACTGGCTATAAATGTCCTCTTGATGATCTTGAACCATTAGGGAAAATATTAAAACATTTCTTGAGTTCTTTTACACAAATTACTTACAATCCTATAGCCTTCTGCCTTCATTCAAAACTAGGTCTTCAGAGTACTTATTAAGGATTTACTAAAATCTGTGCTCATAACTTAAAATTGGATTGCCTGAGGAAGCAATTCCAGAATGACAGAGTGAATACCTCCCAAAATGCATTCCCCTATAAAAGCAACAGGAACACTGGCAAAATTGTCAAAATTAACTTTTTCAGAACTTGGGAAATTAAAGGCTTGCAACAAGCAGAGGATCATTTATTTGAGAAAAACAGCTGAATCTCAGCAAGAATAGCAAGCTTTGTGGCATTTTAACTTGCACTATTTTCATCCTCCTCTCCTCAGCTCTGCAACAGCCCTGAAAACCAGCAGTCTGGCAAGAATGGTAGCTGTAAAAACAAGGAATGGAAAAGAAAAGGAAAAAAAACAGTAGTCTAGCAACCCCTGGAAGGGGACAGAATGGGCTTAGAGCACCCAGAGAGTCCCATCCCCAGATAATTGTCACTATTAGACTAGTTTGGCAGTTCCCTGGAACTGCCCCATGAGCAGGGCTTACTTCAGTTGACCTGAATCAGAGCAGCTCAGGAGGAACAGCTCTATTCCCAGGTGTTTGTTGAAAACAATTAGCGGCAGTTGTTTATCATTGCAGGTACCTGAGGCAACAATACCATTTGGGGGAAAACACCAGGCTGGCCAAATTAAAAAAAAAAAAAGAACTTAAAAGTCTAGAGAATGAGATGAGTATAGAGAGCTTTGTAAAGTTCCAATATACTCCTGGGGACTTAGAAAGTCAAGAGTATGCAAAAGACTGTGCACATGCCTGTCGAAAGACTTAAGGTTCAAATCACTCACTTCTATCTGACCTGCACAAGCAGGAAGTGAAAGCCAATGCAGAGTGTAAACTGCCTGAGCTGAGTACTGAAGATGTACACCAACACACACACACACATACACACACACACAGCCCACTGGCAAAAGGAAGACTCACTTGTCTTATATATTTAAGACTATATCTGTCCAATTATTAGCTGACCACTAAGGCAAATGATCAGAGACCTCAATGGACATATATGACAAAGAATACACACATAATAGAATTCATCCAAGAAAGTCACTAAACAAACAGACAACAAAAGCATAACAAACCCTTGGGTGCGGAGTAGATATGGTTTCCAGGGCTGTAATATTATACTTTTTCCAACATCTAGATTTCATTCCAAATAATGAGACAGGAAAACAAATAGAAAAGTATGGCCAATACACAAGGAAAAAAAGCATTCAACATAAAGCATACCTGAGGAAGCACAAATGTTGGATTTATAAGACCAAGTCTTTATTTTAATTTTTTTAACTTTTAAATTCAGGGCTACATGTGTAGGTTTGTTACATTGGTAAATTTGTGTTATGGAGGTTTGCTGTACAGATTATTTTGTCACCCAGGTACTAAGCCTAGTATCCATTAGTTATTCTTCCTTATCCTCTCCCTCCTCCCACCCTTTACCCTCAGGTAGGCCCCAGTGTGTGTCATTCCCTTATATGTGTCCATGTGTTCTCATCATTTAGTTTCCACTGATAAATGGGAACATGTGGTATTTGGTTTTCTGTTCCTACGCTAGTTTGCTGAGGATAATGGCCTCCAGCTCCATCCACATCCCTGCAAAGTACATGATCTCATTCCTTTTTAATGGCTGCTCAGTATTCCATAGTATATATGTACCACATTTTCTTTATCTAGTCTATCACTGATGGGCATTTAGGTTGGTTCCATGCCTTTGCTATTATGAATAGTGCTGCAATGAACATACATATGCATGTGTCTTTATGATAGAATGATTTATATTCCTTTGAATATATACCCAGTAATGGGATTCCTGGGTCCAATGATATGTCTGTCTTTAGGTTTTTGAGGAATTGCTACATTGTCTTCCAAATGGTTGAACTAATTTACACTCCCACCAACAGTGTGTAAGTGTTTCTTTTTCACAAGAACCTTGCCAGCATACATTATTTTTTGACCTTTCAGTATTAGCCATTCTGACTGGTGTTAGAGGGTATCTCACCGTGGTTTTGATTTGCATTTCTCTAATGATAAGTGATGTTTGTGTTTTTTTTTTCATATGATTGTTGGCCACATGTACAGGACAAAGACTGTAAATCAACTACTATAAATATGTTCAAAGAACTAAAGAAAACGACATCTAAAGAACTAAAGGAAAGTTCTCATGAACTCATTGTTTTCATGAACAATGAAATAGATGCAGAATATAAATGAAAAGATAAAAAGTGTAAAAAACAAAACAAACAAGCAAAAAACCCCAAATAAATTAAAACTCTTAAGCTGAAAGCATAATAACAGAAAGAAAAATGATACCAGAGGGTTGAAGAACAAATTTGAGCTGGCAAGCCGGAGACAGACCAATTGAGATGATCTAGTCTGAGGAACAAGAAGAAGAAAAAAATATAGAAAAATGAACAAAGCCTCAGAGACATGCAGGACACTATTCAGTATATCAGCACATACATAAGGGGAATCCCAGAAGGAGAGGTGAGAAAGAAAGGAGCAGAAAGAATACATGAAGAAGTAATGGCCAAGAACTTCCCAAATTTAATGAGGAATATTAATTAATCTACACATCCAAGTAGCTCAACAAAACCCAAATGGAATAGATTAAAAAATATCTACTTCTAGGCACACCATAAACTGTCAAAAGGCAAAGACAAGGACGGAAATGTGAAAGCAGCAAGAAAAAAGTGACTCATCATGTGCAAGGGATCCTCTATAATATGAAGAGTTTATTTCTTATCTTATATCATGAAGGCCAGAAAGTAGTGGGATGGCATTTTCAAAGTGCTGAAGGAATAGACTGTCAACCAAGAATCCAGCAAAACTATCCTTACAAACAAAGAAGAAATTAGGACATCCCCAGATAAACCAATATTGAGATAATTTATTGCTAGCAGATATGCCCTATAAGATGTACTGAAATTCACATGCAAAAGAATGAAATTGAGTTCTTTCCTTATACTACATAAAAAATTAACTCAAAATGAATTAGAGACCTAAATGTAAGAGCTGAAACTATAAAACTCTTAGAAGAAAACATAGGAGTGAGTCTTCATGACCTCACATTAGACAACAGTTTCTTAGATATAAAATCAAAATCATAAACAAAAGAAAAAATAGACAAATTGGACTTCATCAAAGTTAAAAAACTTTTGTGTTTCAAGAAAGTAAAAAAAACAACCAAAGAAGAGGAGAAAAATATTGGTAAATCATATATTCGATAAGAGACTTGTATCTAGAATATAAAAAGAACTCTTACAACTAAACAACAAAAAGAAAAATAATCCAATTAAAAATGGCAACAGACGGCCAGGCGTGGTGGCTCACACCTTTAATCCCACACTTTGGGAGGCCAACGTGGGCAGATCATGAGGTCAGGAGATCGAGACCATCCTGGCTAACATGGTGAAACCCTGTGTCTACTAAATATATAAAAAATTAGCCAGGGGTGGTGGCATGTGCCTGTAGTCCCACCTACTCAGGAGGCTGAGGCAGGAGAATCTCTTGAACCCAGGAGGCAGAGGTTGCAGTGAACCAAGATTGCGCCACTGCACTCTAGCCTGGGCGACAGACAGAGCGGGACTCCATCTCAAAAAAACAAAAAAAGGCAAAGATTTTAATGAGTATTTCTGCAAACGAGATATACAATTGGCCAATAAACATATGAAAAGATGTAAAACATCATTAGTCATTAAGGAAGCATAAATAAAAACCATGAGATACCACTTTATACATACTGGCATGCAATAATGAAAAGACAAGTGTTGTTAAGGATATGGAAAAATGTGAACCCTCAGACATTCTTGGTGGAATTGTAAAATGGTACAACTGCTTTGGAAACCATTTGACAGGTCCTCAAAATGTTAAATCTGTAGTTACCATGTGACCCAGCAATTTCATTCCTAAGCATATACCCAAGAGAAATGAAAATATACATATACACAAAAACTTGGACATGATATTAACAGCAGCATCTTTACAACAGCCAAAAGGTAAAAGCAATCCTAATGTCCATCAGCTGATAAATGGATAAACAAAATGTTGTATATCCATACAAGAGAATATTTTTCAGCAATAAAAAGAAATGAAATACTGATACCTGCTACAACATGGATGATCCTCTAAAACATTATGTTAAGGAAAAGAAGGCAGCCACAAAGAGACACATGTTGTATCATTCCATTTATATGAAATGCCCAGAATAGGCAAATCCAGAGTCAGGAAGTGGGTTAGTGGTTAGCATGGGACAATGGGGGAATGACTGTTATTAGACACAAAGTTTCTTCTGAGGTGATGAAAATATTTTGGAATTGGATACTGGTGTTGGTTGCACAACTCTGTGAATATACTAGAATCCACTAAATTGTACATTTTAAAAGGGAGAATTTTATGCCATGTGAATCAAAGCTCAACAAAGCTGTTTGAAAAAAAAAAAAAAAAGCTGGTAGAAATGAGGGAAAAAAAAAAAACAAACATTGCCTGGATCCTGCAGCCAGACTACTGGATTAAATCCCGGCTGTGTGACCTTTGTAAATTATTTAACCACTGTGTGGTTAACTGTGTGACCTTTGCAAATTATTTAACTACTTTGTGCCTCAGTTTCCTCATCTGTAAAGTAGACATAATGATAGTACCTACTTTAAGGAGTTGTGGATATTAAATCAATTAGCTATTTTTTTTATTATGGGGGGTTGTTTTCAGGCTTTCTCTGCCCTTATGAGAAAGAAGCAAGGGGGGGAAACGATGAAGCAGGTATGTCTAGAATTGAAAGAGAATGAAGCTGAGGATATCACCCATGAGTACCTCTAATTTTTTATGCTGAGGGAAGGAATGGAGTGGGAAAGAAGGACCCATTTGAAGACTCGGCATGGCAAAGCTGACAAGTAGAAGAGAGGACCAGCTAAAATAGGAAACCACATATGTGTAGGAATGTCGTCCACATGGCTGAGAGTCTTCCCTTAGAAAACATGGCAACACAGGATCAATAGCATAAAACAGATGGCAGGACTTTTCCAGGGCTGTTGATTGATTGGGGCTGTGGGCAAAGAAAAATGGAGTGAGAGAAAATGAATATGCCCAGAAATGTCACTGAGGGATTGGCAATGGAGTTGCAGCTGAGAAGAGAGGAAAACTGTGTTAATGGAGCCAAGAATCAAACAATTCCATCAAATTTCTCAACAGAGATGGTTAGTCTGAAACAAAACTTAGCTACACAGTAGGAAAAAACTATGATTCTTTAGCCTGGAAATGAGAAAAATCAACCATGATATGTGTTAACTGTTTCATTGATTTTATTTCTTTCAACATTTTCTCCCAGATCCTACCACTGGCAGATTTTCCGGTTGGAAACTGATTTTATTGCCAGGCTCACAGTTGATGTAGATTTTAGTGGAGGTGATCTGTTTTAAACAGATCTTATTAAAGAGAAGTCTTCAGTAAAAATGAAAAAATACCCATGAACTTATTTAGCACTTTTGCCCAAAACCCAAAGTAATTTAATACAATTTATCCCATATATTCCCTAGGGCAGCATGTGCTGCATCATCATTTGCAGATTTGGTATTCCTTGAAGAAAAAAAAATGTTTCTAGTAAAAATTATATTTTAAAAATCAGTACAAACTATTTCCCTTGTTAGATATCTACAATGAGCATTAGCATATTAAAGGCTCTGAGAAGACCTGCAGTGAAGATAACTATTATATTTCTTTCCCAAATTCATTTCACCATAGAATCCTCTCTGCCAGAGAGCCTTTTTTAACATGATTCAAAACTGGAGGCCTGTGAAACATACTTTGAGGAATATTACTCTATGAAAAGGCAGCGTTATCTATCATGAACAGATTGGCAACTAGAATCACAAAGAGGAGAAGCTACCTCTTACAGTAGAGTAAGGGAAAGACTTCATAGAGACATCCAGTTTTGATCCTTTTTGTTTTGCCAACTCAGTGAATTTCCTCAGGCACAACTCACGTGAAATGTACTTACAACTACCCACCAGACAAAGATCTACAAAAACATTTCCCTCAATGACATCAAAGCAAACCTATGTAACAGGTTACCAAGGGGTCTTGGGTACATGGAGGTATAAATATGGAATGACATCATTTTCACCAATCTCAGCATTCAACTGTGCTGTGTCAAACTCCCCTGTCCTGTTGGGTGGACAGCTGTCTCAACAAACATCTTAATTCAAGTCTATAATTTTTCAGTAACTTCCAACTATTGGAAGTAGCTCATTCTGGTTTTTCAAAGCTAAGCCCTGATCTTTGTAAAACTTCTATTTTGTACTTTGATCAACGTTCTTTCCTCCATCCCACCATTATGAGTGGCCCAAAAGCTTGGAGTAGAATCTGGTCTTCCTTCATGAATACCCCTGAAATTCCTGCTTCCTGCTCTGATCCTAGGGACAAGGAAGATGATAGGAAAGATAAGATGTGCCTCTTTTTTGGCCTTTGTGGCAGATTAGATGATTGATCAACAATATACATTCTCGGCCAGGCATGTTGGCTCATGCCTGTAATCCCAGCAGTTTGGGAGGCCAAGATGGTCGGATCACTTGAGACCAGGAGTTCAAGACCAGCCTAGCCAACATGGTAAAACCCCATCTTTACTAAAAACACAAAAATTAGCTGGGTGTGGTGGCACACACCTGTAATCCCAGCTACTCAGGAGGCTGAGGACCGAGAATCACTTGAACCCAGGAGGTAGAGGTTGCAGTGAGCGGAGATCACACCACTGCACTCCAGCCTGGGTGACAGAGCGAGATTCTGTCTAAAAAAAAAAGAATGTTCACTCTCTGCAAGATACCTCCTTAGGAAGATTACCCTCTCCCTCACTGATGTTGGGCTTGGACATGTGACTCATTTTGGCTAACAGGATGTTAGTAGCCCTGATAGAAGCCGAGTCCTAGAGCACACATCAGCATTGCACGTTGCTCTCTGTTACTTCATTCCCTGACGTGAGGAAAAATTTCCCCAGGTAGTTGCTGTTCTTGCAGCCTGGGTACCAGATTAAACACAAAGGAGCAGATGAGAGGCCAACCCACATGAACAAAAATAGCTCAATTCACACCTTAAGACAGAGCCCCTCGGCCAATCCATCCTAGAGAAGCTGACATGAAAAGGAAGAAAGGATCACCATTACAGGTCACTTAGGAGTGGATTGTTATGCTGTATTATTATAGAAAAAGCTAACCCACATTCGAATTACACTTAAAACAGGGATACCTAACATGATTCTTTTTTGTGCATTTGGTGTGAATAGATGGCACCCAGCTGCCCTAGTCATTGGTGGTCCTCTTGAGAGATGTCAGCCACATTTCCCGGCTGACGCCCAGCTGGTGGTCACGGGCCGTTCCTCTAATGCATGTGCATCCTGCCCTATGCAGCATTCCCCAACAAGTCTATGGCCTCTACCGCATCTACATGCTCTGTTTTCCAACTCCAGTGCCTGTAGGCAGAAGGGGGCAATGTCTATACTCTCCAGAACCAGAGGGCACCTTGGCCCCATTTGTGCCTGGCCATCCACTGTTCAGCTATCATCTGCTGTTTTGCCACATCTTTTTGCATGGAACTATAGTTCCATCAGGTTGAAATCCTCAGGCCCTGACTTGACTGGGGGTGGAGAGGAATGATTGACAGTTGGGACATGTGCAGACTTTACCAAGAACCCTCATTACAAACAACACTCCTCCTTCGGCTCTGGGAAGATACAGTGTTATTATCACTGTAATTTACTTAAAAAATATATCTGCATAATCATTATGATATCATGTATATGTCAGTTAGGTTAGCCTTGATTTTAGGGGTTGTCAGCTAACATGTTACACAGACCTGGCAAGGTCAGTTAGCATCCCACTGGTAAGGGCTACAATCCAGGGACAGCCACCATATGCACACTTCCCTTAGCCTAGCTTCATCAATGACCAGCTGTTCTTAATTAGCATCAGGGAAGCTAAAACAGGTTCTTATTGGTGAAACTGACTTCTTAATTAGCATGATGGATGTTAGGGATACGGTCTCTCTGGTGAATTGCAAGGTATTTAGGATGTGTGAAGGGCTCAAATAGTTTGGAGACACCTCCCACCCTTGCATGAACTGGAAATAAGAATCTACATGAGCCAGTACCTTGCACCCCTTATTATGACACCCATGACTTAATCCCCAACACTATGTCCAGCTAAAACCAGTTGGTTCAGGAGGTTCTCCGACTGAAGAGTCCTGAGTAGAGGACTGAGATGTTGCTGGGTTGGCCTTAAATGAACCCTTCCTACAGGGTGTGGTTGCAGCCTCTGAAACACTAGTTCTCAACCTTGGCTGAATATGAGCATGGCATGCAGAGCTTTTAGATGAACAGCCAGGCCTCACCCAGACAGGTGACGTGGGAATCTCTCAAAGTGGGACCGGTATCGGTGTCTTTTTAAAGCTCCCCTGACGATTCCAGCGTGCAGCCAGGGATGAGCATCACTACTCTACGGGACAGTGAGCTGGGATGGCATCAGGCTTGCAGAGTGGGCTTATGAGCTGTTTTGAGCCTGCTCTGCTAATGAATATTCATTTAGTAAATGTCTGTATGTGTGGGAGAATTTGGTCTGAGGCCTGCTTTCATTAAAATTGGAGCAAGGTTAAAGAAGAACAGCGAACACTCACCAACTCTAACTTCTTCAGCAGCTTCCAAAAGAATCTAAGAGGGATGGGATCAGATTGGCTTCGGTCAGCTCACAGCAAGTGGGCATCCCACTCACCTCTCTTATGGGAGGGGAAGGGAGATAAGAGCTTTTGATAAATACTCTTCTCTCTAAAAAGACTACCTTTCTCTTTCCCCAGTTTGGCTCTTATATCAACTTAGGTTGGGGGTGAGGATGGCAGGGTCCATTCTCCTGAAATAGAACACTTTGGTAAGCCCTGGATGGTCCCAAATTCTGAAGTTGGAATGGGATACTCATGCCCCCTGTTCCTACTGTGGGACCTGGCCCAAATTCTAGAACTACAGGAGATAACTTCCGGCAGGTCCCTAACACCATTCTATTACAAATGCATAAACAAGTAGGCATATACAGGAATATATAGAATTAGAGGCCAAAGCCAATTAATTATCTAGGAAAATGCCTTGACACATTTAACTCAATGGTAAAAATAATGCTGGAAGCAAGCTAGAGTCCTACTTGTGGCCTTTCCTTCCCAGTTTCTAGATAAGGACTAGATTGCTGAACACAAGGCTAATCTCCACACTAAGAAAACCTCCTCACCCTGGGAAGTCGCCTCTGCTATTACCACTTCAGGGCCCAATCTACTTTAATAATAGGCATCTATCAGAAGAGGGCTGTGAAATAAACAGGCAGTTACAAATACAACAGGCTACATTTACAGGGAAGGAGAACAAGAAGAGATGATATTCCATTTTTTTTTATGTTTTTAATCTTGCATGTCATTCTCACCAGCTGAAATAGTTTACTGTATCCTTTTTCCACCCACAGCATGCTTGCTGAGTTCTCCTAGCAGAGATCGTGGTAGACAAGAACACCACATGTATTGGAAGCACAGAAAAGACTTTTATCTTAGCCTTATTGAAAGAAAAAACATATCTAATTGTTGTGGACTAAACTGTGTTGCCTTCAAATTCATATGTTGAAGCCCTAACCCCTAATGTAATTGTATTTAGAGATAGGGCCTATAAGAAGGTAGTAAAGGTTAAGTGAGGTCATAGGGGTCAGGCCTTAATCCAATAGGACTAGTGTCTTTATAAAAAGGAGACAACCAAGATCCCCCTCTGTGTGTGTGCATGGGCAGAGGAGGACCCAGCAAGAAGGTGACTGCAAACCAGGAAAAGAGCCCTCACTGGAAACCACCGCTGCTGGCCCCTTGATCTTGGACTTCTGGCCTTCAGAGCTGTGAAAAAATAAACCTCTGTTGTTGAAGTCGCCAATTCTGTAGTATTTTCTTATGGCAGCCCAAGCTGACTAATATAATGACATTGAAAGCACTTTCTAAGCATTTAGAAAATGGGTCTCCATTTTATCAGGTGGAGTTCTACCAGCTACAGTGTGGAGACTTTTACTCTATTAAAATTGGTGGTGGTGGAGTGGGAGGCAGTGGGTGATAGAAGCTGGGAGAGAAAAGCTCCTACCATGTGCCATCAGGAGGCAAGTTGTGAATGAAAAATCTAACTCAGTTATTTTTGCTGACCTCATTCAAGACTCAGAGTGAAAGTGGAGCTCAGGCCAATGCATGTGGCACAGTTGTTAAGCACCAGACCAAAAACCTGGAGATAAAAGCTTCCAAATGGTTGTAGAAATGCCAATTTCCTCTCTTGTTTGCACTGGAGCAAGTATTACAATTGTTAAGCAAGAAATTTCGATCTGTGCATGTTTGGGTTGGAAAAGCGAGCTTTGGAGAAAACAACCCCTGAAAATTTCAAAGCAAAATCTTTAAGTAAAGACTAATTCAGAATGAGCTGTTTTTGAGTCTTGAAGTAAATGTAACGATATCTGAATTCCTGAAGCTCAGTTAACAGCTGAACAGGTTTCAATAAATACAAGCTATATATTTTTCCTACCCTCCTTAAAGCAAATGAATCCCACCAGTTAATAATACTTCTAGGTCACAACATATGAAATGTTTGAAATATTTTTAAAATAGCCTTTAAAAAGAAATACTACATTGTTAAATAGCATCTTGGATTAATAAGAGTTTTCTTTTAATATTGCTTTTCTTGCAATTTACCTGCATCTAATCACAAATTTCAGCCTGTGGCAGTTTATCAGCGTAAGCATTGCTGAGTTCTCTGATTCCAGCCACAATCAACTATATACTCTTCAGGATTATACCTCTTTCCAGTGAAAACAAACACTACCACAAGTTATTCCCTTTTCCTATTCATCAACGGGCAATGTCTGAATAGATACCTGGACACCAGTTGCTGAGATAGGTACAGACTCCATGTGTGAGGGCAGAAAAAGGGAAAGAACAGGAATGGCTTGCTTCTCACGTTCTCTTTGGACCTGAAAACTCTGTCTAGAAAGTCAACACCAGCACTAGGTGATGTGAGAGAAAGGAAGTGATCACTTTTGTTGAGTTTCTGACTGCCAAATCATATTCTATCAACTTCAACACATTATCTCCCAGGAAGAGTAAAAGAGACTTCAGAATGCTATTTTGCAAAAGACAGACCAAAGTGTATCTGTTACCATGTAATTTATACATAGAGATGCTTCTCTGTTCTTAATTTCTGTCTGTTGTGACTCTCTACGCAATCCCTTGGCTCACAGACATTTAACCTGAGCTATGATTTCATTTCCATATGCTAATCACTTGGTACTTATTTTTAGAGCATTTTGTGTGCATGTCTGATTTGTCTTCAAAAGAATACTATAGGCCCGGCATGGTGGCTCACACCTGTAATCCCAGCACTTTGGGAGGCCGAGATGGGTGGATCATCTGAGGTTGGGAGTTCGAGACCAGCCTAGCCAACATGATGAAACCCCATCTCTACTAAAAAAATAGAAAAAATTAGCTGGGCATGGTGGCAGGCATCTGTAACCCCAGCTACTCTGGAGGCAGAGGCAAGAGAATCACTTGAACCCGGGAGGCAGAGGTTGCAGTGAGCCAAGATTGCACTGCTGCAGTCCAGCCTGGACAACAAGAGTAAAACTCTGTCTCAAAAAAAAAAAAAAAAAGAACTGTAAATTTCTTTACAGCAGAGGAACAAAGAACATTCTGATATGACCACAGCATTCTATATAATAACCCTGTAGAATGAGAAATGAGAAGACAAAAAAACAACAACGAATTCCGTTTTGTGAGCTTAAAGAATAGGCATGAGAAAAATAAGACCCACTGTGGACATTTATGGGGTTTTGCCTGCTGAAAATCCCCTGCTCTATTTTTCTGTGATGAGCATCCTAGTTTTCATCTGGGAACTACCCCCATTACCACTTTTAAATGAGATAATTGTGTCTAACATAGGAGTAGATGGCTTTGATCCTACTACTCCCTCAGGCTCCAAGAATTGGCCCCCGGCCCTAAATCTGGCTAGTTGCAGCCATCTACCTCTTTGGTCCAGGAACTGGTCCAAGACAGACTTGCACCCCAAGTGGCCCAATGAGAGTCTTCCCCAGGACTATTTGGAAACATCAGATTCTCTTTTTACAGCCTGCTATGGTATGACTCCAAAATTCAGGTGTTCAAACTTAATGTCCAATGTGATAAGATTAAGAGGTGGGGGCTTAAGAGGTAATTAGGTCAGGAGGGCTCCTCTCTCAGGAATCAGATGAAACCCTTTTTAAATGAAGCTTCACACAGCATTCAGTTCTCTTGTCCTTCTGTATCCCATCATGTGAGGACACAGCTTTCCTCCCCTCTGGAGGATGCAGCAACATGATCCCATCTTGAAAGCAGAGAGTAGCCTTCACCAGACACTAAACCTGCCGGCACCTTGATCTTGAACTCACAGCCCCAGACTGTGAGATATACATTTCTGTTCTTTATAAAGTACCCAGTCTCAGGTATTTTGTTGTAGCAGAACAAACTCAGACACAGGTGTTCCCAAACTGGTTAGATAAAGCCTAGAATTGCTAGCATCAAATCCTGCCTGAGAATAATGCCAACTGAAAGGGAAGTCAAGCTCAAGGGATAAAGAGAGAAAATCTGAGCTCTGAATTAGTTAGTTGAGCCCATAGATCTAGTTGTGCCTGAAGCTAATCTACCATTTGCTTTTGCTGGCAAATGTCCTTTTCTTTGGTTTAAACAAGCTTACATTGGAGTGCTGTCACTTACAACCCAAAGTCCCAATTAATACAGGGCCCACTCTCATAGTGGTCTACATAACGATGTAGTACACCAACTACTTACTAGGAAATGGCGGGATGAGCAGGCAACTGTGGACTCAGATGATATGGGTTCAAATCTTAGCTCTACTGGGTGTCTTTGAGCAAGGCTTAACCTTTTAGTCTCATTGTTCTTAACTATAAAATGGATATAAAAATATTTATCCCTTGGGCCAATTAGGTAAACTAAATTAAAAACAGTAGGTGAAATTTGACTGTACCAGCCATTTCCGTATTTCACTTGGTGGCTTAAAAATAGCTCCTCATACCCCTTCCCTTCTCTGCTCTAACTAGATCATAAACTTCTTACTAGAAAAGCAGGACAGAGTAGACAGTGGCCCTCAAAGTATGGTCTGGAGCCTGCCAGGAACCCCCAAAATCCCTCCAGGGGGTGCATGAAGTAAAAAATATTTTTATGATAAAACCAAGATGGTATTTGTCATTTTCACTCATTCTTTTTTTTTTTTTTTTTTTTGAGACCAAATTCACTCTTGTTGCCTAGGCTGGAGTACAGTGGCGCAATCTGAGCTTACCGCAACCTGCACCTCCCGGGTTCAAGCGATGCTCCTGCCTCAGCCTCCCAAGTAGCTGGGACTACAGGCGCACGCCACCACTCCCAGCTAATTTTTGTATTTTTAGTAGAGACGGGGTTTCACCATGTTGGCCAGGATGGTCTCAATCTCTTGACCTCCCGATCGCCCCACCTCAGCCTCCCAAAGTGCTGGGATTACAGGCATGAGCCACCATGCCTGGCCCATTTTCACTCATTCTCTAATAAATGTTCAGTGGAGTTTTCTAGAGGCTAAAACTTGCGATATCAGAACAAATTTAATGCAGAAGCAGATATGATTAGCCTGTCTTTTATTAAGCTAGACATCAGTATTTGAAACAGTCTGTAATCCCAGCACTTTGGGAGGCCGAGGTGGGTGGATCACTTGAGGTCAGGAGTTTGAGACCAGCCTGGCCAACATGGTGAAACCGCATCTCTAGAAAAATACAAAAATTAGCTGGGCATGGTGGTGCGTGCCTGTAATCCCAGCTACTCAGGAGGCAGAGGTTGCAGTGAGCTGAGACTGCTCCATTGCACTCTAGCCTGGGCGACAGAGCGAGACTCCATCTCAAAAAAAAAGGAAGGAAAGAAAGAAAATAAAAAAGAAAGAAAAAAGAAGGAAAGAAAAAAAGAAAGAAAGAAAGAAAGAAAAGAAAGAAAGAAACAATGTCATTGTTCACACTATTTTTTTTTTGTTTTGGAAAACACGTATGTTAACAAGTAATGAGTTTCTTATGTTTGTATATTAAATAAATATATACATATATTTTTGAGATGGAGTCTCACTCTGTCACCCAGGCTGGAATACAGTGGTGTGATCTCAGCTCACTGCAACCTCCACCTCCCTGATTCAAGCGATTCTCCTGTTTCAGCCTTCTGAGTAGCTGGGACTAAGGTGTGTGCCACCATGCCTGGCTAATTTTTGTATTTTTTAGTAGAAATGGGGTTTCACCATATTGGCCTGGCTGGTCTCGAACTCCTGACCTCGTGATCCGTCTACCTTGGCCTCCCAAAGTGCTGGGATTACAGGCCTGAGCCACCGCACCCAACCTAAATAAATATTTTTAAAATTAGAGTTTGAATAAAAGATTCAAAGGAAAATGGACATATGTTCTCAGTTCAAAAAGGCCTGGAGAAATCCCAATATACTCACCTTTATAGATCTCCTCTCAATATTGGAGGCTATAGGGACATGAAGCATATAACTATTCCTGTTATGCTGTGGGGTACAAAACAGTACTGTAAATGTGAGAGGTAAGGCCAGTAATCCATTCTTTAAAAAAAAACACAGAAATGAGCCATATTATATCTCTTTATAGCAGGAAGGGCATGCTTGTTTGGGAGGGGCATTACCTGCTTCAAACAATGCCTGTGAAAGAAAACGCTCTTCTTAGATAACAATAGAGAAAAGCACCAAATAAGATACGGAAATGTCACACACAATTTGTAGCCCAAATTATAAGCTGTTTCCCCTTACTATACAATCTTTCAGAGAAAAATGAAATGTGCCCCATGGGAATAAATAATAGCTAAAGCCAGCCAAAAATATGGCCTTTAGAAAGAGAAACAATAAAGCATCTATTATTTTTAACAATTTCTCATTGTTTGTCTTGGGAGGGTGGCTTTTTGCTTTTTTCCTCCTCCTTTCTCTCAAAAGATTCATTTTCAGATTAGTCATAGAGGGCTGGCAAAATGCTGAGAAGTTGAAGGTATTTCAGAGCCGTCTTCTGAGGCAATGCTCCAAAGCTTTTCAGGGAAAATGATGCCACCCTAGCCTAGAAATCTGTGTGAGCAGCAGAGTTGAAGTGAGGCACAGAGCAGAGACCTCGGGTTACTGACCCTTGCCATTTAGCTGAATTTGTAACTGACTTTCTCTGCACTATAGGGAGGAGTTTCCCTAGCAATGATGAAAAACCTGACACAAATTAAATTCTCCAGGACAATAAACGCACATGGAAACAGGAAGAAACCTTTCAAAAGAAAGGAAAGAAAGAAAATGTGCATTAGAATATGTTTTGGAAGAAAAAAAAATCCCATAAAAGTGGTAAACACAGGCTATATTGTAGTATTATGGATTGTTAAAAAGAGCTCCCTCTCTATAAAATGGTGCAGCTGCTGTGGAAAACAGTATGGCAGTTCCTTAAAATATTAAACATAGAATTACCATGTAATCCAGCAATTCCACTTCTGGGTATACTCAATCGAGTTGAAAGCAGGAACATGAAGAGCTATTTGAATACCCACAATCATAGCAGCATTATTCATAATAGCCAAAGGACAAAGTTGTCTAAGAGTACACAGGCAGATGAATGGATACACAAAATGTAATCTATACATACGTACAATGGAATATTACTCAGTCTTAAAAAGGAAGGAAATTCTAACATATGCCACAACATGGATAAAACTTGGAAACATGCTAAGTGAAATAATCCAGTCACAAAAAGACCAACACTGCATGATTCCACTTTGATAAGGTGCCTAGATAGGTTATACTGATAGCAGTCAAATTCATAGAGACAGAAAGTAGAATGATGGTTGCCAGGGACTAGGTGTATGGGGGAAGAGAATGGGGAGATCTTGTTCAATAAGGATCGAGTTTCAATTTCAGAAGAAGAAACGAGGTCTGGAGATGGGTGGTGATGGTTGTACAATGATGTAAATACACTTAATGCCACCAAACTGTACACTTAAAAATTGTTAGGCTGGGTGTGGTGGCTCACACCTGTAATCCCACCAGTTTGGGAGGCTGTACTAGTCTGTTCTCACACTGCTATGAAGAAATACCCAAGACTGGGTAATTTATAAAGAAAAGAGGTTTAATTGACTCACAGTTCCACATGAATGAAGAGGCTTCAGAAAACTTAGCAGCAGGAGAGAGAATGAGTGCCCATCGAAGAGGGAAGCCCCTTACAAAAAACCATCAGATCTCATAAGAACTCACTCACTATCACAAGAACAGCATGAGGGAAACCACCTCCATGATTCAGTTATCTCCACCTGGTTCTGCCCTTGATGCATGGGGATTAATTCAACTCAAGATGAGATTTTGGGTTGGGGACACAGCCAAACCATATCAGCGACTTAGGGGAGAGGATCCCTTGAGGCCAGGAGTTTGAGACCAGCCTGGGCAACATAGGGAGACTACATCTCTACAAATAATTTTTAAAATTAGCTGGGCATGGTGGTGCATGCCTATTGTCCCAGCTACTTGGGAGGCTGAGGTTGGAAGATCACCTGAGCCTGGGAGGTCGAGGCTGCAGTGAGCTGTGAACATGCCACTGCACTTCAGTCTGGGCGACAAAGCAAGACCCTATCTCAAAACAAATGAACAAACAAAAAATGGTACAATGGTAAATTTTTTTTACACACATTTTACCAAAATGAAAAAGTAAACTGAAAAAGAAAAGCAACAGTCCCCTCTGCCTTTTCCCTTGCACTGGGGCACTTTCTGCAATGTGACGTTGCTGAACCTTCCACTAAGAGGCAGAGTCCATCTCCCCTGCCCTCAGATCTGGGTTGGCTCTGGGACTGGCTTTGACCCACAGAATGTGTTGAAAGTGACATTCTGGGATGTGGGAGTTGAGGTCTTAAGAGGGTTTGGAGCTTCTACTTGCACCCTGGGAACCCATACACCATGTAAAAAAGCCCAGCCTAGCTGGCTGGAGAGATAGTCCACATGCAGATAAAGGCCCTCACAGGATGAGAGGCCACGTGGAGAAAAACCAAAGTACCTCAGCCACCAGTCAGCACCAGGAACCCAGTCAAAGTACTCAGGCACCTTGGATTCTCCAGAACCAGAGGAGCTTCCCCAACCAACAGCACATGGAGCTGAGCCTTGCCCCAATTTCTGAGAGTAAACAATGGGTCAGTTGTTGTTCTAAGCTATTACATTTTGAGGAGGTTTGCTTCACAACAATAGATAACAGAAACAATCATGCAAATATATGCCATTGAATAGAGAATTTCCCCTCACCTTATTCTACTTCTACTGTTTATTACATTCATCAAGTAATTCACACATATTCATCGAATACCTACTGTGCAGCACGATTTTCTTGGCATTTGAGATCTATTGTACAATCAGTCAAAGGCCTCTGCCCTGAGAAAGCTCACATTTTAAAAGGAGGGGATGGCAGTAAATAATAAAAAAGTAGACAGTATGTGACAAAGGAAGTGCAATGGAAAAGGAAACAGTAGAACAAAATGTTAAGGATTGGCATCAGAAGAAATACAGATACAGGCATTTCTACTTAGTGGGCCTGTACCAAGTCTCTTCTGTGAAAAGATAATTCATCTTTTCTTTCTTATAGTTTTTGTTATCTGACCTTTTCTGATAATGCTTTAGTTTTAATTATATGTAATCACTGTGCTAATGGAAATAAATATCGGCATCTCAGTTCATTATCTTGATTACAGAAAAAAAATTACATGTTCTCTCATACTGCTACTACTATTTTAAAGAAACTTCATCTGTAGGCAAAACCTTGAGGACCTGGAGATCCAAATACTGCAGGATTCCCATCCCAAATCTAAAAGGATCTCTGTGGATGTTTTATAGTCTTTATGCTGAACTTTTATCCAACATTGACATTTCATCACGCTTAATGATTTAACTTCTCACAGTCTATCAGTTTTATATAAATTTGTGGTTAAGACCACAAGCTTTGGTATCAGACAGGCTTTGGTTTGAGTTCAAGTTCTACCATCTACAACCTGGTTGACCTGTTCCCTAAACCTCAGTTTCCTGATTTATAAAATGGGAAAATTTTACCAAGCCTCACAGAGTTAAGGATTAAATGAGATGGGCTAAAACATAACTTTCAGCTTGTGACCACAAAATAAGTATGTGATTATGATTTTATATAATATGTAAAAAATATATTTTATAAATACATACAATATATATAAAATAAGTATATATTATATATATAATATATAATATAATATATATAAAATATATTATATATATTATATATAAAATATATATAATATATATAAAATATATATAATATAATATATATAAAATATATATATAATATAATATATATAAAATATATATAATATATATAATATATAAAATATATAATATATAAAATATATAAAATATATTAAAAATATATTATATATATAAAATATATAATATATAAATTTTAAAATATATAAAATATATATTATATATAAATTTTAAAATATATATATTTTAAAATATATAAAATATATATTATATATAAATTTTAAAATATATATATTTTAAAATATATAAAATATATATTTCTCCAGGCCTTTTTGAACTGAGAACATATGTTCATTTTCCTTTGAATCTTTTATTCAAACTCTAATTTTAAAAATATTTATTTAGGTTGGGTGCGGTGGCTCAGGCCTATAATCCCAGCACTTTGGGAGGCCAAGGTAGATGGATCACAAGGTCAGGAGTTCGAGACCAGCCAGGCCAATATGGTGAAACCCCATTTCTACTAAAAAATACAAAAATTAGCCAGGCATGGTGGCACACACCTTAGTCCCAGCTACTCAGAAGGCTGAAACAGGAGAATCGCTTGAATCAGGGAGGTGGAGGTTGCAGTGAGCTGAGATCACACCACTGTATTCCAGCCTGGGTGACAGAGTGAGACTCCATCTCAAAAATATATATATATATTTATTTAATATATAAACATAAGAAACTCATTACTTGTTAACATACATGTTTTCCAAAACAAAAAAATATATTATATATATATATATAATATATATATTATATATATATATATATATATAATATATATATTATATAAAACCAATGTATATATATTGGTTTTCATCCATGGCTTCTAGCTTATAGCTCCCATGACTCTTGTTGGTCTTTTGTTTTAATGTTGGAGCACTTTAAGCCTCAGAAGCAGGCCTCAGGAACCAGAATCTCTCTCTCTCGCCTTTTCTTGTCCTCGTTTCACCTATCCAAGGCCGGACTCTGATTGTGAGTGAAAAGACTCACAATCCAGAGAGCATCCTGCCCCATACCCTAGAAGAAGGAATGCTACACAGAGAGGTGGCCAAGACAAGTCTGAGCAAACAGGCCTTGCTGGGTTTAGATCATGTGCTTTTTGACCAATCACATCTCTACACACTTGTCAATCATGCCTATGTAATGAAGCCTCTATCAAAACCCAAGAAGACAGGGTTTGGAGAGCTTCTGGATAGCTGAACACATGGAGGTTCCTGAAGGGTGGCGTGCCCAGAGAGGGCATGGAAACTCCACACCCCTTCCCCCTTACCTCGCCCCATACATCTCTCCATCTGTATTCTTTGTTTTATCCTTTATAATAAACTGGTAAACATAACTGTTTCCTGAAGTTCTGTGAGCTGCTCCAGCAAATTAAATGAACCCAAAGAGGGGGTCGTGAGAACCCCAACTTGAAGCCCGGCAGTCAGAGGTTCCAGAGGCCCAGGCTTGCAACTGGTGTCTAGGAGTGAGGGGCAGTCTTGGGGACTGAGCCCCAACCTGTGGGACTCAACACTATCTCTAGGTGGACAGTGTCAGAATTAACTGGAAGGACACCTAGCTGGTGTCTGCTGCTTGGTGTCTAGGGAAAACCAGCCCCATATTTGGTCACAGAAGTCTTCTGGGTTGATGATTTTTGTGGTGGTGGTATGAGAGTAGAGGAAAACTTGGTTTAAGAGAGTTTTTCCCTAAACAATAAGCATTAGATAAATGTTACCTATTATCATTTTCTTTTCTTTCTTTTCTTTTCTTTTTTTATTGAGACAGAGTCTCACTCTGGTGCCCAGGGTGGAGGGCGGTGCTGCAATTTTGGCTCACTGCAACCTCCGCCTCCCAAGTCTCTGGGATTGCAAGTGTGTGCTACCATGCCCAGCTAATTTTTGTATTTTTTGTAAAAATGGGGTTTCACCATATTGCCCAGGCTGGTCTCAAACTCCTGGGCTCAAGCGATCTACCCTCCTTGGCCTCTCAAAGTGTCGGGATTACAGGCGTATATGTTACCTATTATCATGTGATATTTTTAGAAGGTATTCTCAGGCATAAAAATCATGATAAAGAACAACAGTCAGGGCTTGACTGTATAACCATGGAATGACTCATCATTGGACACTTCACAGGCCTCTGCAGATCCTACTACGAGCATGAGGCCAAAGAGTTCTCTTATCAGATTCAAAGAAAGCTCAAGCCTACAGGTACCTCCCTGGACTAACTGCATTCTGAAGCTAAAGTGACCTTTTAATTATGCATGACCCCTGTGCAGGATCAATCAGAAGGAGTCAAGTTGAAAGCAGAATCAGATAGAAGACAAGACACTCTCCCATATATCGGAGTATTTAAGACCCTCCTATCTAGAATAGTCCTGAGACTGAACCCTAGAACTTCCTCTGCCCTCTAAAAAGGGAGTATTTCTGACCCTGGATTAGCAACCTACTGATGAATGTAGGTGATTTTCTTTTGGCATGGAGGAGTTGGGTGCTGTCTGGCATCTGAACTCCTTTTGTTTAAAGAATTCTGCTTTATGAGGGGAAAACAGAGCCTGTTTCACACCAGAGAAAGTGAAAACTCAAAACCTCACTTACCAACTCTCCTGGTAGCTAGGGCACTGGCAGGAACAATCACATGAATCTGCAGAGTCTAGAATCTGGGTCTAATAGTACAAGAGATCAGGGATGGGGGTGATGCTGTGGGTCTTTTAACTGACCATCACATGGGCTCCCAGGATCAAAAGGGCGGAGTCCGGGTCAGCACACCAAGGTATGTGAGCTGAAGCCTCCACCATTGCAAAGTGGAGCTGCGTCCATGTGGACCCATTCTTGGGCATGATTCTGGCTGTCTGACTCAGTAGAGTGATTTTTTTATATCAGTCTTCACTCAGAGCCTGGTTCCCCAGCCTTCCTAGAGATTCACTGAGCTTCACGATATCCTTTGAATAATTATCTTACTGCTTAAATCAGTCTGACTTCGTGACTGTACTGTTGCTTGCAGCTAAGAACCCTGACTGATATAACCACCTTAAAACAGCTAACACTGGGTGAATTGCTGACCACATGCCAGGCACTGGGCTTGGCATCTCATGCATGGTACCTTAATTAATTCTCACAACCACACTGCAAAGAAACCATTCTTGTCTCTATCTGAGATGAGGAAACTGTTACGTGGTTGAAATGGAATTTGACCACAGGGTCCTGTAGTACAAAAGCACACTCAATTAACTGCTAGGTCATCTTCTAACTCCAATCCCTTGTTATCTAGGTCTTCAAAGCAAGAACTTCTATTGTACCATTGTACCTACTATATGCCAGGAACTGTTCTAGGCATTGATGATAAAGCAGTGATCAAAACAAGCAAAATTTCATGGCCTGATTTATGCTTATATTGCTGACTGGTTTTCTTTGATGATCCTATGGTCCGTTTCTGACCCCAGCCTAACAACTTAATCTAACTCCACCTAACCTCACAATCCCAGCTCAGTAGAAACAGCCCAGACTAACAATAACATGCATATGTTGTGGCAAACATGAAGTTGCTCCAGATGTGGCTGAACCATCACAGAGCCTGCATGCAGTCAGAATCCTTCTCAACACAGCTCTATGGGTAGGCACTCCAGAATGATCAAATCTGCCGTGGGAGATGAATTACAATTGCCATCTCTATTAGATTTTAATTGCTATATAACACATTATCACAAATTTAGTTGCTTAAGGCAATACCCATTTATTGCCTCAAAGTTCTGTGGGTCAGAAGTCCAAGGGGCTTGGCTGGACTCTCTGCTTAGTGTCTCACAGGACAAACCAAGCACTGGCAGACTGGCTTCTTATCTAGAGGCTCTGGGGAAGAGTCTGCTTCCAAGTTTTGAGGCTGTTGGCAGAACTGACTTCTTTGGAGTTGCAGGAGTAAGTCCCCATTTTCTTGCTGATTGTCAGTCAGGGATCACTCTCAGCCCCTACAGGCCACTCTCAGGTTGCTGTGTGTGGCCCCTCCATTTACAAAGCCAGCAAGAGCATGTCAACTTCTTCCTGTGCTTTGTCACTTTCTGACTTCCCCATGTCCTGCCAAGCAGAGAAATCTCTTTGCTGGTTACTCTTTGCTTTCATGATTGGATCAGGCCAAACCTGGAAGATCTCCCTTGTGCTTTTTGCCACATAACATAACACAATCATGGGACTAACACCAGGAATGAAGGTCACGGAAACCATTTAACATTCTGCCTACCGTATCACACTTAGCCTAGGCCTATTTATTGTATAGCTACAAGTTTAAATAGTTTGGACACAACCAACCTCATTGAGTTGGGTTTTATGTGTTTACTTAAAAGCAGGGCTACTCTCAAAGTGACATGAGAGCAATGGCTTGAAGGACACAAGCAAATATGTGACATGGGTGTCTGGGAGAAGGGCATTCCAGGGAGAGGGAGCTGCGAGAGCAAAGTCCTGAGGCGGGAACTCAGCTACCATGCTTGAGGAACAGCAAGGAGGCCAGGCGTCTGCGGCAGAGTGAGTGAGGCAGTGGCCACTAGGAGACAATGTTGCTGAGGTTGTGAATCCATTGGGGTTCTGAATCACACAGGCCCTACTAGGGCCTTGCAGGACAAAGTAAGGAACTTCAGCTTTAAATCTGAGAAAACTGGGAGCCTCTGTGTGACTGTATTCTGAATTACAATTGGGAGCATCACTCTGGCTACCATGCTCACATGAGACTGTAGACAGGCAAGCTGAGAGAGCAGTTATGGGGTTGTGGGAATAATTCAGACAAGAAACGATGGTGACTCAGATCAGGTGGGTAACAGAAGGGCTAACTTAAAGTGGTCACATTCTGAATGTATTTTAAAGGTGACACCCACAGGATGACAGAAAGATAAAACAAAAGCAGAAAGGATTTTGGAGTCAGTAAGACCTGTTTTAAATTCTGGCTTTAGCATCTGTAAGCTACGTATCTTTGGGCAAACCACTAGAACTTTCCATACTTACTTTATTGGGTGGTAAAATAAAATAGGGCATTCACACAGAACTCATGGGTTTTGGTGAGAATTAAATACGGTAATATGTTCTGGAATCAAGCAGGTGCTCCAAAATTGTCAGTTTTGTTTTCCTAGTTGCTTAATAGTGCATGCTTGCTATTAAATGCCAGATCCCTCCTCCTCTTATTATAACCTCCTATTTTTCCTAGCCCTGCTCTTAAAAGAATACATAAAACCCAACTCAAGTTACAGTTATAAATGGGGAGGGGAGAACCAACACAGATAATCTGTCACACCCTACAATTTTTTTTCTTGACCTTTTAAGTCCAGGGGTATATGTGCAAAATGTCAAGGTTTGTTACACAGGTAAACATGTGCCATGGTGGTTTGCTGCACAGATTATCCAATCACCTAGGTATTAAGCCCAGCATCCATTAGCTATTATCCTGATACTCTACCTTCCCCAGCACCTCCCCAACTGGCCCCAGTGTGTGTTGTTCCCTCCGATATGTCCATGTATTCTCATCATTCAGCTCCTACTTATAAGTGAGAACAGGAGGTGTTTGTTTTTCTGTTCAGGTGTTAGATTGGTGAGAATAATGGCTTCCAACTCTACCCATGTTTCTGCAAAGGACATGATCTCATTCCTTTTTATGGCTGCATAGTATTCCATGCACATCCTACAAAAGGTTAAATAAGGGTGTGAGAGGCTCAAAGAAGCCCCCAAGTAGGAAAAACATCTTAAAGCTTCTGGCCAGTGGGTATAAAAGTTGGAATTAAAAAGTTGGTTTTGTGTAGGTGTGGTGGCTCACACCTCTAATCTCAGCACTTTGGGAGGCCAAGGTAGGAGGATTGCTTGGGTCTAGGGGCTTGAGACCAGTCTGAACAATACAGTAAGACCCCCGTCTCTACAAAAAAAAAAAAAAAATTAAAAATTAGCCGGGTACGGTGGTGCACACCTGTTGTCCTAGCTACTTAGGGAGCTGAGTCGGGAGAATTGCTTGAGCATGAGAGGTTGAGGCTGCAGTGATTCGTGACTGTGCCACTGCACTCCAGCCTGGGCAACAAAGCAAGACCCTGCCTCAAAAAAATGCTGGTTTTTCTAATGGGACCCCCTCTGGCTATTAGAGTATCTCTCCAGCATGGAGGAATGGCTCACTTTAAATGAGCTGTTTGTTCAATGTGAACAAACTGAACACTTGTTAAAAGAAAATATTAAAAGATACTTAAATCTTAGGTGTAGGGCTTTGATATGGGGGTCTTCATCACAGGCTTCCCAGGTTCCAATAGAATGAATCCCACTAATGTAGTAGGAGGCATTAAGAAATCAGGCACCTGCTACTGATGTGGCAGAAGTGTTAAGGTCTTTATTATTACATTTTCCTTACCACTTAACTAGCTGTGGCACTTTGGACAATTAGCTTGCTCCTCATGTAATTACTGAGCAAAGTAATGATATATGTAATATGCTGTATAACAGTGCCCAGTACCTAGCAAGTAATCAATAAATGGTTAACCATTATTATTATCAACATTTCTATCAATAAAAATAGTTTCTGGGCGTGGGACTTTCACTCAGAGCCTTGCTCACAGATGCACAGCTCTATTTTTTCCTTTTTTCTCTCTCTTTCTTTCTGACATAGGAAGTGTCAAATTTAGTACACAGATCCAAGAAAAAACTTGAGATGATTTCGTAGAAGGCCATTTAATAACACTGCTGCCCTCAAGTTTGACTTCTTTCCTTCTGGTGCTAAATATACTAATTCCTCTTTCCCTACCCACTGCCACCAACAAGCATACTCTCCATTGACCCGTCTGAGTGACTCACACAGTTTGCTGTGATGCATCTGGAGCTTTTCAGATTCCTGCCTGCTCCCAAACCAACACAGATTTGTGTCATCAGCAAATTCCACCAACTTGACAGTGAGAGAGCTGACATTTACATAGCCACAGCTTTAGGCAGCAGTGACCAAGCTGGTGAATTTCTAATGAGAAAGGTGTGGGTCTTCAGGAATGAATATTTGACAAGTGAAAGTTTCCAGAGGAAAATTAATCATTTTAACCCATTCTCAGTCATTTTCCTTTCCTTTGTTCTTTGTGTTTCTCTTACCTTACACTTTTTTTTTTCTGGCCTATAGAGCTATAATTGACTACCAGGGTTTCTTCTAAGGGACGAATCAGGGTGCAGGAGTGTGAATGGAAGGAGGTAGGTAAATGGTTTACCAGACGAGGCTTGTTGTAAGATGGGCAGCTGTAGAGGGAAAATGGCAGAATTGCCTTGCTATCCAAATTATTGAGCATCACAAACAATAATTTACAAACATGCAAGGTGGTGCTAAGTGAAGAGCAATACTACTTATGCCGGTCCAACCTCCTTTCCCTCTCTGGAAAGAGCAGCCAAAGTTTCCCTTGGGAACATGCTCCTTCCCCAGTTTTGGTGCGAATGTCAGTCGACCTCCATCCTTCCTTGCTACCAGGCACATGGTCCCAGTGAAGCCCATTTAGTTCTTTCTTGTGTGATTAAGAATTTTAGGCAGAGGCACAGGTAGAAGAAGTTGCACCAACAAATATTAGTTCGTACTTCCTTGATCCTCAGGCCCTGTTCTTCTGAAGTCTGCTTTTTCTGCTTTGTCTTTGAAACTGTGAGGCAATCTATATCTTTCCTCTTTACTGAAGTTAGCAGAATCAGTTTTGTAGCTTGCAATCAAAGAATCCAAAATGATATAAGCTCTAAATCTAGCCTTTCCAAGGACAGCATATCAGTTCACAAAAGGAATAAAATGAGCATGACTGTATTTACCAGGTGTGCACTATTATTTATGGCAGGCGAGGAGCTATTTTCAAGACAGCAGGAAAATTGGCACTTAGGCTATCTGAGGGTTAATAACTCTCATTCTGTCTGCTAGTTCCTGGGGAAGAGTGGAGATGAGAGGGAAGCAGAAGGGCACAGATGTAACTGATAGACTAGGACTCTAGTGGGATTAATTAACAAAGCTTGTGGGTTTTTATCAGCATACAAGAAAGGAACAGTTTGAAAGAAAGAGAGATGTATGTCAGAACTATATAGATATGGATTTGCAAGTGTAGCATAATAGAGATATCTTAGTCAAGGATTAGGTTCTGAAGTCAGAATATAAAGCAAAAATAATGTAGACTTAAAATTAACTTACACCATCTCTGGAATCTCTAATAGGGTACAATAAAATTGATGATTCCATACAGGGATATATTATTATAACAGTATTACATAGACTAAAATATAAAATGTATATAGGAGTACATATGCAGAGTGTAATTTTACATTATTGTTACTTACATAGGACAGACAGAATCGAAAACACATGAAATCACTTTGAGAAGCAAGTGGGTTGCATAAGACTAGATGCACATCTTTTGTCTCACATCCAACGAGAGACAAACCTTACACATAGAATGGTAGACAGAATCACCTGTAGTATTGTGTTATTTTTATTTTGGGAGGCAGGTGAGTGGCCAACTATCCAGATAATGCAAGTTAAAAGAGTATCTAACATAATGCCTGTGATCTTAAGAAGCAATTTACTTTATCAAGGAGACTTGGCTGCTATTAGGTAAGCTACCACCAGTTTGCATAACATTGGAAACTTCATGAGGTCTTCACAAAGTTAGACTTCCTGTAGGCCTTGAACACTAAGACATATGGATTATTCTAAAATTCTTTGCTTGTTTTTGCATCCCTGAATAAAAAACACATACAACTCTATGAAAATATTTGACAAAATGCTAAGAGAAAATTCTGAATGGAATTAAACACACAATATGAAGAAAGAGATGAAATGGAAAAAGGTAGATACCATGATGTGAATTACTGGTTATAGCATCACAAAATAACTTAGGCCTGAAAGAAACCTTAAAGATAATGTAATTTAATTTTTTAAACCAAAATGCCTAGTGCATAGAAGGTACTCAGAAAAGGCCCGCTGAGTGAATAACTTGCCTTTTTTTTAAATTAGGAAACAACAGTGACTAAAATAATTATTGAGTCCACAGGCATAATAATTAGAAAAAAGAAGAAAAAGGCAAAAAAATAGGGAGGCAAAAAATATGAGAAAATAAATGGTGACCCTCCTTTTGACATAAAAATATCAGTTAAGAAATATAGAATGAATTTGTATTCATTATTTTTGGAAAATTACCATTTTGCAAGTCCCATTGTAATAATTTATTTAAGCAAGAATTACCAACGGATCCTACAAAAATTGGGTGGAAAGTTTTTAGAGAACAAGATATTTTTTTCACACAGATTACTTGTTAACTATAGTTGATAAAAGTTACCTCTGCAATGGAGAGATCTGGCAGACATCCCCTTAATCAAGTGTTCAAACTAAGCATTACCAATTAGAGGACAAATAGACATTATGTACTTCCAGTGACAATGTAAGGGAAGTACACAGCATCACCCATGCAACATTCTTGCCTAAAAATGTTTATCCTGATTCGAGTCATAAAGAAACAGACAAATCCAGAATGCAAATCATTCTATAAGGTAACTAGCCGGGACTCTTTAAAAAGTGTCAATGTCACAAAAGACAAAGAAACAGTGAAAATTTTTCTACTTTATAAGAGATTAGAACGTGACTACTAAACGTAATATGTAAACCTTGATTGAATCCTGAGGTTTTTTTTTTTAAGGCATGAAAGGACATTTGGAGGACTACTGGGGAGATTTGAATATAGACTCTATATTAGATATTATTGAATTAATGTAATATTTCTTGGGTGTGAAAATGGTATTGTTGTTACATAGGAGAATATCCTGGTTCATAGCTTATACATCCTAAAATTCTTCAGGCTAATGAATCAAAATGTCTGCAAATTACTTATAAATGATTGAGCTCTGAAAAAGAGTATACACACACGGACAGAGAGAGAACAAGAAAGCAAATAGAGCAAAATGTTAATGATCAGTGAATGAAGGGGAAGGGTATAAGGGTATTCTTGTGCTGTTGTTTCATTTAAGTAATTTTGACACTTTTTCACAATTAAAAGTTGCAGAAAAATAAAGAATCAAGTTCAGAGAAATCTTTAAATGACACAACCAAGTTGCTGTCCATATGGTCAATTTGTAGCTTAGCCTATCCTTTGGTCTTCCCTCAGACTTCAATAAGGATATTCTCATTAACCCAGAAGCTGTCAAGGCCTAATAAAATTCCAAGTACCTATGTCAAAAATGTTTGTATCCAGAATATACGGAGAACATGTAAAACTCAATAATAAAAAGACAAGCAACGCTATTTTTTTAAAATTGGCAAAAGACATTTCTCCAAAGAAGATATACAAAAGGCCAATAAACACATTAATAAACGTTCAATATCATTATAGCCACTAGGGGAATGCCAATGGAAACCACAAGAGAGACCACTTTCCATACACTAGAATGGCTATAATTAAAAAGATAATAACTAGGACTGATGGGGATATGGAGAAAATGGAACCCTCATTCATACATAATGGGAATGTGAAACGGTGTAGCTGCTTTGGAAAACAGTTGGGCAGTTTCTCAAACGTTAAGCATAAAGTTACCATACAACCCAGCAATTCCACTCCTAAAAAAATACCCAAGAGAAGTGAAAATAGATGTACACACAAAAACTTGTACATCCATGGTCACAGTGGCATTTCTTCCTAATAGTAAAAGAGTGGAAGCAATACAAATGTCTATTGGCTGTGGCATAACCATCCAACGGAAGATTATTTGGCTTAGGTAGTAAAAATGAATGACATATTGATACACACTTGATATGGTTTGGCTGTGTCCCTACCCAAATTTCATCTTGAATTCCCATGTATTGTGGGAGGGACCCAGTGGGAAGTGATTAAATTATGGGGTCGGGTATTTCCTGCACTCTTCTTGTGATAGTGAAAATGTCTCACGAGATCTGATGGCTTTATAAGGCAGAGTTTCCCTGCACAAGCTCTCTCATTTTTTGCCTGCCACCGTCCACATAAGATGTGACTTGTTCTTCCTTGTCTCTCACCGTGATTGTGAGGCTTCCCTAGCCACTTGGAACTGTAAGTCCAATTAAACCTCTTTCTTTTGTAAATTGCTCAGTCTGGGGTATGTCTTTATCAGCAGCATGAAAATGGACTAATACAATACTACAACATGGATGAATCTTGAAAACATTATGCTAAGTGCAAGAAGCAAATCATAAAAGACTACAGATTGTATAATTCCACTTACATGAAATGTCCATAACACACAAATCTATGAAGATGGAAAGTAAATTAGTACTTGTCAAGAGCTTGGAAGAGGAAGAGAGTGACTGCTAATAGGTATGAAGTTTCTTTTTCGGGTGATGAAAATATTCTAAAATTAGATTTGTAGTGATGCTATTTACAACCCTGTGAAGATGCTTAAAAAACAGAACTGTATACTTTAAATGTGTAAATTGTATAAGTGAATTTTATCTAAATAAAGCGCCTTAAAAAATATATACAGTTGACCCTTGAACATCGCAGGGGTTAGGGGTGCTGACCCCTGGACAGTAAAAAAAACTGCCTATAACTTTTGACTCCTCAAAAATTTAACTACCAATAGCCTATTGTTGACTGGAAAGTTTATAGATAACAGAAACAGTCGATTACCACACATTTTATAGTTATATGTATTATAAACTATATTCTTACAATAAAGAAAGCTAGAGAAAAATTGATATTAGAAAATCATAACGGAGAGAACATATATTTACTATTCATTAAGTGGAAGTGGATCATCCTAAAGGTCTTCATTCTCCTTGTCTTCACAGTTAAGTAGTCTGAGGAGGAGGAGGAAGAGGATGGGTTATTCTTGTCTGAGGGATGGAGAAGGCAGAAGAAAATCTTCCTATAACCTGCAAAGTTCAAACCTGTGTTGTTCCAGGGCCAAGTGAATGTGTGTGTGTGCGTGCACACGTATACAATTATGTCTAAAGTGTTTGCAGGAAGCTTTTCCCCCTACTTTTTAATCTTTCTAGCATGAGATTTCTTTCTGTTTGCTGCAACTCAGAGATAAGTCTCCATTTTCCCTTCTAAACTTTCTACTCTAGACCTCTGGCCTAGTAGATAGACAAAGAAAGGAGACAAGAAGCATCACTCTTCTTCCTTCCAGCGTCAGTTAGTATCAAGTCACTCTGTGTTCCTTCCTCCCACACTGGGAACGTAAGCGCAAGGCACTGACTGATCAGCCAGGACCAAATTGTCCCTGGGCAATGATCACACGTACAGAATCAGGCTCGAAACTGCTCTCAGAGGCAGCTTGCCTCTGAAGCATCTGCTTTCTTAGACGAATTGGGAGTTTCAGATGAGGAAAGAAGAAGCCAGGTTTTTAAGGGATAGAAAGTGGTTTATGTGCTGCTGAGGAGAAAGGAGGAAAAAAGAGAAAAAGGAGGGGAATGGAACAGGCAGGGAGGAGAAAAGGGACATGTACAGGAGGCAGGAGCAGTCACATGATGATTTAGCCTGTCCAGCATCCTGTCCTATTCCTGGAAATAGCTGTCTGATTTTCCAAGGGAAAATGCTCTTTCTCTGCGTCAGTCCACTTGGCTTGGGTGGGGCTGAAGCTCAGCGCCAAGGGAGGTCCCGTGACCCTGGTCTCAGCCAATCAGTGCGTTCATTTTCTTTCACATCTTGATTAGTTCAGGGGTGAGCACATGACCCAACTGGGCCAGTGAGATTCAGGCTCAGGATTTCCGTTGGAAGTTCAAAGAAGAAGAAGAATCTATGAAGATTTTAAGCCAAGAGCAGCTGTCAGCAATCTAGCTAGCACAAAAAAGTACTTGCCTGATAATGCAGATAAGAGAGGAGGTTTTATCCCATGGTAACATATGGGACTCTGGGTCTAGAAGCTAGAATCCCTGACAGTTTGAGCTACTTTGTTCGTAACTCCTCTTGTGCCTCCTCTGTCCTTCCCCCCAACTTAAACCAGTTTGTATTAGTGTTCTGCCCCTCGCAATATAAAGAATTCTGCTTAACATGGAAGGCAATCAGTAGAGTTCCCCCAGTGCTTCCCTTAATGGTCACCCAGTGACAGCAACACAGTCTGTGATGGTTAATTTTATGTGTCAACTTGCCTAGACCACGGTACCCAGATATTTGGTCAAATATTATGCTACATGGCTCTGTGAAGGTATTTTTTTTTTGATGAGTTAACATTTATATCGATGGACTTTGAGTAAAGCATACTATTTTCCATAATGTGTATCGGCCTCATCCAATCCATTGAAGACCTTAAAAAGAGAAAGACTGACCTCCTCCTAAGAAGAGGGAATTCTGCCAGCAGACCACTTTGTCTCAAACTACAACTCTTCCCTGGTTCTCCAGCCTGCTAGCTAATTCTGCAGATTTCGGACTTGCCAGCCTCCATAATCACATGAGCCAATTCCTTAAAATAAATATCTTTCTCTACACATTTATGTGTGTATACATATCCTATTGGTCTTGTTTCTCTGAACAACCTCCACTAATACGCAATCAAATGGTTATCCCAAGACAACGTGCAGGATTTCAGAGTTTTAGGTAGGAAGAACACAATGTTTGCATTCCTTTCCCCAACTTTACCTCCATCTTCAACAATAGTCATACCCACTGTACACCAGGTTCTGTGTAACATCTTTTGCTTTCTTACATCAGCCTAATTCACATCTAATATACCCTTCCCATTTTACAGATAACAAGAGATTAAGTGACTTGCTCAAGGTCAAAATGCTGGTAATTGAGAGACCCAGGAAGCCAATTCAGGCCTCCCTTGATCCACCCCAAAGACCTCAACTAAAAGGCAAGTGGCTCATTTTCTGGGAGACAATTCCTGAGGATGCGCTTTTCTTTTTCAAAGAGTTGGGGCAGCAGATGTAAAGTTATAAGAAGAAGTGAGACCACAGACTGATACTCTACACCATCTGCCCCTTTCCCCCAGCACTGCTTCCCCATCAGGATCCATTTGTCAATTTAAACATCTACTTGTGGGTACTGCTTTTCTACAGAGAGTCACTGAACCAAAAGGCCATGGTTTCTGCCCCTGAAGAGTAGGATCTGAGCTCCAATGTCTAAAATGCTGATTTAGCTCACTGTCTTCAGTTGATAGACTCACACCTTCTCTAACCTTCCTCTGTCAGGACTTGACTTTTTACCAGGAAGTGGCTGTCACATTAATGGCAAGCTGTTGAGGACAGCTCCCTCTGAGGTTTATGCAGAGGACTACAGGACTCTCTCTGGGTGGAATGCCAGCCATTGCTATCCTTCCTTCTTATGACAACAGCAGCAGTTTCCACACATCTGGCATTGCCATCCCATCTTCGCGACATATGCCGTATCTGCAGACCACCCTTAATATTATTTATTGAGCATAGTTTTAACTGGCTTTGGTTTTATTAAGAAAACTATTTGAATAGAAAGTTTTATGTAATAAATTATTATATATGAAAACCATTTTTACTTGCCATAAATATAACTTGTAAAAATTAAATTTTGACAACTTATTCAATTTTTCTAGACACCCCTGTTTATCAAAGGCTTTGGGCCTTTGGTTCTCTTTTTTTTTTTTTTTAAGGAGATTACAGGTAATAGAGAGTTGTTAACAATCTTGTAATTCTAAATCAAGATCAAACTAAAAGATATGTGTCATTTGAAAAGGCTCGAGAGTATACGAATCACTTTAGTTCAGGAAAACCTCTACTGACCACTTACTTTATGCCATATCCTGTGCTGGTTACTGTTGACAAACTATTTTAATACAAGTTCCATTAGAAATGATTAAATAAAAATATTTGGCATTTAATTCAATTATGTTTCAAAATAAAGGAAAACCTTTCTAGATGCTCCTAAGTGCCAATTTAAATATAGAATTTCTTTTCCTAGTTTGTTTATACAGTCTCTTAAAAAGACACCTTCAATTAATGTAACTAAAATGCATAATCTTAAATATTATTATTGCACTGGAATTTATGTAAAAGGAAAAAAAAAAACTCATCAGCACCAACTCAGACTTTCCCCTCAAGTTTGTGGGAGAACTTAAAGTATATTAACTTTTTTCTGTGTACTTTGTTTAATTTAATGCAGAATTTTTATACCAACTAAAACCACCTTCTTCACCACCTAAAACCATCTCGATGCCATATAAAATCATCTGGAAGCTACTGTGGCATGTGTTCCATATTTTGGAAACACGGATGAAAAGAAAACAAAACAGAGTTTGATACCTGGGTTTGATGCTTGCTCTGCCACTTACCAGCTGTGTGTGTTTAAACAAATTATTTAACCTCTCTGAGTCTTCAGTTCTTCATCTGTGAAGTGAGAATAACAATATTAACCTTGTTGAGCTGTTGGGGAGTAGAAATGAATAAAGTATGAAAGTATGCTAAGGGCCTCGTGTAGTGCTTGGTACACAGTAGGTACACAATATATGTTAGTACTCTACAATGGGTGGGTACGGGAATCATTGCTGACAACTGGGCATGCCATCTCACATCATCGGGCATGACAACCTGAAAGCCCACAGGGACAAGGCAGGTCACATGAAAAAGGAAAGCGTGCTGGATGGTGTCCTAATAAAGTAGCAATCCAGCAAAGGTTCCATCTTAAGCAGGCACCTGCTTGCTAAGCCTCAGCTGACGTTAACAGCAAGTAACCTTTGTTATGTTATCACTCTAAGGGTCTAAGTACTTTACACATATGAACTCATTTAATCCTCATAACCCTAGCAGGAAGGTCCTATTATCATCCCCAGGTTATAAATGAGCACACAGAGTCACAATGAGATTAAGTAGTTTGTCTAACCCCACAGAGCTAGGAAGCGGCAAAACCAGAATTGAAAGCCTGACATTCTATTTCCAAAGCCGATCAGCCTTCTTTATCCACTAAGGGCGATGAGCGGTTCTCAAGGTTTGGGGTGCATCAGAATCACTTCAAGTGATTCTGAACTGGTTGTTAAAATAAAATTTTAGTGTGGAAGGGCTTGTTAAAATAAAAATGGTCAGGGCCAATTCAGTCACTAGAGGAGGAAGGACAGAGAAAATGCATCTTTAAAAAGTTCCCAGGTGATCCAGGGACACTCTGAGAATCACCATTCTAGGCTATTCTTCCTCTTCTAAGGCTGGTCCAGTGTTCTAGATCTTCTGACTGAATTACAAGAGTAGCCAGAAATGTGGTCTTTTGTATGAGGGCTCACTATATTTAAATGCTGGCCACTAATTCAATATGTTTAAAAATACTAAGCAAGCCAAAAAAAAAAAAAAAAAAAGAAACCACACAGACAAACAGAAAAGAAGTTAGCAAGCCAAATTTGGCCTCTAGGCTGTTGGTTGGTGATTTCTGCTTTGTGTGTATAAAGTATTTTTAACACATTTATGCAACAAATGTTTATTGAGCACTTGCTACATGCCAGGGGGACATACTGGGAGCTGGGCATACAGAATGAGACCAAGTCAGATGAGAACGTCTCTTTTTGTGGAGGTTACATTTGGGTGAGGGAGTGGAGGAGCATGGAGAAGACAAAAAAAATCACTAAACAAATCAAGGGGACCTTTCCAGCTATGGTAAGCTCTCTAAAAAACAAACGACAGAGTAATAGGCTCGGTGACTTCCTTGGTTATTTGCAGCTCTAGGAGGAGGAAGGGAAAGTGTAACATGCCTCTGTCACTGAAGAAAAGTAGACAAATAGGAGTTGAATTATGCACCACAGCCAAAGTGCCCCAGGCTGTGGAGGTCAGAACAACACTGCTGCCTGATTTACCCGCTAAGACCAATTCTGTGACATCATTCCACCGCCCGTCGATTATTTACCTCATCCCCAAGTGCGGAAGGTCAAACCGCTGGTATTTTGCAGTCTGCCTCTGCAGGTGAAATTTAGCTTTAATTGTCTAATTGCTACTCTGGCAACGGCTGCCACAGATTCATTTTCGAACTCAGCACAGGTGCGCTCTGTGGCTGATGTTCTATTTTCAAGGACGAAAGGAAGGAATTAGAGAACCTGATGTCTTCTGCTTCAAGAGTTAAGATGAAGTTATTTTCTTCCCCCAATCAAGTCATGTTATCTCATTTCAATTTTCCAGAGTGTCTTCTCATCATAAATTAAACTGGGTTGCCAAATCCCAGAGCAACAAAAATGGAAAGGTAGTTGGGAGGAAGAGAAAAAACAAGTTTGGTGCTTATTAAAGAAAAACGTTTGTGTCCTTGAAGAACGGTCATGATGTAAAGGAGCTATATGTGATAATAATAATGAAAAAGAAGAGGATGATGATGGTGATGGTGATGATGGTGTTGCTGACCAGGTCTGTAACTTACCAAATATTCCCTAATTAAAGCCACAGCATTCTAGTCTGAGGCGGGTAAGCAGCCGTAGGCCTATTTAAACGGATTCAAAAAAGTCTATGTGAATTTCTTAAAATAATTACTGCATTCTTGATTCCAGCAGCTAATTCAATTTCAAGAAAACACCTCCCCCCACCCTTTTTTTTTTAAATACTTGGAAGACAGATACACTGATTTTACATGTGCTTTAATTATTTTCAAGTCAGCACTAAGGAGATGAGTTGTAGCCAGTGGTATGTGCTTTTACAAACTTGACATGGAATGGAATGAAAACGCCAAGGCAGAGAGAGTTCTTTTTAAAAAAGAATGTCAATAAGTAAATTCCAGAGCCCTCTACAACATTATGGACCATTTTAGAAATCAGCACAGGTCGAACTGTGCACCTGGAAACAAAGCATGCCAGGCTACTGGGTGTAAGAGACGCAATCCATCAAAATGCAAGGTGTGCACCTGGCCATTAGCAACATGGCTTTGTGTTCTCTGAATGTTTTGGGGTGGATAAAGGGAGGACGGGAAAAATTTAAGATTTGGGTATCAGTTGCACTGCTCAAGGTAGAAGCCCTCGGTGTCGCAGTCTCTTTACCTATGGAATGGAGATGATAATGAGAATCACAGCTGCCCCGTCTACTCTCCTCAGGCTGCCAGGAGGATAACATATCATACCACATTGGAAACTAGAAAGTGACAATTCTAAAGACAAACTAAAGAAAGGCTGTTATTATCACGGTCTTCTCCCCAGCTGGACTTATGAGCCACTTGTGTAAAAAGACGTCATCTTAGTTTCTTTGTACCTCTTACCACATTGTAAACACATAATAATGTCAGAGTAGGCTTTGTGGGTGTTGTCAGTTTGTAAAAATCTTTGTCCCTCTACACAAGAGTTCACCTAAGGTTTTCTTTAGTCAACTCAGACAATACATTTAAAATATTATCTGACTGCTCAATAAATATAAAAGAAGAATTTCAGTTCCAGAATAGAAATAGCATCCCTTTTACTGAGATCTTTGCATTCATTTTCCAACCTAATCTTCATAGTAGTCCCTCAAGACGGATATAACTATCCCCATTTTCGGATGAGGAAACCAAGACTCAGAGAGTTTAAATAACTTGTCCAATTTTTCACAACTAATAAGTAGCAGAGGCAAGATTTGACTGAATCCAAAGCTCCCCCATTTCCCTCTAAGTCATGCAAAGCTTGGTTGGTTGATTGTCATGGCTGTGAATCTAAGTGTCCATTACAGTTTTAGTAACTTTCCAACTTACTTGTACGCATTATGAAAAACTTAGTTCTTTCTATAAATATTTCTTACAAAAATATTTCTCTTGCTGGGCATGGTGGCACAAGCCTATAATCCCAACTACTTGAGAGGCTGAGGTGGG
The DNA here is from genome assembly GCF_000001405.40 of Homo sapiens. NCBI lineage: Eukaryota > Metazoa > Chordata > Mammalia > Primates > Hominidae > Homo > Homo sapiens. The sequence continues at coordinate 64,333,746 of NC_000003.12, forward strand.
AGGACGACTTGAGCTCAGGAATTCAAGTCCAGCCTGGGCAACATAACAAAACCTTATATCTAAAAGTAATAATAAAATTAGAAAAAGAAAGTATTCCTCTTGCCAAAGAGACATAATTCTTTTGGTCCAGTATTCAAAATATAAGTCCAGTTTTCAATCTTACAAGAATGTCAGAAACCCTTCCTATTCATTCTTCAAATTCTAGAACTTGACTGGGGAGATGTATGCAGGGGTGGAATGATAATGCATAGTGGCAGCTAAGCCAGGACCATAATTGTCCAACTCTAGCTTGCTTTAATGAGCATATACCTGGGAAGCTTGCTAAAAATGAACTCCCAACCTCCCTAGCACCCCGTTCTGATTCAACGTGCTTAGGGCAGAGCCCAGAGTCTAAGTCTGTACAAACTCCCTGGTTATTCAGATGCAGGTGGGTCTCAGGCCATATTTTCCATTCAACATGTCCAGGAGCATAGGCAGGGAATTGGGAACCAAGAGCCTAGCTTTGCAGCACTTTTGAGGCCTTAGACAACTCCATCAAACTCTTCAAATGTTTATTTACAGAAAGCAACTCTCCCTTTCTTGGGTATCCCTGGCCCCCATTTTGGGGGAATTGACTGTACTTCATTTTGCTTCAGAACTTCTTGATGGATAACACTATCTTTTGTTGTATGCTCACTGTAGCAACTCTTACTCACCGGGATTGCCTTGTGCTTTAGATTTTAATTATAGAACAAACTTCAGATAAAAAAACTAAAGCTCAACACTGTAAAGAGGACAAGGCCCATTCCAGCATTTGCATGGTTTTACTATAATCAAAGCCATCCTTGAAGGGCAGAGCCACCAGAAATGACTGCACATTTAGCTAACTTTCTTCTACTAGCGTTTAAGTGCCTGCAAGAACCACTCTCTCTGACAAATATATATCAATAAGAAGGCAGTACAAAACCTGCTTGTTAGAGGAGGATGCCCCAATATCTATTAACTAGGGTCCTTCAATACTGGCAGTACAGGGAAGATTTTGCCAGAGACTGACCTTCTTCCCCATGGGGCTGTAGTTCCCAACCCTATCTGTCATTAGAACCAACTATGGGCTTTAAAAATACAAATACATTATTGGGCCCCATGCCCAGAGATTTTTATTTAAAGGGTCTGGGGAGTTTCAGTATCAGTACGTTTAAAAAGTTCCCCAGGTGAATCTGTTATGCAAGAATTGTGAACCTTCAAAGACCTTCAAGTGCCAATCATCATGCCAGCATTAGGCACACAGCCATTCCTCCTTCTAGCAAAGGATCCTTCCATTAGCTAGAGCACAACTCAAGTATAACTCAAATGTTTAGGATGGAGGACTAAGTGATAACATTAAAGTTTATCTTTAAATTAATTTTTACCTAAAACTTAAGGGATTAGACTTTACAGATTTAATACATGGCTTGACACTGAGGTCTTCACTTGATTTTGCTGTCAGACAGTCATGTGGCATGCCTTGAAAAAAAAGGGTGGGAGGGACACATTGTGGGATAGGCGACAGTGGGGACACTGAGGATTAGATTTTAGTGCCCTGTGACATATTGTTGAGTTTGCCAAGTTAACTGAATTTATGCATTTGTAGCTATCTGATATTACTGAACTAACCCTTGCAAATGACCTAAACAGATTGTTACAAAAAAATCTTTAGATAGGGTATAATTGTAATAATGCAAGCACAAGAAAACGAGAGAGGGGTTGAGTTGATGCATTTTTTACTCCTAATATAAGCTCTTTGAATGACACATTATGAAGTAAAAACAATACCAAGAAATAGTAACCATAATTTGGTAAAAAGAAAAAAAACTCAAAAATTTCAAGATGGCTCTTAAAGTATATATTTTACATACTATGATTGACTATGAACCTTGACTTAGTATTATGTCATGCTTTGGAATAGAGACAGTCCTCAATGAGCACAGTTCCTATATGTACAAATATTAGTTACCCTAGTTTAGTTAAATAACACCAGTCCCTCAGCATGATTCCAATTTCAGTTTCCATGGTATTTTAACAGTGAGCAATTTGCATGAAGTACAAGCTTTACTGCTTCAGTCCACAAATCGCTATGTAAATAACAAATGGCGCCGGGTGTGGTGGCTCATGCCTATAATCCCAGCACTTTGGGAGGCCAAGGTGAGCGAATCATGAGGTCAGGAGTTCAAGACCAGCCTGGCCAACATGGTGAAACCTCATCTCTACTAAAAATACAAAAATTAGCTGGGTGTGGTGGTGGGTGCCTGTAATCCCAGCTACTCAGGAGGCTGAGGCAGGAGAATTGCTTGAGCCCAGGAGGCGGAGTTTGCAGTGAGCCAAGATCGTGCAACTGCACTCCAGCCTGGGAAAGAGCAAGACTCTATCGCAAAAAAATAAAAATAAAAATAACAAATGTGTATTGTGATCAGTGAGCAGTCACATTTCCTTTTTTCAAAGTCTGTCAATGATTGGTCACTGCATATCTGTTATTTGGTTCACTCTCTGACAGCAAAGCATGTAGCTGTGCTGCCTCCTTGCCTCCCAGTGATATATACCTATGTGACATTTTTTAAAAGTAAGTGAATTGGCCACCAAAATTTAAAGTGCAGGCAAAAACCAAAAAGTGATCATGCTGAGAGTGAGATTCAAATAGAAAATAGAATTATGGAATTCTATTTATCTTCTAAATAGAACATAACTATTCTTAAGACTATTTAATAACTATTCTATTTAAATAGAACATAATAGATGTTATATCTACATTACATTACTAGTCAACAGGGTTTGGCTATGCAGCCAGAAGAATGTAATAAGGCAAACTTACCGATGTAAATAGGAAAGTGATTGTGACAAGAAGTCACATTTCAATATCTTGAAATTTCTCTGGGAGTTTCTTTAACGTAGAGTTTTTGGTCAGTGTCATTCCCTCTGGTAAACTCTCAGAGAAACGTCAAGATATTCAAACTACAAAACATAAAATGTTGGAAGCTAATCCCAACTTAAAAAGAAGTATGACAATTTGCTAAGTTATAGAAAACATGCCTGCTCTGTATCACAGATAATATGACAAAGAGAAAGATAAGCACTATTCAACCACTCTTGATACATTTTTTTACAAAGAAATAAAACATTTTGATTTTCAGTGTTACTAATTTTAAATTGCAGTATACTAAATATTCATTTTACTATTTTTCTTATTTCCCTATGCATGTATAACCAACAGTAATAAAGTTTTAATGGTTTAAAAAAAATTTTAAAGGTCACAGTAAAAATTTAATTTTTTCCTACTGCTTATTAAGATTTTTTGCAAAGTTTTGGCTTGCAATGTTATTTTTATGGTTCCATACTGCCATGCAAAGCAAGTACTGCTTATTTTAGCTAATAATAGGAATATGTGTATATAATTTATGGATAAGTAAATATACATGGATTGGTAGCCTATGTTCAAATATTTTCTACTGAGAGAGAGAGAGTGCAATTTAAAGAGTTTGGAGACCCTTGGCTCAGGCAATGCTTATCAAAAAATGCAGGATGGCAAAAGGAAAACTATCTCAGTCACAACAAACTGGATAATCCAAGTCTCAAGGTGTTGCTTTCTCACCTTCACTTGACTCAAGTCTTTCCTCCTGGTCTCCATTCTGCCCCAGTGGCAGAGACCACCTGGAACACATCTTACCTTGGTGGGCCGCCAGGACATCTGCCACCTTACTGCTCAGACTGGCATCACCCAGCAGCTTGTTAGAGATATAGGATCTCATGCCCCACTCCGGCATCTTCATTTTAATAAGTTCCCCAAGTTATTCTTATACTCTAAAATTTGAGATGTTTGCTCTAGATTTCTTAATGTCTGAGCTTAAGAGGAAATTCAAGAGCAGGCAAAGAGAAGGATTTCCTATGTCATATAAAGAAAGACTATCTACTGAAGTCCCTATTTTGTATAAGGACTTGCTGCTTCCTTGAGACTGATACCACTCATGAAAACAATAACAACAGCAACAGCAAACAAGTATCAAGTGCTCACTGTATGCCAGACAGTGTAATAAACTATTTACGTCATCTCACTTAAGACTCATATGGTCTGTAAAATGGGAACAATGATATTACTCCCAACACACGCACAATAGCAGGTTGTGTGCTCATAGTCTCATTCAGGTGACAGTGAAGGTAAAGGAAAATTTGGACCTACCTGCATGAAGGAGGCTGAGAGGTATGTGTGCATATGTATGCACACATGTGTGTGCATGTGCAAGCATTAACCTTAGCAAGAAAAGGCAGCTGCTCATCTTTCATGTCCCATTTTCTTTAGGCTCTCTCTGAACCACCTACCCGAGTTCCCACCTACAGAAAACAAATTTGGGATCATCTTAAATTTGGAGCATGGGTGAAAATACAAATCGATTTCTTTTTGGCCGAAATTGACAAAATTCATATGGACATTCAAGGGACCCAGAGTAGCCAAAACAATCTTGAAATAGAAGAGCAAGACAGGAAGAGTCACATTTCTCTATTTCAAAACTTACTACAAACCTATAATAATACAGACAGTGTGGCACTGAAATAAGGACAGACATACGGATCAATGGAATATAAATGAGAGACCAGAAATGAACCCATGTATCTGTTGTCCATTGATTTTTGGAAAAAGTATCTAGATAATTAAATGGCAGAAATAATAATCTTTTCAATAAATGGTTTTGAGACAACTGGACATCCACATGCAAAATAAAGAAGTTGAACCCCTTTCTCACACCATACATAAAAATTAACTCAAAATGGATTACAGACCTAAATATAAGAGCTAAAACTGTAAAATTTCTAGAAGAAAATAAAGGAGTAAATCTATATAACCTTGGGATAGCCAATGGTTCCTTAGATATGACCCTAAATCACAAGTGACAAAAAAATATAGATCACTTGGGCTTCATAATGATTAAAAACATCTGTCCTTCAAAGGATACCATCAAGAAAGTGAGAAGATAATCCATAGAAGGGGATAAAATATTTGCAAAGCATATATCTCATATAGGATTTGAATGTAGAATATACAAAAAAACTTTAAAACAATAAAAAGATAAATGACTCAAAAATGGACAAAGAATCTGAACAGACATTTCTCAGAAAAATAAGATATATAATGGCCAATAAGTACATAAAAAGATGCTCAATATCATTAGCCATCAGGGAAATACAAATCAAAACCACAGTGAGATGTGACTTCACAACCATTAGGATGGTTATAATCAAAAGACAGACCATAACAAGGATTAGTGACGATACAGAGAACTGGCAACCTTCACACATTGCAGATGGGAATGTAAAATGGTACAGCCACTTTGGAACAGTTTGACCCCAGGATGTTATAAATGGAGTTACTATATGACCCAGGAATTTTACTCCAGGAAATATATCCAAGAGAAAAGAAAACATATGTTTATGCAAAAACCTATATATGAATATTTATGGCAGCATTATTCATCATAGCTGAAAAGCAGAAACAACCCAAATGCCCACCAACACTTGAATAAACAAAGTGTGGTATATCCATCCAATGAAATATTATTCAGCAATAAAAAGGAATGACATATTGATACAGGCTCCAACTTGGTTGAACCTTGAAAACTATGCTAAATGAAAGAAGCCAGTCACAAAAGACTGAATATTGTATGATTCAATTTATACAAAATGTCCAGAATAGGCAAATCCATAGAGAAAGAAAGTAGATTGGGGACTGCCTAGGGCTCAGGGACGGAGAGGTGGAGGGAAAAGTGAATGCTAATCTTTTTTTTTTTCTTTGAGTTGGAGTCTTGCTCTGTCACCCAGGCTGGAGTGCAGTGGTGCCATCTTGGCTCACGGCAACCTCTGGCTCCCAGATTCAAGCAATTCTCCTGCCTCAGCCTCCTGAGTAGCTGGGATTACAGGCACCTGCCACCACACCTGGCTAATTTTTGTATTTTTAGTAGAGAGGGGGTTTCACCATTAGTCAGGCTGGTCTCAAACTCCTGACCTTGGGTGATCCTCCCACCTCGGCCTCCCAAAGTGCTGCGATCACAGGCATAAGCCACTGTGCCTGGCTGTGAATGCTAGTCACTGGGTGATAAAAATGTTCTGGAGTTAATGGTGACAGTTGAACAACCACGGGAATACACCAAAAAACGTTGAGTTGTATACTTTATATGGGTGAGCTGTATGGTACGTGAAATATATAATATCTCAATAAAGCTGTTGGATAAAAATAAGGGCCTAGGGCCACTTCCATTATTTACCCATCCTAAAGACAGTTCTAATGATTCAGGTCAGAGGCTGGAGCTCAGTCGCTCCCCTTAAGCCTGGCCCAGCCCCACTTCTGTACCTGCCTGCTGTTAAAAACAGAAATATTTTTATTCTTGAGGAAAAATGAATATGATGATGAGTGGCCAGGCAATGAGGTCCCTCCAGGCCCTGGGCTATAATTAACACAGCCACCAGCTCTGAAGCCAGTTCTCCCTGGAATTTTCTAATACTCTCTATGGAAGAGTCAAGCTTCTAGTTTGGTCCCCCTTCCCCAAGGGGGCAGAGAAGCCAGCAAGCCAACTGAGCTTGTGTCTTGGTCTCTAAATAAGAACAATTCAGCCAAAGGAAGATGGTTGGGAGAGAAGTGATTGTTAATGTAGTACAAGTGTGACACTGAATTTCTCTCTTTCTCCTCACCTAATGAGATTTTCATTTTAATTAGGCTGACTCCATCCGCCATCTCTTCTTAAATCCATATACTAATAGAACATGAGATTGCATCCCAATCCAAACTTTCTATCTGGATGGGTTTGAGCAGCAAATAATTTAGAGAAGTTAGACTGTGAAAGGATCTTACTTGTCTAATAATTTAATTAGCCGAGATATTATGGGCAATTTACACTTCACTGATGACATCCCCCACTGCATGAGTTAACGCAGGGGAAGAGCGCTTTAGCAAAACGCTAGGAATGACATTTTCATATACCCCTGAGATTCCAAGGACATCAGCTCACCAGGAAAAGCCAGACAGAAATCTACATGCATGACTCAAAGTAGTCAGTTCCCACTGGTAGTTACTCATGTTGCTTCGGAGGAAAGAAGACTCTCAAATATCGAGTTTAACATAAATACGTCTGTTCCCTGTGTACTTTCCAAATTTTAAATGCTGCAAGTTCTTTCCAGACCTCTAGCTAAAAGGAAAAACAAGGTTAATTGCTCCGACCCCCGCAAAAGACCAGTGCAGACTAGCAAATACGTACATACACAAACACGCACACACAGAGCAACTTGCTCTAATTGTTTTGAGAGGGGTGCAGATTTCTCATGGAGAATCTGGCAAGCTCGCCTGCTGTGTTCCACAGCCATTTCCAACCCCGTGGACTTCTCCTCTCATTTTTTCAGTCAGTACGTAATTTAGACCTGCGAGGATTTAAACTACAGGGCTATAATTTGTTATAATGTGCGTTTCTTTACTTTCTCTCTTTTTTTTTTTTTTTCAGGACAGTTCTAAACTTCCATGGCTCTTATGAATTAAATGAAGATGTAGTAAAGACCTTAAAATGAGGCCTAAAGGAAAAAACAAAAATTCTTCCTCCTCCAGCTCCAGTTGGAGTTCCGAATGACTTCCTAATCCTGCTGTTTCTGGGCCAACCACCCCCACCTTTCTCTATTCCTTTCCTAAGAACCAACTGCATCTCAGCCTGTTCTTTCTTGGCTCTGCCAGAAGGGAGCCCTCCTGCATGCCTGGGACCACCCACAGACTGCTGGCTCTGTTTGGACAGGAGGACCCAACTGCAAAGAGGGAACATCTTGCCTGTTTCCAAAAGGGGGGTGAGTCACCTTGGTTCAAGCAGTCAGCTCTTAGCAGCAGTTACACACTCCCACCCTCACCCCCATGGCCTTACATGGCCAGAGTCTAGGTGGCATCTAGAATAGGGATGTCCAAGTGGCAGCTGATGGACCAATGCTTGGCTGGCCAGAACATAACTACCCACTGAGGTTTATGAAATACACAGATTTCCAGGGCCCGCCCCCAGAGGTTTTGATGCAGAAGGTCCTGGCATGGTAACTGAGAATCTGTCCGAGGTGACATTGATGGACAGCGAGGCTTGAGACCCACTGGTTTGGAACCAAGATACTCAAGGTAAGGTTCTCAAGGAAGTGAGATAAGGTGGAAATGTGGGAGAAGATGTGTCTCTTAACACCACTATCACAGGAGCCTTTCTGGGTGCCTTTTGAAAGAGGACTCACATACTGGGGTATGTGGAGTTGGTCAGAATAGGGTTTTTTAAAAGGTGAAAACTTTGGAATTGAACAGACTTGGCTTCCAGTTTCTCTGAAACTGACAGACCCAACTTCCAGTTCCTCCTTTGTTATTTAGGTGCTGGGAAATCTTGAACAAGTCTGAGCCTCAATTTCCTCAAATGATAAATGGGAATGGTGAGGCTGAGGATGATAAAGGATAATCACTAACAATTACATTGTGCATACTTTGTGCTGGCCACTGTTCTAATATTACAGACATCCATTTGCTGGGATGTTGAGCATGAAGTCAGATATTTCATATAACATGCTCAGCATATTGCCTTACACATTGTTAAAAAGAAGCTACTGTTATGGTTTTATGTCCTTATTTGTCCAGGAAGATAACTGCCCTTACTGTCTCCTTAGGCAGGATGCAAACTTCCACACCCCTCCAGCCAGCAGTTTCCTGGCCATGCAGCCCCCTCTCCCACCCCATCCGTGATCTAGTTTCTCATGCTGTCCCTATAACATACACCTTAAGGTTCTAGCATGAAAGGCCCTGGTTAAGATAAAACTGTTCTTATGGAATAAAATACTTTCCTGTTAGACTTCAGATATAATTTATTTTTCAGACCAATTACTTAGCAGGATCCTAAAGAGTTTAGGATAAAAAAAGAATACAAGGGAAAGCAGAAGTCAAGAGTGTAAACTGGGGTAAAATTTGCATATCCTTTCAAGTTAAGGATCTTCATCTTAGGATCATAGACACGTTGGAAAACCTATTATAATCCATGCACTCTCTCGCCAGAAAATCCTATGTGGGCATGTGCACATATAAAATATTCTGCATATAACTTCAGGAGATTCATTACACTGATGCCCATCAATGGATGCCCTTGGGAAATTGTGGCCTATAAGTTGAAAATCCAGCCTTTTAGTTCAAGGGTTAGCAAACTCTTTCTTTTCAGGGTCAGATAGTAAATCTTTTTAACTCTGGAGGTCATATGGTCTCTGTTACAACTACTCAGTCCTGCCACTGTAACGCAATAGCTGCCACATATGATAATGAAACAAATCACATGGCTGTGTTCCAATGAAACTTTATTTACAAAAACGGGCTACAGTTTGCTGACCCTTGCTTTGAGTTTTGGTATGCCACCATGAGTCATTACCCATTCAGGGAACATGTAGGGCCCCAGGCTTCCACAGAGTACAGTCTGACAAGAATGCTTTCTTCCCTGCAAGCTCCCCCAACAACCCTCTGCCCCCCTGCCCCTCCACCACCCCAGGCTTGGCTAAATACCTTCACAGCTTAGTAGTCTAGATTTCTAGGACTATGGCAGCTTCAAGGAGGTCTTGCTTCTCTCTCATTTAACTCTCTCCCCAGACCCTAAAAGTATCATGCCCTCTAAGCTGTTCTCATTAAAATCTCCTTCTATATAAATGAACCTAACGTCTAAACAGCAATGTTTTCATCCCTTGAAAATGCAGCTGCACATACATTTACAAGATTCGAGTGGAAGTGCTTAACCTAGGGGTATTGGTTCATCCCAAGTAGGTCTTGAAGGGAATAAAGAAAAAGAATAACATGGCCTAAAAACCTAGAGCAGGCCTGGGTTGTCCTAAGTAATTACATAAATTACTTAAGTGGGGTTACCATAGGTTAGAAAATCGCCTTATTAGTTTTGACAAATTTCATGAGAAAACGCTGCATCTTTAGATGCGGCATGATTAAAACATAATCTGCAGACGGCAGGAAGAGAACAGCCACTCCATTTTCCCCTGTGGTCATGTTTTTTTAAAGAACCTTTTAAATAATAGACACGGTTGTAATCAGATGCTACCCAAAGATAGATATGACATTATTAACCATGGAGAAGAGCCTGTTTCTCATCCCTCCTCTGCTAGATTTGCGCTATCCAACACACAGGATATACATCTGGGCTGATAATTAAACATGTTTAATGTTCATCGTAGCTGTTCTATGGAACGTGTTGCCACAGACTGCCTTTTGTATCCTTAGCTTGGACTTACTCTCGGATGAATGTGTGAGTGGGATGTGGGTGAAGTCACCTTGCCAACCAGACAGAAAGACAAAAATCACTTGATTCAAGAACCGTTTGCAGTTTTTCAGCCCAACTCCCAGCTCTCTTTCTTCATTTCCCAGGAATCTTTTCTTAATGTAAAATATCTTCCTGTTGACATGACAGGGAGAGTGGGGGGAAGGCTGGTTTTCATCCAGAGGAAACTGCTGGCTAAAGAACAGTAACTTGAAGTAGAGGAGTCTGAACCCCAAACCACACATGACAAGATGAGCACATTGAGTGTCCCATTTAGTCTGTGATTCAGATGTCTGAGTTCCTCTTACAGATATCTTCTCAGCTACATCATACAATTAAAAAACCCCCTCCATGACCTAACTATTGTAAATTCTTCAGTTCACTCAATTTAAAAACCTTCCAGGGAGCTTCAGCGTGAACAAGAGGCTATTTTTACAGCACCCCCAGGCATGCAAAGTGTTAGAAAAAAGCATCATCCCTCATGGGTCAATTAATTTAGAGGTCAGCTACCTCACCACCTGAAAAGATATATTTGTCTGTCCTGCAAGCATCTACAACTACAGGCAGACATTGTCCAAAGAATGGTAAACAAAGGAAACTTTTTACCCGATAAACATTTGGTCTTGATACGGGAAGTTCTCTTTTCCCAGTGGAAGCAAATGAAAATGCCACTGTTACATTTTTTCACAGGAGATGAGCCTAAAAGATGCCTTTGAGACACCAACAATCTGTATGCTGCAGGCTTTGGTATTTAACACAAGTGAAAGGGGCTTTGCCCTGCAATGGGAAGCCATGTTTGGTTTTGTTCTTAGAGATCTGTCTGAGTTTCCTAATTAGGAAGACGCCTGGAGAACATCAACAGGTCAAATATTTATTCTCGGAGAAGAGGCCAGGCTCGCCTAACATGCTCTCCCGATGTGTAGGTGAGTCACTTCCAAAGGCAGGAAGGATTACAAGCTGCTGAGTTCACAAATGGCTGCCAAGCTCAGGAGTTAGGGCCTCCTTCCCCAACTGTGCATGCATCACAGCTCACCAACCCACCTGGGGGCTCAGCATGACACAAAGGCTGAGCTCCTGCTCCTGGGGAGGTCAGCTCCAATCACTGGCATTTCAGAAAGCCCAAGAATGTTTGTCTTCCAAAGAGCTAATGCATAAGACCAGTTGGCCTGGAAAGGTTATTACCTTGAAGAATGCTAGGAGTCAAGAAGACAGATAACTGGCACCTATGATGCTAAATCCCCGTTTCCTTGGTTCCAAAATGTTATTCCATCACCCACAATCTGCTCCTTTTCTATTCTCTGCCTCTCTTTCCCTCTTCCTCTCCACCCCACCCCTACACCTTTGCATGAACCCCTTAAGTTCCTTTGAATAAAGCAACACAGCCTTTCCCTCTTGGTCTTTCATCTGTCACTAATTGGGATCAGTATTTTCCAGTTATATAAAGAGTGCCTGTGTGGCTTTATAACATATGCTGACAAATCATTTGGCAAACACTTTCTTTTGTTGCAACAAACTGCACTGTGGAGGACCGTAGCATTGGCAACCAAATATGTACACTCTTAATGAAGCAACAGAGATAAGAAATCCAACTTGACGCTGACTGCAGGCTCTGGGGAGCCAGAATCATATTAAAAAGGAAAATAGTGATCTATTATATAGGATGGATGTTTGTTGGAATGATTTCCAGATGGATCCAGGAGGCTCAAGAAGAGAAATTACTAAAGAATTATGCGAGGTTCACATGAAGGTGCTGTTAAGTCACAATTTATTTAGGAGGAATTTGCCCCAGCCTCATCATGTAATTAAAACCTTATAGAGTGCCTCCTAAAGCAGGATAGTGCACCAGGTTAAATGAGAATAAGAGATTAAAATCACTCTCACTTGAGAAGACATGATGCTTCACTCATTAATTCAGTAAGGATTACTGAGAACCCACTATCTGCCAGGCTCTGTTCTAGGTCCTTGGGATACATCAGTTAACACAAAAAGATTCCTGACCTTGCATTTCGTGAGGGAGGGAGTGACTATATTTAGCAGGGGCAGACAAACAAAAAATAAGTAAATGCTAAATATATTAGAATGTAGTAAGTACTCTGCATAAAGAAAAGCAGTACACTGGGGGAATTGAGCACACCGGGGAAAGAGTGTTAAATTTTAAATAGATTGTCAAAGTAGACCAGGGAACGACTTGAAGGAAGTGAAGGCATTCTAGGCAAAAGGAACAGCTGGTGCAAAGGTCCTGTGGCAGGGGCATGCTCCAGGAACTACGAACAGCCCGGTGTGGCTGGAGCACAGTGGGCCTGAGAGAGTACAGTACTAGATGAGAAATGAAAGAAACTGGGGGTGAAGAAAGGAGCTGTTGATCACATGATGACTGAGGGAGACGGGGGAGCCACTGGAGGGTTTTGATTAGAGACCTGACATGCTTTCCAAGGACCCCTCTGGGGGCTGGGATAGAAGGAATGCTGTTGCTGGAATCCAGGCAAGAGATGACAGTGACCACAATCAGGGTGGTAGCAATGGAAGTGGTGGGAGATGGTCAGAGTCTGTATATATTTTAAGGGTAGAGCCAACAGCACTTCCTGGTGAACTGAGTGTGAGGTGCAAGAGCAAGAGAAGAGTCAAAAGTGACCCCAAAGTTTTTGGCCTGAGAAAAATGAGATAAATGGAATTGTCATCAATTTCTATGGTTGGGATGGGATTTGGGGAGAAGACCAGGAGTCCAACTTTGGCCCTGTTAAGCTTGAGATGTCTGGTAGCCAACGAAGAGGAGACAATGAGGCAGCCACTGACTATGCAAGTCTGAGTTCAGGGAGGTACAAATCTGGGAGTTGGGGGCACATGGAGGATTTAGAGCCATGAGAAGGGTGAGCTCACCATGGTAACAGGCATTTTGTCTACAAAGCCCTCCAAATCCAGAAAAGGTGTTGGATTCTCCTCACTATCCACTTCTGAATCAGAATGCCCCTTAAACAAATGCAACAACAGACAGAAGAGGAGAACCAGCAAACTCTGGCACACATCAATCACAGCCTTGGTCAGCTGAGAATTCAGTAAGATACAGAGTTATGTGAAAGCTTGTGTGAGCCCTTCCGAGAAAGTAGAGTGGATGACTCCTGATTATTTTGAAAATTATATGGTACTTCTAAAGAAAGACGATAATGGGAAAAAACAGCATGAAGTCTAGAGCTCCAGTGTGCAGTCAAAACAGGCAAAATAACCAGTTACTCGAATTAAATTCTCAATTGAATTCATATTTCCTGTGCCTACTAAGTGTTTGGGTCTCCCCTGGAGAAGGCTCTCACCTCTCCTCCCTGCTCCCTAGGGTTACAGAAGCTGTGGGAAATATCTTCCTCTTTCATGCAAGAAGCACTTTATTTATACCTCTCATAAAGCCCTTCTCTTCACATTTTAATATATTGATTGATTGATACTTTGTCTTGTTTCAGGGAGAATTTAAGGCAGCTTATAAGGATATAAAAAATACAAGATGGCATAAATTAAAAATAGGAACAAAAGGAAAAGAAAAACGAGGACGGGAACATGAAATGGGTCCAAGAATGAGGCTAAATTGCATACCAAGAAGACGTATGGGCCACAAATTTGGTTCTAAGTTTGTAGCAGCCAATGTGGAAAAGGAAAAATTATACAATTACACAACTTGCTGTGTCCAAAAAGTAAAATCAGTCCAAGTGCTCTGGGAAAATTAAAACACTCACATGCATCCTAAATAACATCATCCCTTCTCCTCTTTGGGTTCTCAGCTTATGTCCTGTCTATAGGAGCTATTCAACAAATGTCTGCGGATAAATGAATGGATAATAAAAAACATAAACTCAGTCACCCATTCATTTGTCATTCATTCATTCTCATCCCATAAATATTTCCTAAGCATAAGCTATGGTGTTAGGCACTTGAACTAGCTGCTGGAGACAGGTTGGTGAATAAAACAAAGATGGTCGCTGCCTGCATGTTTTTTACATTATGGCAAGAGAGTGAGACAAAACACAAGTAAGCCAACAAACAAAATAATCACAAAGCGCATTGTGCTATGAAAGAATAAGATATCGATTAGAAGTAATATACAGACTTGGATGGTTGTGGTCAGGTAAGGCCTCTCTAATGCTTGAGACCTGAAGTAAGAAGAAGTTGCCAACATAAAGAGCTGGGGATATACAGAGGGAGCACTGTGCAAAGGTCTTGAGGCAGAAAAGAACCCAGCCTAATTGAAGTACAGCCCAATATGCCCAGAGATCACTGTGGCTCAAACACAGGGAGCAGGGAAGAAAGTGGCATGAGGTGACGCCTATAGGATCACAGCAGGCAGGGCCACCGTGGGAAGAAGTTCGTTTTACCCTAAATGCAATAAAGCATTTTAAGCCAGGGAGTAGCACCCAATGTACATTTGAAAGATCACTCTGGGCTGGGCGCGGTGGCTCACGCCTGTAATCCCAGCACTTTGGCAGGCCGAGGCTGGTGGATCACGAGGTCAGGATTTCAAGACTAGCCTGGCCAATATGGCAAAAACCCCGTCTCTACTAAAAATACAAAAATTAGCCGGGCGTGGTGGTGCGTGCCTGTAGTCCCAGCTACTTTGGAGGCTGAGGCAGAAGAATCACTTAAACCCGGGAGGCGGAGGTTGCAGTGAGCCGAGATCATGCCACTGCACTCCAGCCTGGGAAACAGAGTGAGACTCTGTCTCAAAAAAATAAAACACAATAAAAAAAAATCACTCTGGCTGCACCTCGGAGAAAAGTCAGGAAGGGGAGAAGCAACAAGATCAGTGAAGAGGCTGATTGTTGTCTAGGCAAGATGGATAGTGGCATGAGCCAGAGAGGTGAGAATACAAAAAAGGAGGGGTAGGCTATAGAAAAACTGAAGAAAATTTGAAATCATCTGGATTTGGCCAGTAGATTGGATAATTAGGAAGAAATAGACAAAACAAGGAGTCAAGAACAGCCCAAGGTTTCTAGGACAGAGGTGGCGACGATGAAAATGGCAACATCAGCTAATGGAAACTGAAGCCGCATCTACGCTGGGCTCTGTGCTAAGCACAAGGTTTGAATTATGCCACCATCTCAACAGCTCTGTGTGGTTGGTACTATCATTATCATCATTTCACAGATGGAGAGAGATACTTCAAAGTCCATGCTTTGAAGTGTCAGGTCTGAGATGAGAACTGTATGTGTGTGTGTGTGTGTGTGCGTGTGTGTGTGTGTGTGTTTGGCACAGTTACCTGGCACCTCCTCAGGCTTCCTGAATTCGAAATCCAGAGTTAGGGCACAAGTACTCATCTTTTTTTAAGAAGCTGCAGGGGTGATTCAGGTGTGCTCTGCTGTTGAAGAACCATGAATCTCTGCCTGGCCAGGTCTCCAGTAATTAAAAAATTACATTCAAAATACATTTAATTGGTGACAACTAAGGAATCATTATTTCTTGCTTTTGTTTTTGCCTTTGTCGAGGTCTTAGGTGCTAAAATTCAGCCAACTGTTTCTCAGATTCTGCTTTTAGCATGTGACGACGGGGAGGGGGAAGAGGGGTAAAACCACCAAGGAAGAACAAAACACACTCATCAAATTGTTCCAGAATCTTTCTTAGAAGCTGAGAGGGATTGGAGCTTCACAGATTATTCAAGGGTAAAAGGGCAAGGTTTAGAATGCTTCCCAAATTTAGAAGTCTTACTCCAGACCGTTCCAGATGAACGGCTTTCTAGGTTTTACCAGTCTCCAAGAAAGGCGATTCTCTCATCTGCCCTGGCAATGAACTCTCACTGTTTGATAGCTTTGTGTGAAAGTTCCTTCTTATATCTAACTTAAATCCCAGGAGCTTATTTAAACTCATTTCCTCCTCGACTGCTAGTGGATATTCAAAGGAGTTGGCCTTGATCTTTGAAGCAATCCTTCATACTAAATAATATGAAGGACTTTTCTGTAATTGTTAGAAGAAAAAGAAAGGAATATATAAATTCAGCAAAAAAAAAAAAAAAAAAAAGAAAAAGGAGAAAAATTACTCGCAATTTCATTCCCAGGAGTTGTCTTCTATAGAAACATAAATTGATTTATCACATACATATGTTAGCATCTGGAGTGAAACTAAGAACTATAATTATGATTAGAATTGTTGAATTTTGGAGCTGGAAGGAAATGAACTGTAAAATATCTATACTTATATGTAACATCCACCGTAATTTAATTAGGCTTTCTCATTTCGTTCTCTCACTCATCCTACAGGAAGGGACTAGCATGCCCTTCTGAATGCAGATGAGGAAACCAAAGCTGAGAGGGGTTATGAGATGCCCAAGGTCACAATGGCCTGCTATGGAAGCGTCAGGACCCAAGTTCCAAAAGAGAACTAGTGGGACGTTAATATGGTGGTTCTCAACCAGGGGCAATTTTGCACCCCAGGAGACATTTAGGGACATCTGAAGATATGTTTGGGTGTTGCATGAGGAAAGTGGGTGGTGCTACTGGCACCTAGAGGTTAGAAGCCAGGGATGCTCTAAACATCCTGCAATGTACAGGAGGGGCCCCACAACAAGGAATTCTCCAGTCAAAAAGGTCAAAAGTGCTGAGATTGAGGAACCTTGCCTTAGGAAATTCTCCATTGAAAGCCTTCATCATTGATAGACCAAGAAATAGAAGCACAAAGATTTAGGTACAGAAAGATATTTATTCTCAATAACTCAATTAATTTTTCTCTTGAGCTACGTAGAGAGAGTTTACTTTCCTACCAAAGGATCTATCTGATTCATTTTGTTTGGCATTTCACAAAGCTAGTGAAACTTAAAAAAAAAAAAAAAAAAAAAAGGAAAAGAAAAGGAAAAAAAAAAAAAAAGCTGGGCATGGTGGCTCATGCCTGTAATCCCAGCACTTTGGGAGGCTAAGGTGGGCAGATCACCTGAGGTCAGGAGTTCAAGACCAGCCTGACCAACACGGAGAAACCCCGTCTCTACTAAATATACAAAATTAGGCAGGCGTGGTGGTGCATGCCTGTAATCCCAGCTACTTGGGAGGCTGAGGCAGGAGAATTGCTTGAATCCGGGAGGTGGAGGTTGTGGTGAGCCGAGATTGCACCATTGCACTCCAGCCTGGGCAACAAGAGTGAAACTCTGCCTTAAAAAAAAAAAAAAAAAAAAAGCATTCAAGGAATAAGCATGATTCATTTCCTTCCAAGGCCAGAGTGAAACCTTGCTTTGAATATGCTCAACTATTACTGTCTCTGTCTTCTTAAAGGGGCAGGCTAGATTCAACTGTGGAAAGGATAAAAAGATTGCTACTTGGGAAATTCTTCACCTAGTGGTTAAGAGTCAGGGGTCCAGAACCAGACAGTCTGGGTTTCAATTCTGACTCCATAATTTATTAGCTGTATAACCTTCGGCAAGTTAACTAAACTCGTTTTACCTCCTTTTCTTAATCTACCAAATGGGGATAAAAGTTTGAACTTCATAGGGTTAATGTGATCATGAAATGAGTAAAATACTTAGTACAATGCATGATTTTAAGTATTTGCTGCTGCTGTTGGTATTATTATTATTGTCCTATTGATAAAATAGGAGAATAGCAGGAACTTTGGGTTTGAGAAAGATTTTACTGGTAAACAGAAAGAAAAAAAACTGTAAGGTGTACCCAAGTTCAACTTTGGGCATGACAGTTTTTTAAACTTAGAAAGCATACAATGTTCAGACAGATGACTGATACATGCAACCTCTGCAACTGTTCTAAGGGCTAAATGTGCCAAAGATGTCCTAATAGACCAACACTGAACTCCTGATTACCGTGTGCCACATACTATGCCAAGCATCACATCACAACACCTCATTATTGTCCCAGTGTCATGAAGTAGGTACTTTTAAAAATCTTCCTGTTACCAATGAGGAAATAAAAGCGTACCAACGCCAAGGACCATGCCCAGGGGCATTCAGCCAGTTTGTGACAGCACCAGGACTAAAAGGCTGGTACACTTGACTCTGGCCTGAGTGCTTAATCACTGAGTTATATTGCCTCTGACTGTCTTTTATCCTGGGATCAAAAACACAGTGTGAACTGAGGATACATGATGGCGAATGAGTTTCCCTCTAATGGAGTTGAACAACACTCACTGTTCTTGAATTTTCTTTTTTGGCTGCTGCATTTTCTAGCTAGGCTGTCCATTAAGTTCTATAGCTTGAGGAAGCCTAAATAAAGCACACACATCCAAGGACACCTGCTGAGATGCCTTCTGGAGAACATTTGGTCTGCCCAGACCCTGGAGAACAAAGGAGGAATTGTATAAACCACATTCATCTTGGAGGCTCCAAAACAACACACTCATACAAAGGGTGGCTCCTGACAGACTGAGCAGGCTGCCTGCATGGGAGTGATAAGTCCAAGACTGAGTGAGGTGTCTCCCATAACTGGAATTCCTTCTCTCCAAGATCAGGCATGCCTACCAGTGGGGAAGTCTCGGTTAGACCAGCCCATTCCACCTCTACTTTCAGCTCTCTATGCAACACCCCTATGGATGGACATCCAATGTTCAAAGCCAATGGTTGTGGGGACCTGGCAGTCCTGTTCGTAAGTCCTAGATGGATATTCTTAAAAAGCGGAACTGGTGGGAAGCAGTTTTACAAGCAGGAATGGGTGTGTCTGTTGCTTATTGCTGAGCACAGAGGTCCTACAACATCTGAGAGCTCTGTGGGGTTCTAAGGAAGTCACAAATACTCAGCACAATCTCCAAAGCCACATAGGTGATGCCAGGCTCAAGTGCCAAGACTGAAAAATTATGAAAAGAACAGTATGTCTCTCTGTTGCCAGGTGGCACTTAAAACACTGGGATGTGGTTTGCATGAGACACTCTCTGGCATGGAATCTTTTCTTTCTTTTCAGCACAACATAGAACCGGGGCTAAAAAGGCCTAAGACATTGTTAAATTAGGTTATTCCTGCTCCTTCTCTCTTTATATCATGTTCTTATTACTCTAAAATAACTTCTTTTATTACTCCAAAATAACTTCTCTAATTATATGTCAATGCATAAAACTCAGAAAAAATACCAAAGACAGAGAACTAAATCACAGAAAAATCATCCATAATCCCACTACCCCTGCATCCCCTGTCTTAAGATTTTAGTTGATATATTTTTCTATTAATTTTTCCAGAAACATGTTAAAACAAAGAATGGTTTCAAATGGCACCTACTGTTGTATAGGCTAGGTTTCCCCCGCTTAGCAACGTATCATAAACTCAGATTCTTTTCAGTGCCTTGCCATAGTTTCTTTAGGTTCTTAAAGTAATCCTATGACATATACAGATTAGAAAACTGAAACCAAGTGTAAAGTAAACAGGCTGAGGAAATAAGCGAGTTTGGTGGCAGAGTTAAGACTAGACTCACGTTCCCATGTCAAACTCTACCTTTAATTTACCAACAACCAGAATCAGCCCTTTCTGGTAAGGGGCCAGGAAGAAAATGTTTTAGGCTTTGCAAGCTGTACAACATCTGTTGCAAACTACAGTCATGAGCTGCATAAACGCCATTTCGGATGACAGTTCACATGTTCAGTAGTGGTCTCATGAGATCATAATACCATGTTTTTACTGTACTTTTTCTATGTTTAATACACAAATACCATTTTGTTACAATTGGGGTTGGCATATATTTGCAAAGTAAGAGGCTACAACACTAACTTATTTTATCCTTATAACAATCCTTATAACAATCTCAAGGGAGACTTAAATTATTTTCCTCATTTTACAGATGTAGAAACTGAGACTCAGAGGGTTAAGAAACTTGCTGTTGTCACAAAGCTATTAAGTATAGAGCTGAGATGTGACCTCAGATAGCCTAACTACAGAATTTATATTCAAATCCCTAGCCTCTCCTGCTTTCTACAAACACGGCACAGATGTATAATCTGAGAGTCACCTATGAATAGGTATTTATTACTACCTCCATACTGATGAAAATAATGGAACTATAATCCCAATAAGTCAAACGTGAAAGATTATCTAAGCTATGCCTAGACATATGCCTATAACACATTGAAGGATGTGTCAGAGAGATAGGCTCCTTTCTGAAAGTAAACATATTTACCTGACCCAAATAAATAAGACTTGGAAAATCATAATTTTATAAAACGAAATCCATAAGATAGAATTCAAATATGTTTGGGGTTATTCCGTTTTTTTAAAAAAGTACTGCCCTAGCTTCTAGCACAACAGAAGAGCTTTGGCATGACCAGAGGAATATGTAAAGGAATTCATAATTTAATGAATGACTTTGGGGTGCTGACCACACGAAGCAAAGATGGGCTGAAAGAAGAAAGAAGAACACAGACAGCCGTTTGCAGAGTTCCTCCAGACCTGTGGCTGGGTGCTTCATGCCTCTGTCTATCACAACAATCAAAGAATCAAAGAATGCCTGATGACTCATTATTACAACCAACACTCAAAACCCTACAGCCATCTGAAATTTTTGTTCAGTCGTGCAGAGACCACCTCTGCGTTCTTCGCTAAGGATAGCCCCATCAGATACATGTATCTAACCATTTATTGATAATTCACATATGCTAGGCAACTGGCTAAGTGCTTTACAAAAATGCTCACAACTCTGTGAGTTAGGCATTACTATTCCATTTTACTGATGGGAAAACTGAGGCTCGGAAATGTTCATTAATTTGCTCAAGGTCACACAGCTCATAAGTAGCAGAGCCAAAACTTGAATCCAATTTTCTCTAATTCCAAATTCTGTCTTTTTACAGTGCCTTAGGAATCAAGCCACACATGGCCAAAAGCTCCCATGATATATCAGCAGCAACGTCTGGCCACATGAGTTATAGATCCAAATAAAACCCTTAATCACAAAGGGTTGGCATTACCTTTGTGTGTGTCTAAGTTTCAAGATCTTTAGTCATCACAAAGACAAAAGTAACAGTGGCTTAAGGAAGAGAAAGCTAATTTCTTTCCTGTGTACCAGCTGAGTATATGCAGACCAGGGCTGATTTGGAAATTGCACAGTTTCAGGAACCCAGCCTCCTTCATCCCGAGTGCACCACACCAGTACAGTGTTACCATCATCGACAGGTCAATGGTGGCTCCCTAGCACCATAGCCACATTCCAGCTGCTGGGAAAAGGGAGAGAAAGGAGGCGGGGGGGACTTGCTTCTCCTTCTGAGTGCAGGAGCCAGTAACTTCAGTTATCCACCCTTGAGAACTGACGGACGAAGCCTGCCTAGTTACAAGGGAGGCTGGGAAATGCAGTCTTTATCCTGTGCCCTCCTAAATTTCAGCATAAAACAAGATAGGAAGAAAGGATATTGGAAAAAGATAACCAGTGTGTGGCACAGTGGGGTAAGAAATAAGGTCCTCAAGACCTTATCGTGACGCACAAAAAGAGAATTCGTTCTGCTACTTTCTCTTGCTGAGTGCCTTCTTTCCAGCAGCCCAGGGCACAAAGAGGAAGGAAATAGTAAGAGTGACAGAGAACACTCAAAGGATTGCAGAGTAAAAGATATGAAAGTCACAAGAGAAGGGACAGAACGGGGTTCCACTGTTTAACCTCCTACTTCCAAGTAACAACACTGGACACCAATCTCCTGCACAGAAGTGGGATGTACAGAGTTAACAGGATGATGACTTAGAAGGAAGTGAACCCTTTTGAAGGTGGAGGGGAGGGGCTCTCACTCAGAGCAGCCAGAGCTGAACTGGGCCTACTGCTATCCCAGGCTCTGCACAGGATTTCAGCCCGAAGCCAGTTCACTGGGGTCACTGGCCTTATTTCCAAATGCCATCACTATGATATTGCTCACAAGTAATTCCTTCTTTCTAAGCACAGGCAGTTACTCCTGCTCTTACTTTCAATAGAAGGGAAAAGTCACCTACCGTAGAGCACTATTTTCTCAAATGTTCAAAAGATTTTCAAGAAATATTAGGAGGTGGTCAGGTCAGGATTGAGAGAAATTTCAAAAAGGGTTTCTTGGGGAATCCCATAAAGAGAAAAACAATAGCTATAATAAGGTGTGTTATTTCAACGTGCCAGGCAGCATGTTAAAGTAACACAGATAATCATTATATAAACACATATATTAATGAGTACATATATGTATATATGTACTTTTCTACTCAAATATACTTTCCTACTCACACAACTCCATTTTACCAAAAACAAAAGCAAAACAAAAAACTGAGGCCCAGAGAAGTTGTGCAGGTATCCCAAAAATGCACAGCTAGTACATGTAAGAGCCAGGGTTTGAACTGAGGCTTCTCAGGCCCTAAAAATATTAAGCAATTCTAACACCTACATACACTGCTACCACTACACCCTCCCCAGCATTGCCATACTAGTCATGGTCCCTTGAGAAATAGAAACTATTTAAATACAGGGGGACCACAGTCTGCATATCAGAGGTTCTAAGAAATTGCACTAAATTCAAAGTTTTTATAAAAGAATAATAACTTAAATGAGCTCATCATTTTAAGGATATTCTGGTAAAGCCTTTTGCAAATATGAGAATACTTTTGCACAGTGTGTACCTGATAAAGTTTTGCACATTTTTTATTTTCAGACATGGTATTCAGTTACTTTTAAAGGGGGAATAGGGGAAAGGAGGAGTTATTTACATGTGTAGCACCTTCAATTCTATTGTCACTGTGGTTGCATTGTAATCATTCAGGAACTGACTGTACCATTTTTCTCACTATCCAAAAGGTTGAATTTTTCTTTCAAACTGAGAACTAACATTAATAAGGGAGGCAAGTCAGAGGCAAATGTTCCTGAAGGGGGCAACAGCTACTGAGCTCCAACCAGCCTTGCAGTGCTGTGGTCCCAATGTGAAACTGCCAATTTCTAAACATTAGCAACTGACTCCATTCTTTAAGAAAATTTCTATGGGTCAAACAAACACATTTGCAGGAGTATTGTTGTCTGTAACCGCCATTTTGGTACCATTGTTTGAGTTAACCAAGGCTTAGGTATTTTGTGAATTCCATTGATTCTGGTAGGAAAACAGTAGAGAGAAAGAATACAGATGACGATTCAATACACAGATCTTAGAGTACACTAGAGCTGGACTCTACTCTTGGCTCTAACACTTACTAGTGATGTGACTTTCCAAGACTTCTTCACCTCTTTAGAGCTCCATAATATGGGTATAATGATATACCTACCTCACAGGACCTCTGAGAGGATGAATGTTGACAAGGCATGACATTTAATTTACCATAGTCCATGTTGTAAATATCCTTATTTTGACCTCCAACTATTTGTGGAGCTATTAAAACCTCTTGCAAATATCTAAAAAAAGATCATCTTGAGGTGACTCTGCTTATTCAGGCACCCAACCACAGTTCATGGAAGTCTTACTTATACCAGAAGAAACATGTTAACTCCAGGGCTACTGGCAGAATAAGGCTTGTTTCCTTCTCTTGCAAAGTTGAGAAGATCTCCAGATAACTCATATTGGGCCACAAAATCACTGGAAGAAGCTTGAAGATCACTTTCCAAACCCTTTACATTATAGATGAGAAAACTGAGGCCAAAGCAGCTGAGGGTCACCCAAGGTTAGAACAAGGCCCACATCCCAAATGCACATTTACAGAAACAAGCTCTTTTCATGTGACAGTGATTTCCCCAGGTCCCAGCCAGGTGACATCTACAATCTACAAAATCATGAACTCACCTAACTTTCAGTTTCCAAACCATACTTGTCCAGCAGATCCAAAACAACCACCTGAAACCAGGGTGTGACATTGACAGTTCACTGGAAAAGCACTTTCTTGTTTTTGTCTGTCCATTTTCTTCCCTCTCTTCCTCTCTCTTTCCCCCCAACCCCTTCTTTCTCTCTTTCTCCTTGTCTCCTGCCCTCTCTCTCTCCTTCTTTTCCATCCTTCCTTCCTCTGTTCTTCCCTTGTTTTAAAAATATGTGACCTCACTCCCCAATATAAAACTCATGTGCATAGCCAGTTTTAGCAAATTTGGGGTGTGTGTGTGTGTGTGTGTGTGTGTGTGTGTGTGTGTATACTCACCATGTTTGGAAAATGAATTCCTAGAAATAGAAGGGCTAACTAAGCCACTTATACGGGATCCTTATAGCCCAGGACTTATGGAGATAAAGTTCTGCATCAGCACGCTGGCAACCCTCCTCTGTGTATTCTAAGCCCTCAAAGCCATGTCATTTCTCTAGCTATATTTTCTCATACCCTCCACTTACTTTTCTACACAATGGTTAGTTAATTCTTCCAGCTGTGATGTTTGTGGTGCCCGCAGGATGCTAGGTGACTTGCACCACAGCCCTATCACCACAGCCCTATCACCAGTTGATTTTCATGCTGTTTTCCTGGCCACTTCCTAAAGAGCAGTTTCCTGTGAATTTTGCATTTTTTACATCTATTGTTTATAGATTTCCTTGGCATCTTCACGGCACCTTTAGCACCATTTTTTGCGGCCCTTTCCTGATATCACAGGGCCATAGTGTCATGAGACCATGCAGTAATGGCAGGGGAGAAGGATGGAGAAGTCACAGACTGACAGCATATTCGTACTGTGGAAAGCATAGAAGGGCTGTGCTGAATGCTTATAATTTTATGTTGCCTTGGCATCCATTCTAAATATAAGTTTAACTCTCTCATGCCAGAGACAGAGCTCAGTGTCACTTTTGACAGTTTCCAGTTCTATACCACACCCAAATGGCTCAAGCCAGGAGCCAGAGGTAAGAACTTAGCAGAGATAAGAACTTAGCCCACCTAGCAGACTGGGCTTCCAGCTTTCCCTGCAATTTCCCTTACATGAACCATTTAGGCATGTGCCTGTGAACTTAAAGTGACCCACATCTATTCCCAAATATGTATAGATGGTTGCCACATTGTCTTCTGTCTCCCTGCCTGGGCTCCCTGAACTCCCTGTGTGTGGCGGCCTCCAGGCTTGCTGTGTGCCACCAGGGTCTGTAAGTAATAAAACCTCTTAAACTTTCACATTGCAATTGTGTCATTGAAGCCCTGCAGCCATCAGATCCCCGAGCCCCACCCTGACAGTGAGGCCACCTACAGGGACCCATGCAGGTGGATCTCCTGCTGGTGCACTTTTGTCCAGGCTGCTGGGGATGGTTGCTACCAGCTAAGTCGATAGAGAAACCCAGAGTTTCATTCAAAACAAGGACACGTTAGTCCTCATCAGCTGAAAGACACTCCACTGAGCAGTCATGAGAAAGCAACTCTCAGTGCTGTAATCAATCAATGAACATATAAAAACTAAAATACTTCTAACACAAATAGAGCTACAATAAATCAATGCTGATACATCATTGGCATTTAATCAATATTAATTTTTGAAAAACTGCTGAATAGAGCAGAGTTAAACAAACTAAGTATGCAAGAAATTTTAAAAAAAGGTGGGGGTGGGGAGAGTTTCCACCACCCAGACACAACCATCATTAGAATTTTGGCATATTTTCTTCCTGTATTTTTTAAATGTTTTTAAAATAATAGGAACAAATATACAATTTTCATTTATCAATATATCATAAGCTTTCCCCATTTCATAAAACTCTTTGTAAACATCATTGTTAATCGCTAAATTATTTTGATTAATACTCCAGTCCCCTATTGCTAGACCATTTCATAACCTCACTGCTAAATATTTTTGTTATTTCCAATTCATAATTATGAAAAAATAGCATTGCTATAAATACCTAAGTGATACAGTTTTTTTTTCTTTTTTTTCTTTTTCCTCTTTTTGGATTATTTCCTTATCAAGAATTCCTGGAAATGACAATGTGGAGTCAAAGGGCATGAATATTTTTCAGGTTTTTGATAATGCCTTGCCAGAAATTTTGAACCAATATATACACTCAACATCAAATGTATGAAACTGTCTACTGCCTGTACCTCATCAGCACCGGGCATTGTGGTTACCAAATAAAAAACAAACAAATCTCCCTCCCCGCAAAAGCCTTTGCTGACTTAACAGGTAAAACGGCACCTCACTCTTTCTTGAATCTGCACTGCACTTACTGCTCAAGAGCTGAACTTTTCATATCCCTATCTACATGTGGATTCCGCTTCTCTACATTTTCTTTCTGTTCATGTTCTTTGCCTATCTGGAAGGCACTTTGAAAGCAAACAACCATCATTTATGAAAAAGAGAATAGGTTCTGCTCCCACCTTTTAATCTTTAATTTTTTTTTAAACTTCATCTTTTTACTGCTAACCTAGCACTAACAAGTGAACTTTAATGCCAGATAATCCACTCCCATCTACGGAAGAGACACTTGGTTCTTCCTCCCCAGGTTAGAATACAATTATTGCTGGACTGCTCCTCCTCTGCCCTGGCATCCTTCTCATCCCTTAGTACCCAGAGTCCACAGAGGCCAGCAGGAGAAGAAAGCTGCAAGGGCTCAGAAGGTGACGGAAACTCAATTCCCACAAGAGGCACCACTGAGAACCACCTCCAACAACAGCTTTCAATTAGAGAGAAAATTAGAGATCTGTCAAAACCGATCTCAGCATCCATCACTTCCCGTAATCTGCTTCCCAAGATGCATGGAGACTGGTGCTGCCAGACGCTGGCCCCCGCCATGCTGATTTGCCCACTGAGCAAGACGCCTCAGGAAGCTGCTCATGAAACAGAATGGAAACACAGCACTCAGGAGCTCAGTGGCCTGAGGAAACAGCCGCCTGTCAATTCTATAAGTCAGTGATAGGCTTCCCGAAAAATTTTTGTGTGTGTGTTTTTTTTTAAAGGAGCAACGTATTTATAAACTTGTCCACGAACTATTATTGTAAATGGGTAAGAAATGTGTACATGTGTGAAGAGAAACAGGAAAAGAAAATGGAAAAATATATTTGGCATATGACCATGTAACATGACATCTAAGTAAAAGCACTAAAGAGAATTTATGTATTAAAATAGTCAAGGTCATTAAGCAAACAGCACAGTAATAGGTGTTGCAAGCAAAAATCATTAATGGAGGCTAAATTGGGTGGGCAGAAGTATGATGAGAAACATGATACTTGCAAAGTCTTAAAAGTGTCTCCCCACAAGATACTTATTACAAAGAGAAAAAGAGTTTTGCAGTGGAGGAGCCTAGTAGACAGTACCTTAAATGAGTGATCAAAGTAAGCATAACCAGTAATGTCACCATATCGCCTACCCCCAACATGCTGCACTGAGAAGGGCACAGCATCGCTTCTGTGGTCTTGTCAAAAAAGCCAACCTCAGGTCAGGCATGGTGGCTCATGCCTGTAATCCCAGCACTTTGAGAGGCTGAGGCGGGTGGATCATTTGAGGTCAGGAGTTTGAGACCAGCCTGGCCAACAGGGTGAAACCCCATCTCTACTAGAAATACAATAATTAGCCATGTGTGGTGACACATGTATGTAATCCCAGCCATTTGGGAGGCTGAGGTAGGAGAATCGCTTGAACCAAGGAGGCGGAGGTTACAGTGAGCCAAGATCGCACCACTGCACTCCAGCCTGGGTGACAGAGGCAGACCCTGTCTCAAACAAACAAAAAAAAAAGCCCACCTCAGTTTAATCAAGCAAACATATCAGAAAACTCAGATGGAAGGACACTCTAGGAAAGACAATGACAGGAACTGTGGCAGACTGGAGGACGAGACTAGAGGAGACAGGACAACTAAATGCAATGTGAGATCCTGGCTAGGATCCAGGATCAGGAAAAAACAACATGCATGGAAAAGCTGCTGAATTTTGAATAAGGTCTATAGTTTTGCTAATAGCACTGCATTAATGTTAATTTCCTAGTTTTGATATTGTACAATGATTTTGTAATATATTAACCCTAGGGGAAGCAGGGAGAAGGGTATGTAGGAGCTCTCAGTATTACCTTTGCAACTTTCTGAGAATTATTTCAAAATAAAAGTATTTACAGATTACTGAAGTTTAGTTATCTAAAAATAAATGTGAATAAAATATTTAATATTTTCTTCCCTCCTGCATTGAATCATTGGGTGTATGTGCATTGGAGATAAAAGGATGGGGTCAAGGATGGCTGGGGAAGATTACTAAGTCTCCTATGGATAGAAAGGTGAGCCAAGCCTTGAATGTGGACAGTCTAATTATGGAGCCTGACACATAAAGAAATGCATCACTTTAATAACTGAGGAGGGCTATTGGGCAAGTGATTACGGAATGGTAGAAACAATCCTGGATTTTGAGTCAAAGCCATGGATACAAACCCTCAAGTGTTGGCCCGAACACAATAAAGCTTTGAGATCTTGAGTCAGTCACTCAGTATCTATGGAAATGGACATAAACAAACTTTATTGCACACGACTATTGTGAGGATAAAGTGAACAGAGGTGTCTGAAAGCATTAGGTAAATGGGAGAGCCCTGCTATGACAAGGTTGTTAAAATTACCAAGATTAACAATAATATCCACGTAGCCAAAATAATACCGTAATTTCACTCCTAAGCTACAGCATCCTAGCATCTAATGGTACCCATCCCATATGGAAGCAAATCTGTCTTGCCTTCTGTCTGACCTTGGAGCCTGGGGCCACCAGTCTTCATGTGTGGTCAGTATTAAGCACCATCTGTCCTGAGTTAACACAACTCCTTCTAGTTTAAGCAATGAACACAGGCTGCAATGGCTAAAGCCTAAATAACTGCAATATGAAGAAAGGCTTTCCCACCCTGTTTGTCACTTTGGATGCATAGTGTTCACCTCCCAGGTGTTTACCCATCTAAATTGTGTGATGAAATGTCTTTTGAACACTTTTACAAGCAGTTAGATGCAATCAAGTTCTCTTCTTGCTTAAGACTCCTCAGCAAAGAAGATACTAAAAAAAAAAAAAAAAAAAAAAAACACAATAAGTGGCTGGGCTGCTTTGCAAATCTTTTCCTGCTGTACTTACTTCCTTGCAGTCATTCTACCTCTCCCCTCCCCTCCATAAAAAGCCCTAATGATTGTGACATTCATGATCTCTAGTGGGGTCGTTTTTCTCACTGCTCATCCGTATGATAATATGAGATGAAAAGGAAGCTGTATGTTAGGGCCATCTGTTGTTTAAATCTCTTCAAGATCCATTCACTCTTCTGGTAATAGTACCTAGGTTTTCCTCTGGGTGTCCGCCTGCCTCTTGCTCCCAGTCTCTGTGGGTAGCTCCCACAGCAGTACAAATTGAGCCAGAATTGGCCGATCAGCATAGTCCATCCATCCTCCTATGGTTAGAAAGTTCAGGGATGGGTATGTGCCTCACCTCAGAGCAAGGAAATCTCATGAGGCATGCAGGAGTGTCTGGAAATGGAAATCTCTCTTTTCCTGGGGTACTATGTTAACAGAATGTAAGCTTATGGCTGCTGAGGGCCCTCCTGCAAGCACAAGAAGGGGGCCTATCCCAAGAGAAGGTAAGACCAGGGACAGCAGGAGAGAGAGGAGAGAGAACCTCATGGGTGGGGAGAACTCTACTGAAATCATCATACCACCTGTGTGCAGGCCTAAAGCCAGTGCTACACCCACCCCACCTCCCCAGTCACTGACTGCTCAGTTAAATGAGCTGATATTCTTTTTTGCATCAGTCACTTTAAGTTTGGTTTCTGTCCCTTGTGACCTAAAGTGATCTGACTGTGAAACCAGGAAAATAAACATTAAACACTACCTTCTGTGAAAACGGAAGGTGCTACCAGCATACATCTGTAGTTTTTGTGGGGTCAGGCCTGGCTGCCCAGGGTGACCCACATCATCTCACACCCCTCACCTTAGGGTCATAGGAGGTAAGTATCATTTGCAACTAGCAGGTTTAAGGAGCCATCTGAAACAAGGGAATAGAGATTTTCTGGGTTGAGCTAGCTCATACCATATTCAGCCCCCCAAAACCCTGTCTAGCCTCACTTATCTTTTACTTCCCAAGTCTCTGACATTCCAGTCACCCAGGATGTCTTTCTTTTCCCTAATTCACAGTGCACTGCTTCATGCTGTCATGCTAATGCACTGGCTCTCAACTCCAAGTTCCAAGCCTAAGACCTCCAGTGGGAGGTTTCCCAGGACTTCTCCAGATGGAGTTGGTGGCCATTACTATGAAATCCCATAGCATCTTGTAAGGTCATACTGCAGCATTAGGTACAGGTGACCATGTGATGAGACAAATATTGATACACAAATGTTCCCACCCTTCCTCACCCTATGGATGCAAGTCCTGGATTTGCCCTGCTAGTGTCTTCATCTCCACCTTATACCCTCCCTGTATTCTGACGATGAAGTCTGAGGACTGAGCAGGAGCTGCATTTTCCAGAGGACTTTGTTTAGATCTCTGAAAAGCTGAATGGAGAGAAAGTGAGAATGAAGCAGGAGAAACTGGAGAGATGTGAGGGCTAGTGCTGAAGGAATAGTGTTTTCTGAGGCACTTGAAAGAGAAAGATAGACAGGAACCAACAATGGGAGGGGGAAGCGGATAGGTGGAGAAAATAGGGTTTGTAAAGAACTGTTTCTGAGTATCCCTTCATTATGTTTGAGAAGAGCAAGAAAGGATGGATGTTATCTTGCAGTTACCTTCAGTTGCCAAATGTGCTTCTTTGATCACAACACCTCTCTTAAACACACCGGTTTCTGACATATATGCACCAAATACACACACCGACCAAAATGCACTGCCTTCATTGCAATGTAATTTTACTAAGTTCAGGGAGCATTTCTTGAACTATTAAAACATGGCTCTTGGTGTTCAGCACACAGTACCTCCATGCAAGTTCTTTTTATGGCCATAAATGCATCAGTTCCTTGCCAAAATACTGTGAGGAAAAGGATTTTATAGATGAGGGAATAAGGAATCAAAAAGAGCAAGGACTTGGAAAAGGCCAAAGAGCCAGGAAATACCAGAGACTACATACAATTCAACATTATCTTTCCAGTAAACCATTTTGTGACCTTCCACAAATATTCCTAGAATCTGGATAGTACTAAACACCATGTAGAACCCAGCGGGGTCTCTATCCAAGACTTTCTCAGACACCATTGCTGGGTAATTCTTTATAGGTTAATCAGATAGGTGGTTAAAATCCGTTTCCTTTCTTTGTTTTAAAATGGAAACTGGGGGCTCGGCATGGTGGTTCATGACTGTAATCCCAGCTCTTTGGGTGGCCAAGGTGGGAGAATCACTTGAAGCCAAGAGTTCAAGACAAGCCTGAGCAACATAACAAGACCTTGTCTTTACAAAAATTTTTTTTACAAAATTAGCTGGGTGTAGTGGTGTGCCTGTGGTCCTAGCTACTTAGAAGGCTGAGGCAGGAGGATCATCTAAGCCCAGGCATTAGAGGTTACAGTGAGCTATCATCTCTGCACTCTAGCCTGAGCACAGCTTGAGACCTTGTCTCTAAAATAAATAAAATAAAATAAAACCTGGGGCCAATTTTGATATTAAAGATATGATTTCTTCCTTTGTTCCTTCTGGTAGCAAGACAGCAAGTACATCAAAAGTATGGACCAGCAGACCCCCAAAACCAGCACAATTACTGGCACAGAGTAGGCATTCAATAAAGACTGAATCTTTCAAATCCAATGTGGACTTAGATCCTAGTCTGTCCTATATAATAAGTCTCCACCCTTCTAAGAGTTTTGTCCAGAAATGACTGCTTAGATTTTCTTCCTGCCATCCCTCAGCCAGGGCAGGGGACCATTCCTCAAAGCCATAGCAAAAACTGAACCAGGAGAAAGGAACCATTAGCTTCTCCAGGGCAAAGCTGTAAAATGGACACAAAGTGAGTCATGGACAGCAGCTTGGACAAGAACAAGAGCTCATCTGAGGACTGGCTGTCATTTTCATGTGGTTTCTGGCTAGCCCTTAATAAAATTTAGTGCATAGCTGACCACCACTGGGTTGTGTTCTTTCAAAGCACACACTCAGACAGAAGGCCAAGGAGGGTGGCTAGGTTTTTGAGAGCCACAGTCACATGGAAACTGTCTTCCCCTGTGATTCAGTTGGGTACTTTGCCACACAACAAGTAGTCTGCGTGCTGGCCTGCCTTCCGCCTGCTTTCCATAAGCCTGGCAACATAGCAAGACTCTGTCCCTATGAACGTCAGGTTACATAGCCTGCCCACCTTCCCACAGTACATTGGAGCTGAAACTCTACATTGGCATGGAGCAGATCCAGAACCTCAAAGTTTCTGCCAAACTCACCTCAATAACCAGGCCCAGACAGGGGCTGCCCAACGTGCAAATGGCTACATATGACACACCTGGGAACTGTAGGTTGGAATATGTTTCCTATAGTTTTGAGGACCTTAACGAAACAACCAAAATATTTCAATCCACTTTATGTATCAGTTACTGTTCTCCAGGGAAACAGAACCAATATGATATATAAATATTATATATGTATAATATATAAAAATTCATAAAATATATATTATATTTTATATATATTATGTTAACATACACACACAGAGAGAGAGAGAGAGAGAAAGACTGATTTTAAGGAATTGGCTCATGTCAGGGCTGGCAAGTCTGAAATCTGTAGGGCAGGCCAGCATCCTGGAAACTCAGGCAGGGATTCCAGGTTGTAGTGTGGAGGCAATTCCTTCTTTCTCAAGGAACCTCAGTCTTTCCTCTTAAAGCCTCCAACTGATTGGATGAGGCACACCCACATTATAGAAGGTAATAGGCATTACTTAAAGTGAACTGACTGTAAATGTCAATCATATCTAAAAAATTCCTTCACAGCTACACCTAGACCAGTCTTTGACAACTAAAACCACGGGATACCATAGCTTAGCTGAGCTGACACATTAACCATCATACCTTTATTCAACACATGTAATTTAGTGGCTTTTAATCTTCGGACTATGGGGACATGCAAAATTCACCCATTTTAAGCGCATAAATTGGTGATTTTAGTACGTTGACTGAGTTGTGCAGCCATCACCGTAATTCAGTTTTAAAGGACTGTTATCATTCCAGAAAGATCACTCATGTATGCAGATCCTTTTGAAAATCTTATTCTGGCTGTAACAAACAGGTACAATCCTATAGGTTGTTTATGCCCAGCATCCAAGTCTTACCATTGTAAAAACTTGGAATAATATCTTGTATATATGCATAATTTTAGATGGAGTTTTAGAGGTGTACTCCTGTAAGCTTGGCTCCATATCTAGGTTGAAACTCCAAATTTAAACATCCTTCCATCCAGCCCTTCCATTCTATCTATTTGACCACTGCATGTGTTTAGACCTCCATCATCTCACACCTGGACAACTGCACCCTCCTTCCAACGTGTCTCTGTCCCCAACATTTTCTCCCATCCAACCATCCTCCATCCTCTGGTCAGAAGGGATCTTCTAAAATACAAATCATCCTTCACTCAGAGCCTGTCCAGATCCCCTCATCACCTGTGGTATCAAATCCAGAGGTAGGTCTTATTACTCTCAATAATATACATCAGGCGGGCCTTCTCTGTTCAGCTATTGCTCTGACATTCTCTAGCCCCATCTTTGGCCACTTTGTGCTTAGGACACCTCATAATAAGCATAAACTGCTTATCACCTCTTCACCTGGCTAACTCCATAGGAGCACCTGATGCTTACATGGACTTAAGTAGTTGCAACTTCTCTCTGTCCCACATATTGAGTATATTTCTATTGTTGAACCCACCATGTCACATAACACCACGCTTCAGACTTTTTCTACCCTGATGGCTCCTTAGAAGCAGCCAGCCAACCAGCATTTACTAATCCTGGAAGCAGAGAGCCAGGTTAAATGCTAATCACAACTGTATTCTTCTAAGGTATGATTGTCTGTGGCCACGTAATTATTCTGAAATCTTTTTTGTGGTAAGTGGTCGATACTATGCTAGGAATTAGCCTACAGAAGTAACAAGACAAGTTCAAAAAAGTCACATGTAAAAAGCCACCCATTGCAGTTGTTTCAAATAGTAAACAAGGGTACCACAGGATGCTTATTCCTGTCATCTTGGAGGAAAGAAAGAGTGAGTGTCCAGTACAAGGGATGTGGTGAAATAAATCACAGTAAATCATGCATAGAGTATTAGGCTGTTATTGAAACAGCAATGTGGATACATATTTATCTTAGGAGTTACTATTTGCTATTTATTTAAAAAGTGGCCAGTTATAATAACATGTTTATACAGAGGTAAATGAATTAGATATTTTACATAAGCAGATATGCATGTATATACACATATAAATATACACACCCACGCAGACTTTAGAAACCAAAAATTTACCAGTGGTTAGAATTATGAGTGGGTAGGTGGTAGGTAGTAGAATTATGAGAAATCTACAGGTATATTTTTAAATTTCTTTTCCCCGTCCCTAGTTTCTAGTTATTTACAATGAAAATGTGATGCTGATCAGGGAAGAGAGAACACTGTGGTTAAGAGAAAGGGCTGTGCTGTGCAGGTCTGGACTCAGCTACTTCCTATCGATGTGACACTGGGTAAAATAATCCCCTTCAGCCATCAATCTCCCCGTTTGAAAAAGGAGTCAGGTCTCAAAATCATGCTTTTCTCATAGCACTGTTGTGAGGCTGACGTGAGCCAACACACATTAAGTGCTTAACCCAGATGCTGACTCACAGCCCTC
This sequence comes from Homo sapiens, assembly GCF_000001405.40. Lineage (NCBI taxonomy): Eukaryota > Metazoa > Chordata > Mammalia > Primates > Hominidae > Homo > Homo sapiens. Next base: position 64,368,565 of record NC_000003.12, read on the forward strand.
CAATAAATCGATAACTTTTAAACAGAAGCAGGTTTAAGGAAACAAATGGATATCAGTAAACAAATATGCACACAATGTTCTTTCGGACAACACTGCCAGAACATATGTGCACAGGTTGCTCTCCAACATCTGAACAGTAAGACAGCCCCAGCTGGGTGGGGTGAATGAGATGGGAGAAGGGATAGCCACTTGCCAAAACATCTGTGCGATTCCAAACAGCACTAGGATCTGCTCTGGAGGCATCTGAAACACCGCATGTAAGCTTGTGCCCTGCCAAGCACATGGCCCAGAAGCCACCACTGTCCTCACTCCTTCGCAACAGAATGTGGTTTCTCATTAACGGGCCCCAGCAGCTGGCTGTCCAGCAGACCCAAGTCTCTGGTGTGGCTTTGGACCTCATAAAAGCTCATTCCTATCAGCTGGGGAGGGTGGCAGGGAGGGAGAGGAAAACAAGCATAGAGAGAAATGAGCTTCCACTGCAAGTATGAAAAGGAGAGAAATTAACTCAGTGCTTAAAGAATCAGTGCTCTCCCCTCTGCCCTGTGCCAACAATGGAGAAGAAGAAATCTGGTGTAACAGCTAGTTGTCAGGCCAAAATACAGGAAACCATACTGACTTTCTCCAAGGAATTCATTCATTTATTTTGATCACTTAACCTAAAGTGGGTCTTCTCCAATAATTAGTTCTCTTCTAGAAACCATAGTTTAGCTGTACTTTCCCTCCATGGCATTTATTAAAATAAGCAATTAATAATATGTATATTTATTAGTTTACTTCCTTATCTCCATCTCTAATGATATGGGGAAACTAGAAATGGAACACCACAGATCTCATGACAATCATGCCCCCAAAGAACATTCTTCCCTTTAAATGCCTGTCATTTGAGGCACTATAAAATTTTCATTATAACCATTTTAATGGCTCCCTTGAAATATCTACTAACTAGCTGAAAAGATGACAACACGGTCCATCGCCTCATCTGCATTTTGCCCAAGGTGAAATATGCCTTTCTATATTTTAGCATGAAAGCCAGACCCTTTAATAGCCTTTAAGCCTGTTCTAATTGCTTTCATCAATAGTCACTGTCACCCTCCCTGCCTGACTTTTTATGGTGTCAAGTTGTATCAAGGGGAGAGCTAGGGAAGAGGAAACACTGAAAAGTTCAGCACACAGGCGTTTAAAGTATTTAAGCAGCCTTTCTAGCTCAAGACTTATTTTAAAGCTTCATGTCCTATCTCATTACTTATGAAACTTTGTATTTGAAGTCCAAGTTATACATTGAAATTCAGCAGATGTTTAAGGAGTGCCTACTGTGTACTAGGTACTGAGCTGAGTGCTGCCCATATGACCTCACATCAGACAGATGAAGACTTTGACTTCATGGAGCTTCCATTCTAAGAGGGAGATGGACAACAGACATGGAAACAAACAAATGAGCAAGGTAATTTCAGGTGGGGGGCAAGTGTAATAAAGGAAACAGTGAGATGGCAGAGCACTTGAGGTGGGGTAGAGGTATGAGCAGAAGACCTGAAGGTTTAAAAACACCTGCCATGTGAAGGGCCAGGGGAATGGTCAGCTGGGCAAGAGAGTCAGCAAGTGCAAGGGCTCTGAGGCTGGAACAACCTTGATGTTCCAGAAACAGAGAAGAGGCCAATGTAGCAATTACATGCAATTAGACGGACCGATATCCAAGGGCATTCTGCACGTGCCCAAAGGAGTGCTTCTCCAGAGCCTAGCTTAAGTCCTGCAGAAATGGTGACTTGGCTTCACCCATCCACAACCCAGGCAAAAATCAAGCCATCTTAGATCAACAAGGCAGAAAGGCAAAAGCCATTAGTCGCGATTTTCTAGCAGCTCTGCACAAGGTTCTGCTTACCACCCACACACTCTTTTATTAAGCTAAAATAAGCCTCAGATGAAAACTGTTGCCATCGGTGAAGCTTACTTTAACATATGGTTGATCCAACTGAAGAAAAACACTTTACAAATGCATTTTTTAAATCCCGACTTGCTTGTAGAATGGTTTTGTAAAAAATATTTATCATGCGTCTGGTCTACTGATGTGTTCCAAACGCTGGGGTACAAGGACATGTGTACTTGTCCAAGGGTTCCTTGGTAAACTGATAACGAAGGCGCTCTTCCCCCATGGAATTTGGCTTTCAGGGTTTGATTTGATGCAGTTTGCCAAAACATAAAGAGGTAACCTGTGGTTTTGTAAACTTGGTTAAGGGCAATGTGTTTCTGGCTTGAAAGCTGGCCGGCATGTTTCAGCAGGACAATGCAGCTACTCAAATACTCTCCACTGAAGAAAGCTTTTCCTCACTCTCAGAAGGGGGTACTTTTCTAGCAGAACTCTCTGTTTGGAAAGGTGAGCAGCATGGGCAGAGAGAAGACAGGACTGCGAGATCAAATTGGGATGGGATGGAACATGGGGAGGGATCAGAGCTTCCCCTTGGCTGTGATTGAAATTGGCTAGCAGCTAACACTCAGCGAGCACTTGGTTTGTGTCAGGCAGTATGCTAAATGCTCTTCACATGTTAATCACCTATTCCTTATGACAGCTCTATGAAGTAGATCTTGCTATTACCCATACCCATTTGGCTAGATCGGCAAATGGAGACACTGATGTATATAAGGTCACACAGCTCCCGAGAGGCAGATGTTCTTTGGCAATGAGGATGTGTGGGCCTAGTAGGCACTCAAGGCTCCCTCCATTCTAGTCTGAAGATGAAGTCTTTTCCTTGACCAGTCTAGACCAAGATCTATCAACTACCATTTCTCAAATCCTGGCCATTTGCATTCAACCATGAGGCTATCTCTTCTGCTTGTAGCCCACCACCAATCACTGTAGCAATTTCAACCTTGTCTATACACATCACCTTTGTTATTTGTATTTACTATTGTTTAAGCTTATTAAATTTTTATTGTAATACATTTATTTTATTTTTTTTCAAGACGGAGTCTTGCTTTGTCACCCAGGGTGGAGTGCTGTAGCACTATCTCGGCTCACTGCAACCTCCGCCTCCCAGGTTCAACCAATTCTTCTGCCTCAGACTCCAGAGTAGCTGGTATAACAGGCACCTGCCACCACACCCAGCTAATTTTTATATTTTTAGTAGAGGAGGTTTCACCATGTTGGCCAGGCTAGTCTCAAACTCCTGACCTCATGATCTGCTACCTCCATCTCCCAAAGTGCTGGGATTACAGGGGTGAGCCACCGTGCTCAGCATAATACATTTATTTTAAAAGGAAACTTTATATTCCCATAGAAAAAACAATATATATTGTTATAAATGGACACTGACCATTTACAAAAACTACATGAAATGTCCAGAACAGGCAAATCTATAGATAGAAACTAGATTAGCGGTTGCCTAGGGCTGTGGGGGAGAGGGATGGGGGAGATGACGGTTAAAGGTTACACGGTTTCCTCTTGAAGTAACAAAAATACTTGAGAATTGCCGTGAGGGATATATAACTCTGAATATATTAAAGGCATTGAATTATACACTTTAAATGACTGAATTGTGTAGAATGTAAATTATATCTCAAAGAAGCTGTTTAAAAAAAGTTAATGCCCTCAACTTAAAATGGCAAAGTAACAGGAAAGTGACTTGTTATAAAAAAAAATACAATAAAAGTCAAAATTCTCCTTAAACCCTATAATCTCTCTGCTGACAGATCTGAGGACCCACCTTCTCTGTTAAAAAAGGGAATGCAAAAATGAACTCACTTGCACACACACTCAAAGGGATACAGTAAAAAAAAAAAAAAGACAGATAATAACAAGTGTTGAAAAGGATGTGGAGAAACTGTAATCCTCGTTACATTGCTGGTGAGAATATAAAATGGTGCAGCAACTTTGGAAAACAGTTTGGTGCTTCCTCTGTCTTAAGGATAGAATTATCTTATGGTCTAGCAATTCTTCTTTTTTTTTTTTTTTCCAGAGTCTCACTCTGTTGCCCAGGCTCGGGTACAGTGGTGCACTCTTGGCTCACAGCAACCTCCACATCCTGGGTCCAAGCCATTCTTGTGTCTCAGCCTCCTGAGTAGCTGGGACTATAGGCACGTGCCACCATGCCGGGCTAATTTTTGTATTTTTGGTAGAGATAGGTTTTCACCATGTTTGCCAGGCTGATCTTGAACTTCTGACCTCAAGTGATCTGCCTGCCTTGGCCTCCCAAAGTGCTGGGATTACAGGTGTGAGCCACTGCGTCTGGCCAGATCCAGCAATTCTACCCCTAGGTCTATTCCTAAGAGAATTGAAAACATGTCCACATAAAAATATGTACACAAATATTCATAACAACATTACTCATAATAGCCAAAATGTGAAAACAATCTAAATGTCCATCAAATGATGAGTGAATAAACAAAATGTGGTATATGTATACAATGGAGTATTATTCAACCATAAATAGGAATGGAGTACTGATACATGCTACAACATAGAAGAATCCTGAAAATATTTTGCTAAAAGTAATCAAACACAAAAAAAACACATATTATATGATTCCACTTGTAAGAAATGATCAGAAAAGGCAAACCTGTAGACAGAAAGTAGATTAGAAGTTGTCTAGGGCAGTGCTTTGAGTTAGGGTGAAATGGAAAGCAGCTGCTACTGTGTATTAGGAGGTTTCTTTCAGCGGTAATAAAATTATTCTAAAATTGTAGTGACAGTTGCACAACTGTGTGAATATACTAAAAAAAATTGAATTATATAATTTAAATTGGTAAACTGTACGACATGAATTACATCTCAACAAAGTGGTTAAAAATACAATGAAAACTTAAAACATGCCATTGCCAAATATATATATATCATCCCAGTAAATTCGCTGTGACTTAATAGTAATTGCCGTGCTGCACACAGTGGCTCACACATGTAATCCCAGCACTGTGGGAGACCAAAGTGGAAGGATCACTTGAGGCCAGGAGTTCTAGACCTCATCTCTACAAGAAATAAAAAATAAAGAATACTAATTACTATAATTTGAATATGCACCCCAAAAATATGCACTGGAAACTTAATCCTCAATGCGATACTGTTGGGGTATAGGGCCTAATGAGAGGTGATTAGGCCATGATAGTGAAGTGAATAATTAATGCCAATATTGTAGGAGTGGGTTCATTATAAAAGGGGGAGTTTGGCCCCCTTTATCTCTTTCTTTCTCTGTCTCTCTCCTTTAGTACTCTCCTGCCATTCCACCCTCCATCATGGAATAACAAAGAAAGAAGGCCTTTGCCAGGCACTGCTTACTTGATCTTGAACTTCTCAGCTCCAGAAATGGGAGCCAATAAATTTCTGCTCATTATATATTACCCAGCTTCTGTTATTCTGTTACTGAAGCAAAAAACATAATAAGACAGAAATGCCTCATCAATTAATTATCTAAAATACCTTGCACACAACAAATGCCAAGGATTATATATTTAATAGTTGGGCAAACATTATGTTAGGCCTGCCAGGGTTGGAGCTCTGAATGAGAAGTTCAAATGAGTTATAAACCCAAGATTCTATACAATCAGCTTCTCAGAAAAATTGAAGTGCTTAGCTTTGTTCTCAGAAGTCTAGGGCATAATTTATCTTTCTAAGCTTCAGTTTCCTCATCTGTAAAAGGAAACTATAACTCTTAGAGTTATTTTTTATCATATAAGCTCCCATTTTGTTAATTCTTTCCACCAAGACTTATGATGGAAGGCCATAATATGAGCCAGACACTGTTCTAAACCAAAATTATACAAAGATGAATAATTCAGAGAGGTCCCGTCCTTACAAAGTTTTATTCTAGAAGGGACACATTTTCTGCTAGATCTAATATATTATTAAACTTTACAATATGATGGCTGAGTGTTAAGTGCTGTGAAGAAATTATTAATGGGGTAAATGAGATAGATAGAAGGTGAGGGATGAGGGAGGGCAGGCTGCTATTTAATAGAGGGTGATCAGGGAAGTCCTCTTTGAGGAAGTCTAATTTGAGGAAAGCCTAAATGAAACAAGGGAACACACCATGCTAAGATGTGAACGGCAGGAGCCACAACTGGAAGATGTGGTGTACTCAAGGATCATATCTGACAACAGCAGAACACACAATGGGGAGAGTGGAAGGCCATGAGGCTGGTAAAATGGGAATTTGGGGACTAAAGACCATGGTCATAAGGTCTTAGATTTTATTGTCAGCTTGAAGGGAAGCCATTCAGAAGGTTCTGAGTAGAAGGGGGATATATAATTTTAGAACATCACACTGCCTGTGGTGTGAATGGATTATAAGAGGCCAGACTGGAAGCAGGGAGGCCAGGGAGAAGGTCACTATCAGAAAGAAAGTAAAAGAGGGAGGTAGTTGGACCTATGGTGATAGCAAAGGACATGTCCACACAGGTAAGATAGAGCTGGGTTTTGAAAGCAGAGCTGATCCAAGCTTGCTGAGAGTCTTACGGAATGTGTGAGAAAAAGGAACAATCCAGGAAGGAACAATCTTGGGTTTCTGCCCAAAGCAGAAGGACTAGACATCAGATATAACTGCTTAGAGCAAGGTCTGGAACTGAGAAAGTACTCAAAAAATATTAACCACCATCCTGCCACTATCACTATTACCAATATCATTATAACTACCATTATTATTATAACTTCCTCCATCCCACCTCCACCCTCATTACAGCTACCACCATCATGACAATCACTATCATCACCACCACCATCAAAAGCAAAAAGACAGCATAGTACTGGAAGTCCTAGCCAGAACAATCAGGGAAGAGAAAGAAATAGAAGACTTCCAAACAGGAAAAGAAGAAGTGAAATTGTCTCTTTCTGCTGATGACATGATCTTATATATAGAAAGTCTAAAGACACCACCAAAAAACTATTAGAACTGATAAAAGAACTCAGTAAAGTTACAGGATACAAAATCAACTTACAAAAATTAGTAACATCTCTATACACTAATAACAGACTATCTGAAAAATAAATTAAGAAAATTCTATTTATAATAGCATCAAACAAAACTTAGGAGTACATTTAACTAAGGAGGTGAAAGGTCTGTATACTGAAAACTATTAAACCTCAATGGAAAAAATTAAAGATGACACAAATAAATAGGAGTATATCGTGTGTTCATAAATTGGAAGAATATTGTTAAGACGTACATACTACCCAAAGCAATCTACAGATTCAATGTAATCTGTGCCAAAAATGTCAATGTCATTCTTCACAGAAATAGAAAAAACAATCCTAAAATTCATATAGAACCACAAAAGATCCTGAATAGTCAAAGGCATCTTGTACCAAAAGAAAAAAGCTGGAGGCATCATATTACCAAATTTCAAAGTATATTACAAAGCTATAGTAATCAAAACAGCATGGTACTCATATAAGAAGGTACATCAACCAATGCGATAGGATGTATAGCTCAGAAATAAACCAGCAAATTTATAGTCAATTAATTTTCAACAAAGATGCCAAGAACAGCAGACAATGGGGAAAGGAATAAGTGTTGATAAAACTGGATATCCACATGCAGAAAAATAAAACTGGATCCTTATCTCACCACTTATAAAAAATTAACTCAAAATAGATCAAAGACTTAAATGTAAGACCTAAAACTGTAAAACTATTAGAAGAAAACATAGGGGAACAGCTCCATGACATTGGTCCGGGCAGTGATTTCTTAGATATGACCCCAAAGGCACAGACAACAAAAGCAAAATAGACAAATGGGATTGCATCAAACTAAAAAGCTTCTGCAAAGTAAAGGAAACGACAGAGTGAAGAAACAACCCACAGAGTAGGAGAAAGTATTTGCCAAATCATACATTGGATAAAGGGCTAATACCCAAAATATACTACAAGGTGCTCAAACTACTCAATAACAAGAAAACAAATAACCCTATCCAAAAATGGTCAAAGGACCTGAATAGACATTTCTCAAAGAAGACATACAAATGACCAACAGATATATGAAAAAATCCTCAATATCATCAGAAAAATGCAGATTAAAATCACAATGATCTATCACCTCACACCTATTAAATTGGCTATTATCAAAAAGATGAAAGCTATCAAGTGTTGATGAGTAAGTATATGAAAAAAGGGAACTCTTATACACTGTTGGTAGTATTGTAAATTAGCCATTTTGGAAACAGTATGCAGTTTCTTCAAAAATACTAAAAATAGAATTCCCATATGATCCAGCAATCCCACTTCTAGGTGTACATCCAAAGGAATTGAAATTGAAATGTCAAAGAGATGTCTGCACTCCCATGTTCACTGTAGCACTATTCACAATAACCAAGATACGGAAGCAATCAAAGCATCCACCAATAGACAAATGGATTTTTAAAATGTAATATATACACATGCACAAGGAAATACTATTTAGTCTTTAAAAAGCAGGAAATTCTGTCATTTGTGACAACACAGATGAACCTAAAGGCTAAGTGAAATAAGCCAGGCACAAAGAGACAAATAATGTATGATCTCACTTATATGTGGAATTCAAAAAAGTCAAACTTCCAGAAGTAGAGAGTGGAATGGTGGTTAATAGAGGCTGGGGGCAGAGGGAAGCAGACAGAGAAAGGGGGAGGCATTGGTCAAAGGGTATAAAGTTTCACTTTTACAGGAAGAATAACTTTGGTGGTCTATTGCACAGCATGGTGACTGTAGTTAATAATAATGCAATACAATATTATTTCAAAATATTTAAGAGAGAATTTTAAATGTTCTTAAAAAAATAAATATTTGAGGTCACAGATATGTTAATTTGCCTGATTTGATCATTGCACAATCTACACATGTATCAAAACATTACATTGTACCCCATGAATATATACAGTTATTATTTGTCAATTAAAAACAAAATGAAATTTTTTTAAAAAAAAAAGAGAAGTCTGGGCAATATAGTGAGACCCTGTCTCAAACACTCAATTTTTATGTGTGTGTGTGTATATATATATACACACATGTATATATGTATATACACATGTATATATGTATATACATGATATACGTGTGTGTGTATATACATATGTGTGTATATATACGCATATACACACATATATACACACATGTATACATATATGTATATATACACATATATACACACATGTATACATATATGTATATATACACACATATATGTGTATGTATGTACGTATATACATACACATATGTGTATATATACATATGTGTATATATATGTGTATATGTATACAAATATGTATATATGTACATATGTATATATGTGTATATATACACATATATACACATATATATGTACATATGTATATATATGTGTATATATATACATATATACACACACACACACATACATATATATAGACAGACCAGGGAGAGGAGGCAGGAAGAGGAGAGAGAACCACCTAAGAAATAAGTACAAGGCAGGGCGTGATGGCTCATGCTTGTAATCTCAGCACTTTGGGAGGCCAAGGCACGATGATTACTTGAACCTAGTTCAAGACCAGCCTGGGCAACACAGCAAGACCTTGTCTACATAAAAAATGTAAAAATTAGTCAAGCATGGTGGCATGAGTTTACGGCCCCAGCTACTTGGGAGGCTGAGGCAGGAGGATTGCTTGAGGCCAGGGGGCTGAGGTTGCAGTGAACTGTGTTACACCGCTGCACTCCAGCCTAGGTGACAGAGCAAGACCCTGTTGCCAAACAATGAAAGAAGAGGGGAAGGGAGAGGAGAGGACGAGAGGGGATGGGAGGGGAGGGGAGCTGAGTGGGGTGAGGCAAGGTGAGGAGAGGAGAGGAGGAAGAAATGAGTACAGGTAAAGGAAATCTGCATCCAAATCAAGGAATCTGCTCTGGACATGCATAAAGTGAAATGCTGACCTATCATGGGATGTTAACCAAGTTACAGGGGCTAACTCATTTCTTCCACCACTCTTTCTCCAACTCATCCTCCACACACATTCATGTAACCTTCTTTTGATGTTTACAATCCCTTCAGGGACCCCTGTCTTCACAGACTTTTACCTGGACACATCCTAGTCCAACCCCTCTCTAAAACATGTCCCTCCATCCTTCAATCCCAAATAGCCTGATGCATCTTCCCAAACTCCTGGCATGTATGTACAGAAAATTCAAGTCTCAAGTGAGTATTTCAGTATCTACAAAGCTGAAGTGATATGCCAAAAAACAGCATCAACCTACAGCAGGTACATTCTATCAAATGAATCCCTCCCCCAACCAAAATAAGAGAGAAGCATGCACAAGAAACCACCACATTTTTTGGATTGAGCCTTGATGGTGAGATACAAGTATTTACTATTCTAGCAAGCCCCGAACATATATCAAACTGCCTGTGAGCTCTTAGAAACCCATGGTTTAGCATTTCCTCTCCAAACACTGCAATATTATATAATATGATTAACCTTAGAGTCCCAGTATAAAATCCTAGAACAGAAGGATCCCAGAGCTAGAATGGACATTAAGATGGAATAGAGTCCATCCTTCTACCCCCAGACAAAAAGGGGTACATCTACCTAGTGGTAGGATAGATCAAGAGCATCTTCCTTTGCACTGTATTTTTAAAACATTAACTTGTTCTCACGAAATGCTCACGCTTGTTTTCAAAGTAGAAGACAAGCTGCAGACACTATTTCTCCCAGTCTCTGGTCAGTGCCATTCACTTTCTTTTCTATGTTAGTGGTCAGTGTGCTGCAATCATTTTAAGAAAGAGAGCAAATCCCTTTATCCACGATCAAATCCAAGCCAATATTTTGGGGACCTGTCTGAGTGTGGGGAGGAAAGAGAAATGATGACTTTTATCCAGTGAACAAAACTCCTTATAATTAGGTTGGTGGTTTCTATGGTAACGAGGAGCTGACTCTTTTATTTGAAATAAAAAATAGCAACACTCCAGCTGTCCTTGCCGTCCGGATGCTCCAAAGCAAATGAGAGATTTGATTTCACATTTGCTAGGACTGTTGAGGACTTAAAACCAGGGATTTTACTTGTTGTCAAGTTTTGGCGAGACACTAAGTCCCATTCCTCTGAGAAAACAGGTGTGAAAAACAAAAGCAAAAAACAACCAAAACAAAATAATTTTCCTTCTCTGCAACCAATATGCTGTTTGTTTTTTCTTCCTAATTATCATTTTTTAAAAATCAAGCCACTTCCTGGAAGGAAACTATTGGTGGTTCATCTTGAAAAAGCATTGGCAATCTCCAAAATATATTCCTACATCTACAACAATAGCATCCTTTCTTATTGGGGGCTTTATTAGGTGCTAAGTTCTCTGCCAAGGGCTCTCCCTGCATCACCTCATTAAACGCTCACAGCAACCTATGACAGGTCCATTTTAGTGATGAGGTTTAAAAGGTTAAGTAAATTGCTCATTGTCAGCAGAAGCTAAAAGTCCATTCCAGTTCTAACTGATGGCAACGCCTATACTGTGTAGTGGTTGGACTAAACTATTCTGCTCTTACTGTCACTATATAACCTAGACCAGAAATCATCATTTACAGGTTACAGGTGGAGACACATTAGAAATGCCCCACAGATGACTGCCAAACTTGGAGGACTCCTTGCATGGCTTCTGGGCCACTTTCCTTCTTTCCTACCTCCATTCCATATGGTGCTAGGGTGCCAAGGAATACAGGAAATCATGATGTCCCCTCGGGAGGATCAGCTTGTAATCCACACACAACAGTCAAGAAGGCTTTGAGGGATGCTGACAATTACAATACCAGAGGGTTAAACAATGTCACGGTGGCCTGCGCTGGGTGCTGGGGGAACAAGGAGGAGATGAGAGGTATCTAACAAGACCAGCAAGGCCTATCATAGAAGGTGACACTCCGGCTCAGTCTTAAAGGAAAATTAGATGTTAGTCAGGTTACAGTGAGATAAAGAGAGTCTTTTGGGCAGAGAAAAATGGCTATAGAGAACTTGAGGTAAGAAACAGAATGGCATCTTCAGGGAGTCTTGGCAGGAGGGCATGGCTGGGGTAGGCCAGAAGAGTCCAGCAAGGCCCATGACACAAAGTGACTTGCTTGTCTGAGTGGGCTAAGGATGGTTGATGAGAGAACAAAAGAGAAGATGGTAAGTATTGGTAGAACATATGCTTCTCCTTCATGGTATCCTAGAAATGTGAACTAGTTTGAAATTACTTTTGGCTGTACACAGCTCTGGGGACCACATAATCCCAGGGACCACATGGGATTATAACCATTATCTTTGATTGTCTGTTCCCACGACTGTCTCCACCAAGAAACCACAAATTTTTTTAATACAGGAATTTTATCTTACTCATCTTTATGCCATGTCTACTAAGGGGCCTAGCATATAAAAAAATCAAACAACTGCTAAATGAATGAACATAAATGGTTAACAAATATTTGCTCTTTTAAATATATAAATATAAATATTAAGTGCTATATATCAGCACTAACTATTAGCCAGCTGCTGTGCAGAGCACTGTACACACATCATCTCATTTAATCATCACACCTGCTCTATGTGGAAGGTACTATATTAGCCTCATTTTATAAATGAAGAAAAGTGAGGCCTATAGGGGCTGAAAACTCTCCTAAATCTACAGGGCTAGTAAATGGCAGAGTCAGATTTGGAGCTGTGTTTCCATCATCTCCAAGCTCATGCTCTTAGCAGGCTATGGTGCAAAAACCAATCTGACTGATTATTGCAAGAATAGATGCTTCATTGATTGAACAGTCCTGACACACAGTAGGTACACAGTCAAATTCTATTGACTGGAAAAATTATTTAAAAGCTCCTGTGTGCAATGTACTAGACTATGTTAAAAAATCAATATGGTGTGCCCTCTGACTGTAAGGAGATCCTGGCCTACTGATGATTGGGGAACTCCGGGCACAATGGCTTTGGAGGTGGGGGGAGGGCTGTGTTTCTGTGGCAAGATTCAATCTCAAACAGAAACAGAAAAATGATTCCTTTGCAGGTTTTTAGAATGACCCTTTGATATATTCTGCTGACTCAGCACCCTTCTTTTCCTTTCAGTGATAAATCAACCTTGAATTCGTTTTGGGATGCCTTCTCCTTCCCTTCTCTCAATGCAAGCAGTTTGGATGAGGCTGCTCTCATATCCTGATCCGGGAGGATCTGTGACCCAGATACAGCAAGTCAGAGCATTTAATCATCTTGGCCACACCTCACGAGGAGGTTCAGAATCCCAGAAATTTTTCCTGGAGCTATCTGGAGAGCCAGGGTCTTCTGATTCCTCGGGGTGCTGAGAAGAGATTTAACAATGACAAGCCATCTGACCTACAAGGGTGCAGACAGCCTGAGTGTTGAGTTAACGTGAAGGAGAGAGCTGTGCCCTAATAATGCTACTTGAGACTTTGGATGCAGCCTTGCCTGGGTATCTCAACAACCTCAATCAAAAAATTATCATGGTTTTACTTAAGCTCCTTTGAGATTCTGTCACCTGCAACACAGAGTCAGCAAATACAGTTCCACTGTAAGTGAGAGATGGAGAATGGGTACATGTGGTGAACGAAGAGAGGCCGGAGAAAAACATGAGGGTAGTGGGTATGTTCAGTTACTCTTGAAGGTCCTTTTTATTTGCTGCATTAAGGCACATTCTACAGTGTGGCATTAAAGCCTCCACTCAATTTCTCCACATATAGCATTTGCTTAATACTTAATTACTGCCTTAGGGCACTAGAGTCAGTACCCTGGTGACCAGGAGGGGTTAATGCAGCTTCCAAGGAAGACAAACAGGAAACACATTCATTCATTCAATAAATATTTATAGAGTACCTTCTATGTGCCAAGTACTAAAGCTGAACATTGGCTGAAAAATTTTATCTCATCTACGTCAAAGGGGACTTCAGATATCTTTCAAGTTAAATAAACCTCACTGATCCATAAGATAATTAAGAGGAAAAAAGAACAAAGACACCCTCCCCACCATCTCCGGCCTTCCATGCACTTAGAGGAATAGCTTTCAAGTATAAGCTAAGAGTTGCCAATATTTATTTGGAAGTAAATTAGACCCTACAGAGTGTGGAAAAAAAGGAGAATGGGAAATGAATTGGATTACTGAGGAATGCTTTCGGGAAAGAGCAAAGATATGCCCAAGACAGAGTAAAAAGAGGGCCGGAATACCGATGTCAAAATGGAGAGGAGAGGTGGTGGAGGGAGATTGTGAGAACTAATACAGCTAATGTGCTTGGTGCAGAGAAACTAAACCAGATACTCTACTCCAGGGAGCAACCCTTAGGAATCTGCATGTTCATCAGGGTCACCAGGTGATTCTTTTGCCAACTACAGTTTGAGAGCTGCTATAGTAGTGATAATGTCCCCTTCCCCCCAATTCATATGTTGAAACTTAATCTCCAGTGTGACAGCATTAATAGGTGGGAACTTTAGGGAAGTGATTGAATCATGAGGGCTCTATCCTTACAAATGGGATTAACGCCTTTATAAAAGAGACTGGAGGGAGCATGAGTTTCACCATGTGAAGATGCAGTAAGAGGGCACTATCTTTAAGGCAGACAGCAAGTCCTCACAAGACCTTGAATCTGCTGGTGCCTAGTTCTTGGACTTCCCAGCCTCCAGAACTGCAAGAAATAAATTTCTGTTGCTTATAAATTACTTAGTCCAAGGTATTTTGTTACAGCGGCCCAAAAGGACTAAATGAGAGCAAAGATGCCAGGCGCCAGGGCCCAGACAACCATTCTGCTCCCTGGCTTTGAAGAAGAGGCAACAAAGTCCTGAACCTGGCAAACGCAGGCAGTGCTGTCAATATACCATGCCTAAGTGGGCATCTAAACACTATGTAGAGTCCAGTGAAGTCATTTAAAAGCAGCTGATCTGAAAAACAGACTGGGCTGTTTACTAATCTCCTGGCATATAAGTGAATGCTACCGCCTAAAGAATTCATTATCTGCAGAAGTGGCACAAATCACTATCTGCTGGCTAAGAGTCTTAAGCTCCAAAAAGGTTCTTTTTTGTTTTGTTTGTGTGTGGTTTGTTTGTTTGTTTGTTTAAATGGAATCTCACTCTGTCGCCACGCTGGAGTGCAGTGGTGCAGCCTTGGTTCACTGCAACCTCCGACTTCCTGGTTTAAGGGATTCTCCTGCCTCAGTCTCCCAAGTAGCTGGGATTACAGGCATGCGCCACCACCCTCAGCTAATTTTTATATTTTTAGTAGAGATGGGGTTTCACCATGTTGGCCAGGATGGTCTTGATCTCCTGACCTTGTGATCTGCTGCCTCAGCCTCCCAAAGTGCTGGAATTACAGACGTGAGCCACCGCACCTGGCCTCTTTTGTGTGTTTTTTGACAAATTCTACGTGTTTCTGTGACAGCTACAAACAAAACACATCAACCTTTGCCTCACAAATGGAACATCTGAGAGGTAATATTTTATAGCAGTGCTGTCCAACAGAAATAAAATGTGAGCCACATATGTAATTTTAAATTTCTACTGGCTGTATGGGAAATAAAAACAAATGGAATTAATTTTGACAATACATTTTATTTAAGCTAGTAGATCTAAAATATCATTGCAATATGTAATCAATAAGAACAATTATTAATGAAATAGTTTATATTCTCTTGATCACATAAAGCCTTCTAACTCCAGAGTGTTTTTCAAATAGAGCACAGCTCAATTAGAATAAACCACATTTCAAGTGTTCTACAACCAAATGAAGCGAGTGACTACTGTACTAGACAATGTAGATCTATAGAAAGGGGTGGTAAAATTTCAAGTCAAGACCTAAACGTCCTAACAAGAATTCTGAGAGGAACGCATTAGAAGAAAAAGCCAGTGAAGGCAAAGAAACCATGTTGCAATATTGCTGAAGAACCAGTCAACACTCACACAGATATTTTCTATTACATATTTTTAAAAGAGCTATAAAAACCATTTTTATAAAAACCATCTCCATTACAAGTGGAAGGAAACTGGGCTAACACCCACCTACCCTTTCTCTGTGGATTAACAGAATCAAGGACTTCCACATACTTTTGTCATACCTTATATTTCAGGTTCCACTTGACTTTCATGCATTATCTCCTGGGCAAAAATCAAGACGAGACATTTCCTCCTTAAAGAAAACCTCAAGTTGCTGAACAGATGAAACAGAGCATTAACCTCCATGGGTGAAAAACATTCAGTCCTTCAGAGACAGCCTAGATTAGAAGAGATTTAGAGCCGGACATATCAAGGCTCTAAATCCTGTGTCTACCCTTCCAGCCTGGCAAAGAAGTGAATTTAGGTAAATAAGTTATCAGTGCCTTGATTTCTTCATTTCTACAGTAGGAGTAATCACCGTGCCTACTTCAGGCAGATGTCATGAGTCAGTGCTTGTAAATGTTTCCCATGGTGCCT
This sequence comes from Homo sapiens, assembly GCF_000001405.40. Taxonomy (NCBI): domain Eukaryota; kingdom Metazoa; phylum Chordata; class Mammalia; order Primates; family Hominidae; genus Homo; species Homo sapiens. The sequence goes on from NC_000003.12 coordinate 64,384,901, forward strand.
GGCACAGGAGCTCAACACAACATAAATGGCATTAGCAACATTATTAATTATAATAATTTTATGAAAAGCACTCGTGTAGAATTTATTACCAGGCCTGGGCCTGGGGGGAGAAAGTGAGACACTCATCTTGGGTGCAAAATTTAAGAAACACCAAAAACCTTGGTGATCAAAAAAATATTTTCATGCACTATTTTTAAAGATTGAAATTAATGCCAAAAACGTCAACAATGAGCAAAATATCCAAAATCTTAAATAAATCGGGGTTAGTATGACTTATTTTCTTTCGGCTCAGGCTCTGATACGGCACTGAACTGCACTGTTAATGTCCTGTCTTTATTTAAAATTGATTTAATTTATATAAACCTTTGATATTTTGTTCCTCTGCCAGGAGGGCGGGGACAGATTACTGCACTCATGGGAAATTGGGAGGCTCTTCATCACCCAGCCCCTCATGTCACCCTGAGGTGTGACAAAGGAGACCAGAGCCCCAGGACAGGAGCCTGCAGAACTGAATGAAAGGCCCAGCTGGGAGGGAAACAATGAGCGCTGTGTATTTCATATGATAAGAACAGTCCTGAAGGCACACCCATCCATCAACCCCCAGAAGAGTGAAAGGCACCAGACAAAGATTGGAGTGCCCTGCTAACCCCTCCTCTTCATTTTGAATTTCATCTGCCCCCCTTCCCATGAGGCCTCCTCATACAATCGTCCCCACTGAAGGGACCTGCCTCCCCTTCGCCTTTCGTTAGTACACAACAGCAGAGATCAGATGCTGCAGAAACTGAATCTCCTCCAGACAACGATGATTTAAATGGCAAATAAATACAGTATGTGGGAGTAATCAAAATCAGTGAGACGCAAGCCTCATTTCGGGCCCAGATTATTTTAAAGCATGAGCAGAATTGTCAATGAACTGTAAAAGAAAGAAGGATGGAAAAAGCAAAACCAAAAACCCACCACCAGCCTGGCACTGCTGGGATGGAAAGATATTTCACATTTTTTTCTAACCAGAGCTGAACCGTTGACTGTCGGTGAGATGGTGGCCTTGCTTCCCTAGCCTTCTGTGCAGTCTTACGTTTCAACAACGTAACTGTGCTACAGTTATGCTTTAGAGGTCAAGTACAGTTAAAGAGCTGCTAAAAACATAACCTTGCTGAGGATAAAATGCATTCTTCTTTTCACACATCTGTTTCTCTTACAGTTCATTTCAGAAGACTCTACTACATTTTCCCATTTACTGTTAGGGAAGTGCCTGAATTCTGCTGGCTCCACAACTGATACAATAAAAGAAAAAAAAAGGAAACCCCATGCAACACTCAAGGATGAGTTCCTGCATGATGGCTCCCTTGTTCTGTGGATACCGAAGTTGGTCCAGGCTCTTTTGGCCCATGGGATTTTGGGAGGTGTGACATTTTCCTCTTTGACTGCCCTTGGTCTAGTTGCCTGCTGTCTAGCTGTTTCTCACTTGGGTTCAAGCATCACCATAAGCACTACATCTGAAGAACAGACCATGGTTTTGGAGGACTCCATCTCAGAATCGAGGGCTCTTCTTCCAAGTAGACTGCCTTCCATCTGACGCTTTCAACTGATTCAATACCAGCACGTACATGTCAGGATTTGATCATCTCAATCATCTTTTTAAAAATGTTCTCTCCAACTTCCCAAGCATAAAGAAAAACAATTGATTCCAATAGTTTAGATCATTAAACTCTTAGGTGACGAAAGAAAATTCAAATTCCTTTTTCTATGGGGCTATGATTAAAAAATGAAAACATATTTTTAGGACACTTTTATTTACAAAATGCTTTCATATCAGTTAGAGCCCACCAGAAACTATGTTCTGATTCTCATTAAACCACTCACAATAACACATTTCTATAACATAGCACAAGAGATGCGCACATTCCAAGCTGTGGAGGAAAACCTTTGGCAGAGAAAAGTGAAAATTTTCCCTGAACCAACAAGAGTCAGTAATGAAACTAGGTGGAGCCTCGGGCTGTTTTCCTTCTAGTCCCACATTCTACGCTTTCGTCCATGCTTCTCAAAAGGTGCCTCATCTATTTTTATTTTTGAGAAGTCGATAGATAGTCCCTAAAAGAAAGGAAAGAACAAAGTGGTTCTATGGCCAAGTAAGTTTGGAAAAATGTACATTAGATCCCCTTCTAGAAAATGTGTGACACAAATGATTACATTCAAAGCTCCAAGTCCTGTAATAAAAAATAAAGCAAGCAAAGAAATTGATAAATTCTGATCTCTCTTTGACTCACTGTAATGTAATATTTCCCAAATAGTGGAAGCCCACCTCACGATATCTTCCACTTTCACATTCATGACATCTCTGTCTCATCTGGATGAGAATTTTCTCATGGAGATGGTCTCAAACGAGCACCTAAAGATATCTCACATAAAAAGAAAAGGGTATATATTACAAATCCCCTTTTCCAACTTAATGATTACTTCTTTTAACTTTGAGTTTCTAACTCTTTCCTTAAGCCTCTGTTTTCTCAATAGGAAAATGAGGATAATAAATTTCATCCTCTTCAAGTTATGAGGATTAAATGAGATAAACCAATTAAAACACAGCATGTTAAAGGGTGATAGTCAGCACCCAATAATAAGTTAGCTGCCATTTCTGTTACTATTACTACTACTACTACTACTTTTATGAACTTCTACCATGGTTCAACGTAACAAAAAAAGTTCATTGTGCCAGGCTTGTTGTACACTGTGCTTAGAGTTGCCACAGAAATTCAGCCAGGTATAGAACTGTTCCTTCATTCTTTGTCTTTTTACCTTCCCCAACCTCTCACTCTGCCCTCCCTTCTCCATCCGCAATTATGCCTCCTTTCCTATCCAATACCACTTCTTGTGTTCAAATTCTCCAATGACCCCTACTTTCTATGTTCTATCTCGTGCTCAGAGGCCTTCAATAGGGACTTTGAGAATAGAAATCGAGAAACGGCTCAGAACCACAAGAGACCAGGAAAAAAATGACCCAGAATGCATCTCTCTTACTTTCAGAAGAGAAGCACACTGAGCTACATCACTTATCAAAGGGAGCACTCTCCATCATGCTCAGTTGACATGTTTCTTTTACTGAGGCTTTGATTTGTGACTAAATAATTATCTAAAAGTTATTCCTGGGTGAGGCCAGCCATGGTGGCTCACACCTGTAATCCCAGCAGTTTGAGAGGCCAAGGAAGGCAGATCACTTGAGGCCAGGAGTTCAAGACCAGCCTGGCCAACATGGCAAAACCCCATCTCTACAAAAAATACAAAAATTAGCCAGGTGTAGTGGCGTGTGCCTGTGGTCCCAGCTACTCCAGAGGCCGAGGCACGAGAATCACTTGAACCTGGGAGGCAGAAGTGACAGTGAGCTGAGATCATGCCACTACATTCCAGCCTGGGTAATACAGCAAGACCCTGTCTCAAAAAATAAAAAAAAAATTAAAAAAATTTAAAAAATTCCTAGGCAGAGTTTCAGCAATACATGTCAATAAAGACTTGATTTGACTAAAATTACCAAGCTATAGAGGCACAAATTTCTTTTCTGTAAGGCAGATAACAAATTAAGTTCTTTCCCCTAAAGTCGTGAACAAAGATGTCTTAATGACTTACAACTCGGCAAATGTTTGCTAAACAGTCCATTTTGTAGTTCTGTCATCTCAGGCACATTTTTCTTTCAAATGCTAATATGCATTTAGGGACTATGATTGAGATCAATACTCCTTTTCAGGTTCTCATTTGAGTTGTTGACAATTATCAAATAGATTCAAAGGCATCCATTTCTACCATGCTACACTAAAAAGCCATCTTAAAACAAACCAGTGAACATAAATCAAACACATTTATGGATTTACAGTATCCTTTTTGCACACCAAAGGCACTGGCAAAAACATTCCTACCAAGTTGGAGGTAGAAGAACAGATATCAAAGCAATTATAATATTAAACACACAAAAGCTACACAGACATCTGATGTTGCCAAGATTCTCAACACCGAAGTTATTATGCCAAAGAAAACCAAAAGAAAATCTCAAAACTAGCAATTTGTAAAACAAGAATGCCAATCAACTTCAATAAGCTCTGGGCATGCATGTATGAGACCACAAAATGCTACATTGGACAAATGTTAGGGGCTTGTCTTGAAACCACAGAAACAAAAACACTAAACAGCGGGACTGGGAGTAGATTCCCAGACAGCCAGCTGCGTGCAAGTGATCTGGTCCCAGGGAGGGTGGAGCCACCTTTAAAAATATACCATGTGAGCTTAAATAAAAAAGAAAGATGGCCGGGTGTGGTGACTCACACCTGTAATCCCAGCACTTTGGGAGACCAAGGTGGGTGGATCACTAGGTAAAGAGATCCAGACTATCCTGGCCAACATGGTGAAACCCCGCCTCTACTAAAAATATAAAAATTAGCTGGGTGTGGTGGCACCTGTAGTCCCAGCTACTCGGGAGGCTGAGGCAGGAGAATCGCTTGAACCCGGGAGGTGGAGGTTGCAGTGAGCCAAGATCGCACCACCGCACTCTAGCCTGGGTGACAGAGCGAGGCTCAGTCTCAAAAAAAAGAGAGAGAGAGAAAGACTAGCCCTGGTGCTTGATGGGAGAGAAACCACTTTGTTTTGGCTTAAAACTCCTTACGTCCTCATTAAACGTGTTTGTAATGTTTGTCCTGAGGTACATGGACACATTCTTTCCAAATGCAGTTCCATCTAGCCTGTGTGTCACTAACAGTGCCTAATGAGGCCATCTCGCTGACGAGCTGAAAATGGCAAGCCACCTGGTAGACAGACTTAAACAGCGCTCAGAATTTAATGGGCAATCTTTTCATCCCTGAAAAGGAAAGGTTACAAGGACCGACCTGCAGGGTTGCCTTTCCATGGTGAGCATGAATAACCATACCAGTTGTTAAAATATTGAAATACTTATTGACACGTAGCCATTTCTCTGGCACCTTCCCTGAGGCAACCCCACCATCACCAAAGGGTTAATTCATGGCCTCCAAAGGGTTAATTAAGGGGTCTCCAAAATCCATTTCTAGCACTATAGCCAGTATTGGTTGGTAATTTCAGGAATCTGTACCATAGTATTTATTAAATAGCCTGAATATTAAAATATTTTGAATATGTACCTGACTATGAAAGAACTTCAAGTTTCCTTTTCATTCCCTGTCTACTTCAAGGGTAAGAGGAGGATAAATCCATCAACTAGGACCTTATAGAGGTAAATGTTGCTTTATAAGATCCCAGACAAATTAGATAAATATCTATTTCTTTTAGGATGGGATGGAAAGGTAAGTGGGAGTTCCCTGCCCAGGCCTCTGCTGCCAGGGCTCTGAAGCTGAAGTGTTTATATACCCTGGTCTGCCTACAGATGTCAGCTCCTGAAGGGCAAGAACTACATCCTATTCCCTGCCATGCCCCTAGTTCCTAGCCCAGTCCCCACAACAGTGCCATTATTGTGCTAAATGAAATAGTTCAGGGCTGCTACCTGTCAGTCTTGAAAGGCAAAGGTTAGGCTGGGTGGCAAGTTAAATGTTCAATAATTATTTTTATTAAGTAGCCCTTTGTACTTTAAATTTATATTTATAAAATGTTCACTGTTTCTGTTTAGCTAATCACACGTGGCTTCTCCACCAAGGACATTACTGTGTATCCCTCCACTACCACCCTTCCACCAAGAACATCTGGAAATGTTTGGGGGCATTTTTGGTACTACGGGTATTTAGTGAGTGAAGGACAAATGTGTTCTATGTGTGATTCAGTTCTGTACCACAGAGAATTGATCCAACTCAGATGCCTCAGAAACACGGATTCTCTAATGAACTTAACTTTTCTAGAAAATGAATTTCTTAATGAAAACTCTCTCCAGTTTCCTCACTCTCTTTTACCTGTGTCTGGACATCTGGTCACAGGCTAGGTGTTTTCAGTGTCTAAATTATATTCCTCATAGATAGGCATGGATTAGTTACCTCTAAATGATTCCTCTTGCAAATCTATGCCTGTGAAGTTGGCAGCCTGGGGTGATAATTAAAATATTTAGTAACAAGCACCAAGAAATCAGAAGAGAGGTCTATGTAAATTAAGGGACTAGACTTTCTTCTTGCACACTGGTTATCAGCTATAGGAGTGGCACCCTTTGGTTAAAAGGCAAGATGTGGAATGTGGAGCCACTGGACAGTGGAAGGCAAGGGCTCAGGGAAGTCACATGCTCAAAGGAAACATCCATGGGCATATGATGGCATATTATGGTAACCAACTCACTGTCCAATGGGAGGACCACTCAGATGAAGAGTGAGGTCACTGAGCCACAAAATAAAGCTGAGTCATTTGGAACTTTTGGGTCTATACTGATTTATTAAAAGCATCTCAGGTAGGGTGAACAGGATCCCTTTTACTTGAGTGGCAGAAGAAATAAAAATTGAATGATGAAGGTCACCATAATTCATTAAGAACACTTAAACCTAACCCTTATTATACACTACCTTAAGTGACCTTCCCCAAAACCTTTTGAAGTAGGAATTATTTTCCCATTTCACGGATGAGAAAGTCAAGACCCAGAAAGCAAAATATCTTTCCTGAAGCCACAATATAAATAAGCAACAGTGTCTGAAATTAGAGTCCAGATACAGTCTGTGGTCTTTTATGAGTGGTGAAAAGAAAGGAAAGAAATGGAGAAAGAAACAGGAGAAATAAGGAAAAGAAACCAAGGAGGTATTCTATAATGTGCTATACCTGTTTGGAAAGTAAGCAAAATTATAAGGAATAAGAGAAGTAAAGTAAGGCTTTCTCCTCTATTTTCACTCCCAGGGGAATTCTCTTCTTTTTTTCCCAAAGCCAATGGCAGCTACACTTTCCTCACCAAGTTCTCCCAGCTCTAGGTCCACAAACCAAGGCAGATCTGTACCTTCTCAGAATTCCTTGAAGGCCCGAAGTCTGTGTCACATAAACTAGGTTTTGTCAAAATCTCACCCACCATTCAAACGCCACCTACTTCTTAGTGTCTCTCCTTAGATGTCCTCTTCTCTGCCCACTCTGTGCCATTTTATGGCCCCCTCCGCCTTTCCCAGCTGCAGTACCCTCACTCCCACTGGGACTTTGTCTTTCTCATGGTGACGTTTCCGCTGAATGCTGGCAGATGGATTCTCTTTGGGGGAAATTATGTCTGTAAGCATAATGTATCGTATCAAAGTATAAATGCTATCAGCATCATCACCACCACCACTGACTTAGTATCAGCCTCGTACAGTGTGCCAGGCACTATGCCACATCCTTTAGGCCTGGTTGAATAATCTTCATTCCAACCCTATGAAGCAATGACTATTATTACTGCCTTTTACACATGTGAAAACTAAAGCTTCAAAAGATTACATAGCTTGTCTGGTATCACACATGTCTCTTTCTCTTTTCGCAGTCCACGGAGAGCAAACTAGCAACCTGTAAATACTTAGTGGAACATAATTCATTCATCCATTTGCTCATTTGTTGGTTCACCCATTCATTACATGCCAGACAGTTGATAAACAAAATAAGAATAAGTCCCACCCACTGCCCTCTAAGCAATCATAGTCAAGTGGGAGTTTGACTTTCCCCCAAACAAGCACTTAGTAGAAGGTGCAATAATGGGGGAGGTTCAGGTCCCTAAACAGCTCAGGGACCAGGCATCCCAAAGGAGGTAGATTCAGGTGGTCATGAGTGTTTTCCCTGCTAAAGTCCCTGGCAATGGGGTCTTCTGGTGAATGTCCCCAGTTTGTAGAATACTCAGGGCAAGAATGACTTGCCCTTTGGTACTATCCTGTGTCCTCAGCAGCAGAGCACACAAGAAGTCCACATCACTCCTGTACCAGCCACTGTCACCTCCAAGAGTTTGCTTTGTAGTGATCTGAGGGCCCAAGCTCTCACTATTCTACGCAATTATAAGTAGAATCCTGCAGAGAAACAAAGTCCCCTTCCTTATTTTTACAGAGGATTGTTTGTGGCACTTACAAGCAGCTTCAAATGAGTACACAGGTTTTATTTCCCTACAGACTTTAACAACATCCTGCCATGAGATGAAAATCTGGTAGGCACTCCTGAAAATCTGCCAGCTTGCAGCTACATTCCCTTTAAGGCTTAAACATATTTGGAAAATAAATTTTTTTAAACATTTTTTTAAAAATTCAATACTTCTGCTGTAGAAAAATTGACCACCAGAAATCAAGCTTCCAAACCTGGTTTTATGAGTTACCTGTGGCATAACCATGCCAGATGCAAGACCTTTGCAGCAATTATTTTCCATGCATCTACAGAGTTCAGCCTATCTAGGCTGCATGCCCTCACACACCTGGGGGTTGGCTGACTACGGCTCAGTCTGGCCGGTCTACTCTGCTCTACTGCGTGTGCCTCTCATTCTTTCCCTGGAATGGTCAGCTCACTAGGCACATCTTTCTTGTGATGATGGGGGAGTGGAAGAGCGAGAGCAGAAGTATGTCTGCACTTCCTCAAGCCTCTGTTTGCCTCAGGTTTGCTGATATCCTATTGACCAAAGCAGTCCCATGGCCATGGGTGAGCTCGGAGTCAGAGTGGGAGGGCAACACAAATAGCATGGACAGGAGGAGCAAGGAAGAATCAGGGTGACTGATGTAATAAGAGACCATGCTAGTCCTGGTAAATTAGAGAGACAGTGGCCATATGCTCTAAAACCCACAGTAGGCTCGACTAGGATTTTTATGTTCTTCCAGCTGAAAAACACATCCTGGGAAGAGCAGTCTAGATGGCAAAAGGTGGACATTTCTGAGATGTGTTGCTGGTGTATTCCAGTTGATACATGAGTCACGTGGAAAAATACAGTCAGCCATTCGTATCCGTGGGTTCCATATCTATGGATTCAACCAACTAAGGATCAAAAACTTTTTTTTAAAAAAACCCAATAAAGGCCAGCATGGTGCCTCACGCCTGTAATCCCAGCATTTTGGGAGGCCGAGGCGTGCAGATCATCTGAAGTCAGGGGTTTGAGACCAGCCTGGCCAACACGGTGAAACCCCGTCTCTACTAAAAATACAAAAATTAGCTGGGCACAGTGGTAGGCGCCTATAATCCCAACTACTCTGGAGGCTAAGCCAGGAGAATTGCTTGAACCAGGAGGCAGAGTTTGCAGCGAGCCGAGACTGCGTTATTGCACTCCAGCCTTGAAGAGTGGAACTTTGTCTCAAAAAACAAAACAAAACAAAAAAGGCGATAAAAATAACAATACAGTAATAAAAATAATACAAATTTTTAAAATGCAGTATAACAACTATTTAGATGGCATTTACATCATATTAGATATTATAAATACCTCAGAGATGATTTAGAGTATGTGGGAGGATCAGCATAGGTTATAAGCAAATACTATACCATTTTATTCCATGGACTTTAGCATCCTCAGATTTTGGTATCCCCAGGGGTCCTGGAAGCAATCCCTCAAGGACACCAAGGAATGACTATATTTATAAACTGGGACTGTACTGAGAACTAAGAGGGATGTCACCAATAAATGGAAATATTAAAGTACCTCCAAACAAAGGTTGCACATTTCTTACAAAGCTAGAGTAGAGTTTATTTACTGTCTATAACTGCTTAAAAACAGAAATAGCAACAATAATTACAAACATTTATTCAGCAATTATTATGTCTTGGGCATTGTGCTAAGCACGTTCTACCCGTTATTCCTCTTAATTTTCACAATAAAACTATGTATGCGTACTCCCTCTCTCTCATATGTAATGATTATATCAATTTTACAAATGAAAAGACTGAAGCCAGTGGTTAAACAACTGGGCCAACAACTCACAAATAGTAAAAGGAGGTGTGAGGACTTGAACCCAGGTCTGTCTGGTTCCATGCTCTTTACCACTCTGCTATACCATCCCTCTCTGTAGTCACATGAGCCTCAATGGGCTTGTCATGCTGCTGTCTTTATTTATAGACAATTCCAGAGCTTCTGAATCCTCTTCAGTTACTGACAGAAAGTCTATTCTGTCTAAAAACGCCTACATTTTACCCAATGCCTGACTAGTCTAATTTAGCGTTTCTTCCATTTGTACATTAACTAAGACAGTTTCTAGGGAGAAGTTAGGACAAGACTCAAGACATGATGTCTGATTGGCTACTGCCAATCTATGAATATAAATCATGCAGAGAGGAAATCAACAAAGCTCCAAGGAGCAGAATGGAGGGGAAAAGAGCCCAGCATTTGGCATCAGACATCCTCGGTTCCTTTTCTGTAAAATGAGACTATTCATTGATTATATCCCAAATATAAATTAATATAAATTGATATATAAATGTATACCAAAATTTAAAATGTATTCTTTTATTCTGTATATGTGTACATTAAAGTGAGCTGTTGCCAGAAATTACTATTTGATGTAAGCTGTACCACATATTCTGTATCAAATTCTTCTAAGATTTTCTAAATCATTTGTAGATTTTGAGATGTATTGGCACATACTTTTGTTTGAAACAGTTGTCACTGGTAAGTGATGCCCCTTCTGAACCATAGCTGGCATAGGGAACCACACTAAGTTCTTTCAACGACATTTCATCAATAGCCATCAGGACCCTGGATCCTGGCACTTTGTTATGACTAGATGCTACTGCTGCATCCTGGCCAATGACCGGGTATCAGCTCTTCCCACATGACCTGGATTGTAGGGACCCAACCTTGGCCTCTACTGACATGCACACCACCACCCCCTGCTCTGCTTCCTTCTCTGAAGCCCCGCCCAGTGCTAGCTACTCTGGAACAGTGGGCAGGTGCTGTATTGGTCCCACCTCAGTCCACTCAGCCCCTAGGGACCTATCACCCTCTCTGTTGGTGCTACTCCCAGGATGTCTTCACCACCACATTGCTTTGGTACCAAAGTCAATCAACAGCATAACCACAGTACAGCTATTCTGGGGCCCAATGACTAAATCTCAACCCTGAGAAATACTTGTTTTTGCCTGCTGTATAGATTCCTGTGTTGTTTAAAGGAACTAATGTGTGAGAAAATGTCTTCTAAAACAAACAGTAAATATTGCCTTAAACATGATTTTTAATCACCAAATGTGCATTTGATAAAGCATAGAAAATTCGAAATGTTAGTCCTTCATTATTCTCTTGGTGCAGTGGTGTGCAGCTATAATCCCAGCTAGTGGGGAGGCTGGGGAGGGAGGATCGCTTGAGCACAGGAGTTCAAGGCCAGCCTAAGCAACATAGTAAGACCCCTTCTCTAAGAATCTGCAAAGCATGTAAAATAAATGAAAAGGGCTAAGCTTGTTAGTGCACTACTACTGTGTGAGGCAGAGTTCAAGTAGTTAATAGAAAGGGGTGAAAATAGTCCTTCACAGCCTGCTTGCATCATCTAATAAGGGCACCACTCCCAGGATAAAGGTCTGTGTAGTAAATGTGAATATTTTCACTAGATGTGACAGTCCCAAGACCTCCACTCCTGTTGATGCTGTCCCAGGACAAATGGGGATCTCCTGAGTGCAAGAGATAGATCATATCAGGACAAGGCCTTTGAAGTTCATGGGAATAGAAAGGCAGATGGTATAGAAGAGCAGTAGAAAACATTCTATTCATCAGGGCCCTCTACAGAAACAGAACCAATAGGCGATAGAGACTTGGAGAGATGGAGATAGAAATAGAGGTAGAGATATATAGAAAAATATAAGGAATCAGCTCACACAATTATGGAAGCTGGTAAATCCAACATCAGCAGAGTGATTCAGGAGACCCAGGGAAAGCTGATGGTCCCATCAAAGGCCAGCAAGAGCCAATATTGCAACTGAACTCCAAAGGCAGTCACAGCTGCGGAATTCTCTCTTACCGAGGAGAGGGTCAGTCTTTTTGTTCTAATCAGGCCTTCAACTGATTGGATGAGGCCTACCTACATGGTGGAGGGCGATCTGCTTCACTCAAGTCCACTGATTTACATGTTCATCTCATCCAGGAGCACCCAGAATAATATAGGACCAAATATCCGGGCACCTCAAGGCCCAGCCAAGATGACACATAAAATTAACCATCACAAACAGCCACAAATCAGGCATAGCTTAACTGTCACTGGTTGCGGATTAGTGTAGAAGTTTCCATGTTCCATGGGTCAAGAAAAGTCCAGAAGACTTAAGAATTCTGGAGATTTTACAGAGATGAATTTTCTAGCACAAAGAAAACTCCACTAAAAGGGGTAGGGGGTTGAAGGACAGAGAAAAACCACAGGGGGAAACCATTAACAGATAATGAATCATCATCTCAGCTTAACAGCTCCTGCTGCTTCCTCTCACAAAATAGCATCTTTGCCAGGCAAGGTTATCTGGGAGGGGAGGATTCACTCATAAAAAGAAACGCTGGAACCAGGACCTCTAACTGTGTGTAGGGGTGTGCGCGCGCGCGTGTGTGTGTGTGTGTGTGTGTGTGTGTGTGTGTGTGTGTTAAACCTCCCCAGCAGAATATTTAACCAAGGACACATTTTCCCCTGCTCTAATTCCTTAGCCGTTCCTCCTCCTCTGTAAATCTTCTAAACATTGCAGAGCCTCAGGCTTTGAGCCGGCCCTCAGTGCTAGCTCCATTCTCTCCTTAAATGATCTCATTCACAGATTTAAATACCATCAATATGCTGATGATTCCTGAATTTATTTTCCCCAGCTCAGACCTTCCCTACCAAAGAGCAATTTCATATGGTATGGCTTAATATAGCAACCAATAAAAAACCTCTCACTCATATCATTTTTTTGCTCTCTTTAAAATGATTCCTTCTAGTCATATGATTTGTAAACCCCCCCAAATCATTAAATAATCACCCACCGCCATGTTATATATAACCTGTGTGGATCAGTGATGAGTTCAGACGCAACCTAGGTATACTCACTGGTATTTCAGAAAGCATGGCTTTCTCACTCCTGCCTCTATCCCACTTCTGCTAAACAGCACCCAGCATCCAGGGCCAGGCTGGGGATGTATGAGAGAATATAAAAAGATTAGAAACCTGCTCAGAATAAGTCTTCTGACAGTTGGTTCATGCCTGGGAGAATAAAACTTCCATCTAACAAGACTGACCACCAAAAGTTCTTTTGTTTCCTTTTTGGAAATTTTTTAAGAATAAGGGACAAGTCAGGTCATTTTGGTGAGTTTTATTGGGAAGAACAAAATGAAATTAATCTCCTTGGTATAATTCAGTACATTCACAATTCGCCTCTGCATTTCATGGAAGAGCAGAAGCATACGCTCAGTGGCCAGGCTTTCAGAGCCACTAACGCAGTTCCCATTTTAACATTCCTAGGGAACTGAAGCAGGTTACTGCTAAAATTGGATGAGGCTCAGCGTCTTAACATTTATGGATGTTAAACCAAGCCAGTGCTGGGTTTCCAACATGCCATAGGCTCGGCTCAAGGAATTTTAAACCAATGACAAAAGCATGGGCCTGCTTCCTTGTCAATAACATCAACACCTCCACCCCCAGACAATCCCACTGCCATGGTAAGTCTGGCTTTAGTGTTTTTGATTTTATTTTGTCCCAAGCCTAGAGAAAATGGGGATGGTGGAAGCTATTTAATCTCAATGTCTTTGTTTTACAGATAAACAAGGTAAGGCCCAGAGAAGTCCAGTATCTTGCTCATGGTCACACAGCAAATTTCTCAATATCACTATCTTAGTCTCCCCATCTGTAAATGATAACCACAAGCTGATCTCCCTTGTAGGGTTTCTGTGACTATTAAATATTGTGTCAGACAGACTCAGCACAAGCCTGACCATAAAAAGCAAAACAGATGTTTGGCATTAATAATCCTCTCCAGGCTTATCCTTTGTAGTCAGGGAAGCTGTTAAGATTGTCAGAGAAGGCCGGGCGCAGTGGCTTACGCCTATAATCCCAGCACTTTGGGAGGCCGAGGTGGGTGGCTCACCTGAGGTCAGGAGTTCAAGACCAACCTGGCCAACATGGTGAAACCCCATCTCTACTAAAAATACAAAAATTAGCCGGGCGTGGTGGTGCATGCCTGTAGTCCCAGCTACTTGGGAGGCTGAGGCAGGAGAATCACTTGAACCTAGGAGGCAGAGGTTGCAGTGAGCTGAGATCATGCCACTGCACCCCGGCCTGGGCAACAGAGCAACAGAGACTCCATCTCAAAAAAAAAAAAAAGATTGAGAAATCAGCAAGTCTTGCTGCAGTGTGTTCAAATGTTCCTACCACCATGCATATTTGGTTTAAAAAAAATCAGAAAGGCTACTCTAAAATTAACCCCCTTCTATCTTTGAACTTCACAAATGAGACCCAACAGTGGGGAAATAAGAAGAGGGAAATCTCCTGTTCAAAAACAAAATGGCCTTTCCTACAGACAAAAGATGGCTTCTAGGATGGCAAGGGATTTGTCTCCCCTTTATGAAGTCAGCCTAATTAAAGAAACTTTTCTATCAGTTCTTCAATTAAATACACATCTCCACAAAGGAAGCCTTGTTATGCATGAGAGACTGCCCTCTACTGTGAATTTTCATTAGTGCAGTAGGTGTTGGTTTGGAGACCTGGGGCAGGCAGGGGATCTGAGTCCAAGAGTCTGGAAGAACCTGTGCCAGTGGAGGACACTGACTTGTTCTTCCAGCACTGTCCCCACTGAAATGGAAAAGGGCAACCCTAAGGGTTCTCAACCAAATGAAGAATTCTAGGGGTGCAGCTGAGATAGAGGAGATGTTGCTACAGACTGACACACACATCCCTGCTGTCTCAACCTTGAGGCCAGTTAAGGGCTCACAAGTAGAATAAAGGCTAATCAGCCCCATGAAGCATCCCTAAATTTCAGAGAGATAGCAACTTGTTACAAAATACCAGAGTGGTAGGCTTAAGGAAACAGCCATAGGCATATGAAAATAAGTCTGCTCCTCTTCCCATATTTAAAAGTGGTTGGAAAATTCTTAAAGATAACTCTGCTGTTCTGATGTCTCTTATGGTGCAGCGACCCAGGGGAGGATTTCAGACTGACATAAGAAAGAATGATCCAGTGGTCACAGCTGACCAATGATTATGAGCTTCCATCTCTCAAGGTAATCAAACAGATTCTGGATGATTCCTTAGGGACGGAGAGAAATCTCAAGATTCCAGCTCCAGAAGGAGAGTTAGTCTACATCAGTGGTTCTCAGAGTTTGAGACTTCACAGATCAGAAAAACATCCAAAATAATTTTGGGAAATTACATAGGGTTTAAAGACATTTATAAAAATGATTATTTAATATGACTATGACTTCTTAGAAGAAGAGAGTGTTTAAAGCACATTTAATGGCCAGGCATGGTGGCTCATGCCTTAATCCCAGGACTTTGGGAGGCTGAGCCGGGTGGATCACTTGAGCTCAGGAGTTCGAGACCAGCCTGGCCAACGTGGCAAAACCCTGTCTCTACTAAAAATACAAAAAAAATGAGCCGGATATGGTGGCTGGTGACTATAATCCCAGCTACCTGGGAGGCTGAGGCAGGAGAATAGTTTGAATGGGGAGGCAGAGGTTGCAGTGAGCTAAGATTGCACCACTGCACTCCAGCCTGGGTGACAGAGTGAGACTCTGTCTCAAAAAAAAAAAAAAAAAAAGAAAGAAAGAAAAACACAGGAACAAAAACAAAAACAGGCATCATTATTCTTTACATTGAATGAATGGAGATGAATGCACTTCACAACACTTAATCTTCACATTTTGTTAAAGTGATCCAACAAAAATATTATAACAGAGCAGCACTTGCTTATCCATTACCTTTGCAGAAACTTTCTTCAATAGTCAAAAATGTTGATAAAGCTATCTTCATGTTGGAGAAAAGAAAAGATCCCATCCAATCCGAGTGTTTGCATTTGAACATGTTTGAGCATTTGGAATCAGCAGAGCAGAAGGTTTTGAGAAGGGGCAGAAACAGCACCTGTTGTCTTACCTTCCTGCTCCTGGAGAAGACAGTGCACCATGCAGGGCAGCACTCCCGTACAGGATATCTTAACTTGGGCCTTGTGGTTTAACTTAAGAGACTCCCTGAAAACTGAAAGCTAAATTAGGTGTAGACTACACTTGTTTGAGCATGTGCAGAACTTCCAACAGGTTCACAAAAGGGCCCATGAACTCAAAAATGGAAAGGCGCTGATATAAAAGGATGAATTCCAAAATACATGTTATTGGAACCTGTAGTAGATTGCAATACTGGTCCCAATTTTCACACCTCCCTGCATCCACACCTTTACTCATCGTGGCTATCATTCATGGAGTATAACTACCACTCCTTCCTCACCTTTGACTTGGCCTCATGACTTGCTTTGGCCAACAGCAAATGGGTGGAAATGACAACGTGCCAGTTCCAAATTTAGGCCTTTGGAGGCCTCATGTTTCCCAGCTTGCTCTCTTGTGCCTCCATCCCTGCCAGAAGGTGAGCACACCCTGGGTGGTCCCAGGAAGAGGATGAAAGATGTGAGAAGCACAGCCACTCGGCCAATCCACAAACTCACAAGTGAGAAATAAGTGCCTAGTTTTGCACACCACTGAGATTCTGAGATTAGTTGTTACACATCCTTACAATGGCAATAGCTAACTGATACAGGACCCAAATTCCAGAAGTTTCCTAGAGTAGAAGAGGGTGAACTGATGCCATTACGGCAGAGTAGAAGATAGTGATAGGAGATGCAGTGCAGCTTCTTTCTCCATCTCATTCCCACCCAGCTTCTATACAAGCTCTCTGGATCTTTGCCTAGTCACTGGCTCTAATAGCAAGTTAAGTCCCCTCTCCTCAAGCAAAGAAAAACAAATGAGCTGAGTCTTCATATTCAGTTATTTTGGTCGCTGAACTCCAATAGATGTGTGAGTTTTTCAAATATTTGCAGATTATCTTTTTGAAATCCACCTTTAATCATTTTTACTTGTAATTGTTCCAGATATTTTATAGCCTTGCCTACCTCAGCAAGCAGAGCATATAGCACACAGTTATAATTTTGTTTTAAAAGGCAATGTGGAACACAGGCTATTGAAATAAATCTAAAGTCTACAACTGAATAATTTTTGACCTTGTGCAAGACACTTAGCCTCTATCAGCCCATTTCTTCATCCACAAAATGGGACTCTTACTTATTTCACAGAGTGATAGAGAAGATTAAATGAAGTAATGTATACATTACTTGGTTATGGAAGGTGCCCAGAAAATTGCATGTTGCTGTGCTTCTCGACATGGACTTGAGTTGCAGTATGGAGACACCAGTCAGGGCAGGGGCAAGAGCTCAGGTTTCAGAGTCAGAACTGGATTCTTATCCTGGCTCTGCCACGTACCAGTTATGTTGAACAAGCCACTCACCCTTCTGAGCTTTGGTTTCATCTTTTGAAAGTGGTAATTTTAAAAACAAAAAGCAAACCCAAAAAATTCAGAGGTGTTTGTATCATAAAATAATATATGTAAAATTTTAAAAACTGTAAAGAGCCAGGAAAATACAACGTTATTCTTATTCCTGGATGGGCCACATGTACATGTTCAGGGGGCACTTCTGTTTTAATAGTGCTTTAAAAAAATTATATATATGGAGAGAGAGCCAGGATCTCGCTCAGTTGCTCAGGCTGGAATGTAATGGTGTGGTCTTGGATCACTGCAACCTCTGCCTCCCAGGTTCAAGTGATCCTCCTGCCTCATTCTCCCAAGTAGTTGGGACTACAGGTGTGTGACACTACACCTGGCTAATTTTATATTTTTTGTAAAGATCAGGTTTTGCCATGTTGCCCGGGCTGGTCTCGAACTCCTGGGCTCAATCTATCAGCCTGCCTTAGCCTCCCAAAGTGCTGGGATTACAGGCATGAGCCACCATGTCCAGCCAATGGTGCTTAATAAGTGAAACTTAACTAATGATGCTTAATAATGGATACCTAATAAATACTACTGAAGTCTATTTATGAAAACCCCTATGAACTTAAATGAGATCCATTTATTAAGAACTGGCCAATCGAAAGTGAAAATGCAATTTAAAGAAGTATTATAAGAGAGTGTAAAACTATATAGTTCTACTATTTGCAATATTATAATTAACATTTCTTTTGGTGTGAAGAGATGATGTCTATGAATCCATATCCTAGAACATAAAAGAGTGAATACAGGACTCAAAGTTTCCTCATTTTATGGGCACACAGAATGGGTGAACAGTGGCAGGGAGAGCAACTGCCACACACAGAATCAAGCTCAGTAAATCCCCACTCTGAAAACTAAGAACCACCATCTAAGTGAAGCCTTTACGTGGCTTGTAATCAAACCTGTCTCTGGTTCACATACTGAAATTTATTAAACATATGGGTCATCTTTCCGAAAAAATGTTCAATTTTATTATTTTCGCATAGCTGTGAGCTGATGTCGCAGGCTTTCCAACTGGGCATTGGCAGAGGTGGGATTCCAAAACATCTTTGCAGCATGGACTCTGGGGTCTGTGTGCAGAAACTGGGCTCTAGGATGAATGTCACAATTAGTTCCATGTGTGAGAAAGGGTGAGATATTATACATCTCTGCATTGTTCCTGCTGGATTTCTTGTTCTTTTCATCATCACATAGTTTTAAATAGCACCTTTGTATCCCTGCTGTGGGACTCAGATTCCCAAGGATAAACGAAGGGGCTGGAAACAAAATATGTAGATACACTAGGTCTATCAGGACCCTGGTAATAAATAGCCTAAAATCAGAGGATTCATCTGAATATGGACACAGGAGACTTTAAAGGGAAAAAAGTTAACACGTAACTAACAAATATCTTTTCCTGTGGTAAGAATAGTCTGATTCAGTCAGGGTGAGAGATATTAGAAAAAAAAAAAAAAAAAGGAAAAAGGAAAAAAAACATTCAGCCAGTTAGAAAAACTTCTTCCTATTACAGGGAAGTAGCAAGGGCCTTCTTTGTTAGCATGGACTCAATTTCAAGAGCAGAAATCAGGCACCAACCATAACAGCTAATAATACTTTCAGCTATTGCCGGGCACTATGCTACAGCCTTTACAGATACTATACATAATTTAATCTTCACAATAACCTCATAAGTATTATGAACTTCATCATGCTGAGAGGGAAATGGGGCCTTAATGAGTTTCAGTATCTTGCTCACAAACAGGTATCAGAAGTACCAGAAATTAAACCCAGGCCTGTCTAAAACCAAAACCTCCCCCAAATAATATCCACAAAGAGATTTGAAGCATCAATCTCTGTTCATCTGGAATCAGATATCTTAAGCACAAAATCAATTTTTATGGAAAAAAAAAAAAACTCCTAAAGGAGAAAGGTCTCACACGGTGCCCTCATCTGCTCAACCCTCTCACCACCACCTGCCAGTCTCTATGGGTTAGGGCTTAGTTTGAGAGAAATGTAGGTAACCAAAATCTTATGCAATTAAAACATTTATCAGTTCTGAACTGCCCATTATAAAATAGAAGTTTTATATTTATAACTAGTAAAATAATTTTTAAAATATTAATATTTTAAAATAATTTCTTAAATTTTTAGAAGACTTATACACTTAGTTTGAAAAATACCACATTAGACCCAGATTCTGGTCTCAGCTATGCCACCAAATATGTTTCCTTAGGAAAAGTCACTTACTCTCCCTATAAATCAATTTTCTTTATTGGATATACCAGGTACTTCCCAAGAGTATTCCGATATCTAAGATTCTATATAAGTCAAAGAAATAAAGGTAGTTTTCTCTGAAATTATTTAAGTAAAATCTTTTGTTTATTACGAGTTGAGCAATAGGGTCTGGGAAGAAAGGAGGTCTTAAATCTAGAAATTTCTCAATGCACTCTTGGAAGATGATGCATACTAAAAAAAAATTTAATGAGCCAAAATATAGTCTAAAGGTAACAGAGGCAATTGTTATTTAAAGACTAGGGACTTTCATACCAGGAATAACATGTTCGTGAAGGCTGACTTTGGTAAAGTGAGTTTTCTAAGCTTGAGGCACCAGTATCTCAGGCAGTGACAGCCAACTTTAGACGCCTCAAGGAGGCCACAGCATGCTAGCCAGGTGAGCTAACAGAGTCACTCTGGAGACTGCTATGAGAGAAGGAGTGCATTCAGGCTAACTAGCTTAACTGCAAGCAAGCAAGAGACTAAAGAAACTATCAGTACCATCCTGTCTCTTGATTTGACTATATCCCATGTGCTTCCTGGAAAACTAAAGCTGTGGAAGATACATCAACATGCTCACCCCCCAGATGGTTCACTTAGACAGACTCAATTGTCGTCTCTTAAGATCAACCTTATAAAAGTTTAACAAGAAATGTGAACTGACATTTATGGAGCATATGTGGGGCACACTGCATAGGTCATCTTATTTAATTTTTACAAGTGTACTCTAATCAGGCACATGGGTGTCAATGGGAAAGCTCTGGAAGGCCAGGCCAAGCTCTTGAGCCAGAATGAATCTCTTAAATGCCAGCATCATGATTCTGACTGATTGCCAGGTCCTCCATCCCTTGTTTGAAAACATAAACCCAAACATACAACAATAAAGATAAGCACAACCCAACAATAGTTACTTCTTTTTATACAGTGAGTTCCGGAGACAAAAAGATGCTGCACTGTTAGGATAAGGATGTTGCATAAAGAAAATTCCCCTAGTTTTCTATAATACACAGAGATCTTGGAGAGGTTTCCCTGCTATCTGGTGACCCAGGAAAGTGCTGAATACAAAGCTGCTGGCAGCTGGTTTAACTTATGCAATGCATTTCTTGACATGGTTCTCAAACATTGTGGAAATGAGAATGCATGTAACAGACTTGCCTGAACTTCATATTTCCCTTCTCAGTTTTCCTCCTGAGCCTCTCCCAGTGGCCTGGCTAAATTCCAGAAGCAAACAGTATCCTCATATGTTCCCATCTCTTTATTAACTTCTATAGCAATTACTTCAGATTCCTTGTCATGCCCTCATTTCATTAAAATCTGTCCATCAAGAGAAACACTGAGTAGCCCGCTTTTGCCCTGTACCCATCAGAGGTTTTTGCACTGGACCAGAAATTAAGCTCACAAATTGTGATGATTTTTACAACAGAAACTCTCCAAAGGGGAATTATGTGTTTCTGGAAGAATTCTGAGCATCTCTCTGACCTGACTACGAGACGGCTCACTACCAAGCGCATGTGAGAGCAGAATGGAAGGGAAACTGATGAAAACCACTTTTAAGTGTCTCCGAAAAAAAAAAACAACAAAAAAAACCTTTGATCTTTGTATGTCTGAAAGATGATGTACTTGGTCCTATCTTGTGACCTGGGAAGAAACAAACAGCAGGAAAAGAAACCTGAGATCTCATCTTCTAAATCAACATTCCACTTGGTTCCTCTATTTTATGAAAAAATGAAGGTATCCTAGAAGCTTCTCTTTTCTTTTCCTCCCCAAATATGCCAGCCTTTGATTCTCAAGCTATGATAAGATGGATGTGGAAGTGAAAAGAAGACTCTCATATACACATATTTGGACAAAAAGAAGAAGACCAAAAATGCCAGCCCTCATTTCTAGTCAACCAATAGAGAGGGGAAAGGAGCAGAGTGGAATATAGGAACGGAAGCTATTTTGAAGGTTTCCCATGGTTACAGCTGCTATGGAAATCATTTTCTTCTCTGGGGTTTTCAAAGATATCCAAGCCCAGCTTCAATCACGGTTTAAAGAAGGAGAACAAAGGTAGAACACGGACAGAAATTGCTTCTTTTATTTAAAGTTTTAAAAGGTTCCAAATTAGGATGGTTGGAGGTTGGGTACAGGCACTAATGGTAGTGGTAACCTCAAAAGACTCCATATCAGAGTTGCCCAGCAGGGGACAAAATCAATCTCTCATGGTCTGGAGAGAAACCTGCACTTTCTGGACCTAGACAGGGAAAGATGGATCTTTTTAAAGCACAAATCGAATCATGTCACTCCCCTGTGTAAAAGCGTTCAACAGCTTCCCGCTGTTCTTAGGATAAAATCCTTAATATCCATGACGGTCTGGTCCGGGCATCCTGTTCCACCTCATCTCTTTCTCTGCCTTGTTTCCTGCATGGCAGCCGCCCTGGTTTTCAGCCCATCAAATGTGGTAAGAGGCTTCCTGCTTCAGGGCCTTTGCGCCTGCTGTCGCCTCTGCTAGGGACACTCATGCTCCCTCCGCCCCATCATCTGGTCACCTTTCAGGTCTCACGTTCAATGGCACTTTCTCTGGCCCCTCACCCCCCAACCAGCTTGGTCAGGCCATCCTGACCTTCCCTATAGAGCACCTGCTGCAATTTATTTAATCTATAATTAGATGCTTCATGCTTCATGAGCACAAAGAAGTGGAGTAGAAGCTTCATGAGGGCAGGGACTAAATCTCCGCCTTCCCCTGCTGCACCCAGGCCTTTGTTCAGTGCCTTGCACGTGCACTCAGTAAATATTTAATGAATGAATGATTTAAGAGAATGTCACAGGTAGATTCTACCTGTCTCTCCCTCCCCAATGTCAACACATGGTATTTCTGTAAGCCCCAATCACCACGTCTACGGCATCTTTACAGGAGTCTCATAAATATGGACTAGAGCTACAGCTTAGGTAGGGCTTAGATTTTAAAGTCAGCACGCAATGTTAGGTCAAGTAGAGAGTGATCGACCAGGGGCATTTTGCCCCCAAGGGACATGTGGCAACATCTGAAGATATTTTTGGTTGTCACAGCCAGCATCTAGTGGGTAGACATCCAGGAAGCTGCCAAATGTTGTACAATGCACAAGAATGCTCCCACAATAAGAATTACCTGACTCAAAGTGTCAATAGTGCTGAGGTTCAGAAACTCTGGTGTAGAGAGAACATTCCCCTTAATGATCCATTTCAGAAATGATTTTGTAAATATTCCTCATGATCCACTTATGCCATCTTGCAGAGTGATAACCACCTCTCCTGGTCTATCCCAGCAGGTTTTTCTCCAGTGTTGAAACAGATGCTACTGCTTCAGTTGAAAACTAAAGAAAGTTGCTGGCTTGCACTAAAGGGCCATAGTGCATTAAAAAATATGTATCTTTAAACACTAACATCTCACTTAGCATGGCAAGAAGCCGACACCACCAGAGGCATTAAAAAACTGAAATCAACTAGAACTTGGAAAGTCATGTCCTTTCTGTCTTACTCACGCTGGGGCTAGGCACCTTGAGTAGAATGCCAGGCAAAAGTGTCCATGCATATCTAAATTATTAATTCTCTCTCACTGTCTTTCCCACAGGGATGAGTTGATTCAATGGGAACTCTCCTGTCACAATCTTGCCGAAAGAGCCAGCTTTCTCTCCACTGGATTCCCTCTATCCACATCCCCTAAATGCTTCCCACTTTCATGTAGGTAAAAATTCCACTATTAGAGATGCACTCCTTTGGATCCACCATTTCTCATATAAAATGAGCCCCTTAAAACGCAAATTTTCTTAGGAAATATAAATCTGCAGTAATTTTTATTTTAAAAACAGTGAGTAGCACCTTACCTTTAAGTAGAGAGGAGTTTCTTTTAACTCAGGAAATGAATTGGTATAAGAAAACTGGGCACCAAAAAGTGAGGGACTTTGTAGAAGGTGGGAAGTTGGATTGGCTTTATGGGGCCAAAAAAGAAGTCAAGAGTATTGAAAATAGTATCACCAGCTGTGTGACACAAGGCAAGTGACTTAACCTCTCTGTGTCTCAGTTTCCCCACCTATAAAATGGATTTAGCAGTGCCAGCCTCAGAAGGTTGTGGGTCAAGATCAAATTCCGTAATGCAGTAATACAGAACAGTTCTTGACCCATAGTATTCAATGAACAGTTTATAATTTTATTTAGGGCTGGCCATGATCCAGTTGAAAGAAGACTTCAAAATAAAGAAAAGAAAGCTGCTCGAGGAAGAATATCTACACATTGTACACACAGGTGGCATTCAATAAGCATGTGCTTAATGCTTCATTCATTCATTTACTCATTGCTTTGACCCAAATGCCTTAAACAGAACCCTAATTTTATACCCAGGATGGCAATAAATCTAGCTCAACTTCATTTCCTAATATCCCACACAGATGGTCATGTGACCACATTCTAGCCAGTGAGGTATATATAGAAGTCATGGGTGGATCTCCATGAAAGGAAGATGACTCAATTGAAACACTGCTTTCCCCTTTCCTTTTTCCTTTCTTTCTGCCTCAAACACAGTATAGTGATTGTGCAAGGTGGGGGAATGGGAGCTGGGCAGAAAGAAACCCTCTTGTCCCCTTGAGAATGAGAGGACACACTGAGGATGGATGAGCAGAGAGAGAAGCATGGGTTCCAGAGGAGGCATCAAGCTCGCATACAACTCCTGAATGCTCAACTGGCTGGGCGAGGTGGTTCATACCTGCAATCCTACCACTTTGGGAGGCTGAGGCTGGTAGATGACTTGAGCCCAGGAATTCAAGACCAGCCTGGGCAATATCACCAAATCTTGTCTCTACAAAAAATACAAAAATTAGCCTGGTGTGGTGGTGCACGCCTGTAGTCCCGCCTATTAATACTTGGAAGGCTGAGGTGGGAGGATCACCTGAGTCCAGGAAGTCGAGGCTGCAGTCACACCACTGCACTCTAGCCTGAGTGACAGAGTGAGACCCTGCCTCAAAAACAAACAAACAAACACACACACACACACACACACAACTAATTGCCATTTAAGCTACCCTTTGTTTTGAGAAGGTAGGGGTCTGTGTCACTGTAGCCAATAACTATACCGTGTTTATTTTACAATGTAGTGTCTATACCT
This sequence comes from Homo sapiens, assembly GCF_000001405.40. NCBI lineage: Eukaryota > Metazoa > Chordata > Mammalia > Primates > Hominidae > Homo > Homo sapiens. The sequence continues at coordinate 64,409,618 of NC_000003.12, forward strand.
GGTCATGTTTTTCTCATGGCTTCAACTACCAATCCTCAACTGTTGTCTTAGTCTGGTTTTTGGTGCAATAACAGAATACCTGAGGTGGTAATGATAAAGAACAGAAATTTAATTCCTTACAGCTCTGGAGATTTGAAAGTCTAAGATCAAGGCACTGGCATCTGGTGAGGGAGGGAGAGGGAGCACACATGAGCAACAGGGGGCCCAACTCCTCCTTTTATAAGGAACACTCTCCTGAGAGACGGCATTAGTCCTCTCACGAGGACAGAGCTCTCATGATCAAATCACCTCTCATTAGGCCTCACCTCCCAATACTGTTGCATAGGGGATTAAATTTCCAACACAGGCTTTTGGGGGGACACATTCAAACCATAGCAACTACCTTAACACTAAGGACTCTAATATTTTTATCTCAGGCCCTAGTCATAGTCTTAAACTAATCTAAGATAGGCCAGAATATCTCAATCAGAATGTCTACAAGTCACTCAACCCCATCTTATTCAAATTAGACTCTCTTTCCCCTCCCCACATCTTCTCTCCTCCTCTTCCTATCTTTCTTGTTTGAGGTATTCAGCATCACTCAGCTTCCCAATGGAGAACTTTTTCCTCTCTTTCAATCCTTCAATCGTGAATCAGTCACTGAATTTTCAGGATTCTTATCCTGAAACGGCTCACAGATTCAAGCCTCACACTGCTCCAGACTGGGCTATAAGAGGGGACAAGGGGTCAGGGGAAAGGGCAGATTCCAACAAAGGCCTTCACGGTGCTGTATTTTCCACCAAGAGCTCCGGATCATCATTTTTCTGGAGCTGACATTGGTGCCTGAGGCATGACTTTCAGTAAAGAGCAATACAACTGCCTCACGACATGTTTCACAACATTCAGCCTCTACGGTCAAAGCAAAGTAGGTAATTAGTACAATTATCCAGTCCATTGAGTCTGATATATTTTTCTATTCTGAATTCCCTGGGTGCTTGATGGCAGCCTTGACACATGGCCATGTATTTTAGGGAGTATTTTGGAGGTACTTACATCCTCCCCTCCCCAACCAGAGGAATTCATATAACTGGTAAATTAATGGTATAGTTTGAAAACATAGTTTTTCTGTTTCAATCTCACTCACTTTGAGTGAAATGGGATGATCTCGGCTCACTGCAACCTCCACCTCCCGAGTTCAAGCTATCCTCCCACCTCAGCCTTCCAAGTAGCTGGGATTACAGGTGTGCACAACCATGCCCAGGTAATTTTTGTATTTTTAGTAGAGACAGGGCTTCACCATGTTGGCCAGGCTGGTCTTGAACTCCTGACCTCAAGTGATCCGCCTGCCTCAGCCTCCCAAGGTGCTAGGATTACAGGCGTGAGCCACGGTGCCCAGCCTCAATTCATACTTTATCCCACCAGGATGAAATAAAAATTCAAAAGATTTATCGAAGGTCCAGTAAGGTTAGCCATCAAGAGAACCAGTAACAGCACAGTTTATCAGGCAATGAAGAGGGACTTTCCACGATGCAGATAATACTGCTCCTGCTGCCATCTTTTCAAGATACCAACCAGCGTCTGGTACTAGACTTGCATTTGGGAATAACATCAATCCATCTCAGCTGATTTCCTCTGTGATAACTTCATGACTATTTATGTGAAACTTCAAAGGCTAAGAAATGCTAAATAAACATGGAGACAAGTTGCCGAAATGTTAAACATTTGCCCCGGCTGACCTCACAAGATTTTGCTTGGGGAATTCTTCTAAGTCCATGTAAATTATCACTGGAAACCAAATGTGATGATAACATCTTTTAAAAAAAAATTTCATCCTAGGCCAGACTGAGGAAACTTACAAACCCAACACAAGATTATTTTTAGAATGTTGGCTACTGCAGAGAAAGAGAGAAGAAGAAAACAAGAATATGATTAGAAAATAGAAAAATAAAACTTAGATCACTTTTTCTCCAAAAACCGTCCTGACTTTTTCTATTCTAGCTTGGGAACTTTGGGTGTTAAAAAAAATCTAATTAAAAATCACTGCTGCTATTTTAGTTTAAGTGAAAGTAATACGCCTTTAAATTTTTTTAGATGAATACATTTCATTTTTCAGGGCTAATCTTTCATAGTATTTTAAATTGAATATCTTACTGTGAGTTTTTCATTTTCTACATGGATGATGTTAAAATGGCTTTCTCAAATACCACTTTTTTCTTTTAATTTTAAGTAGCTAGCACAGGTGTGAGCACCAGGACAAGAAAAAAAAAAAATCACAACCTTTAAGAAACAAAATATGCAGGGCTCTTTTCATGGAATCCATACCTACTGTCACGAAAAACAAAAACTGAAAGTGAACTAATTGTTCAGTGAGAGTCGATGGGTAAAAACAGGTTCCATTCTTATCAGGCATCACCATTCAAAAACATTCCCTGTGCAATTAGATGTTTTAGCCCCAAGGAGTGGCCACTAACAAATAGCATTAAAGACATATACTCAATAATGAGACTGAACAAAAAGCTCTGAGTCTACAGGCTTGACAACAAAAGTTAATGTTTATTAAATACCTCTATTTGTCAGGTGTCGTAATTAGCATTTCTGGGAAAGTTTAATAAGTGCCAGATACTTTTCTAAGCTTATTAATGTGTATTATCTCATTTATTCCTTGTAAAACTCCATGAACCTCATAGCCTTCCTCCTGCATTAGATCCCATAACAGTGTTTTTGAGGAAGGTATCCTTGTCTTCATGTACAGGAGAAACAATAAGGATCAGCAAAGTTAAGCAACTTGTCCCAGCTTTTAAGGACCAGACAGAGCTGGGTTTGAATGCAGGTTCTGTAATTTATCAGCAGTGTGAGTGAAGTCAATACCGGGACTCTGAGACTCAGTTTTATTCTGTAAAATGGCAACCTACCTTGTAAAGCTGTTGTTAGCACTGAAGGGAAGGCATATGAATAAGCACCTACCACAGTAGGGACCACAAAGTAGGGGTCCAGCAAACATTCGTTCTCATCCCTTTCTTTTATGTTTGGTTATTTTCTTTTTTTCTTTGCCTAATGGGGAAATATTAGGCATACACTTGGCCAGTTGTCCTTACTCATTGCTAGGACTATTAAGGAAAGAGCTATTCAACCCTCCTCATTGCTACAATGTGCACCCGAATTTCATGACTCCAGCATAAAAACAAAGTCCCTACTAAGAGGATTATGCCCACCCAATCTAATTCTTCTGAGTGTCTTCTAATGTGTGGCACACGTATCGACGATGGGAGCACCATGTAGTGAAGCTGGTAATGTTTCTTGGTCCAGGCCCTGAGTGTTCGACCTGGGGAAAAATTTTCTTTTTGTATACTTATGATTTGTGTACTTTTACCTATGCATGTTGTATTTCAATACAAAATTTGTTAAAAGGATGTCCATGCTTGCACATCCCTTGGAAGAGTCTTCACTATATGTCATTGGGTCTCATACCCTAATCATATATTAATACTATGCCTTAAGGTACCACCTGCCCCCAATCTCAGCCCCTGCCTCTTCCAGCCTCCCATTCCTTCAGGTCCTTTCTTAGAGCTTGTCCTTAGGCTCCAACTTACGTCTCTCTCTTCCCATGACCCTTTATCTTGGCACCTCACCCCAGTTACAGAACCTGTGTTTCTCAACTTCTGCCCCTACCCTCTCTAATCTTTCATCCAGCTTGTCTTTCCCCAGCCTCAAACCCCGGATGTCCATGTACAGTCAGATGCCCCGGGTCCTGCCAGCCCTCCTTGTTCCCACCACCTCTTTCACCACAGGCACTATGCCCAGGCCCAGCTTTTCTACCTGGCTCAGGAATTCCCACTTCCTGCCCTTGGAGTTCAACCCTTTCTGCCTGAAACCATGGTCTTGCCTACTCTTAAACTTGTCTTTTTTTCCCTCTTACTATCCACTAGTTTCCTTTCTAAATTAAGCTCATCTTGATTTTTAAGGGCTAGTTTTAAAGAAAATGCTAAGTCAACAATCACTAATTTTGATAGCCAATGCTTGCTGAATGCTTATTACGTGTCACACACTGCTCTCAACACGGTTCGTGTATTGACTCACTCAGTCCTCCTAGCAACCCCCTAAGGAAGGTACTATTCCAATCCCTGCTTTGTAGATAAGGAAAGTGACACTGAGGCCTGGAGAGGTGAAACAACTTGCCCAAAAACACACAGGGGCTCAGGAGTAGATTTGGGCTAGAAACCTATGCAGTCTGAGCTCCGAGCCAGAGCTCCTAACAGAAGCACAACACAGAAGCTCCTCTCTGCAATAGGAAAGGTCCTTAGACATGGCCAGAGGCAAGGAGGGGGCCATGAGTGACTGGGCTTGGGAAGAAATGTTCTAAGCAATACAGTCTGGGAGGAAAAGATGGAGATGCCAGGCCTGGCCCCTTTCCAAATGGCACATAGTAGTTTTCTCTTGATGAGGAAGGTGTTCGCGGAGGGTTCTGGTGATGTCCTGGTTTTGCCTTCTCCCCTCTTTGAACACTGATTAGGAGGAGGATTGGCAAGAAAATGTTCACTATGCAGTGAAGAGAAGAGGAAGGGAATCCTTAGGGCATGCGTGTGTGTATTATGTGGTTGTTAGTAAACAGGAAGAATGGGTTGGTTATTGGAAAAGGTGGAAACACACGAATGTCCTTTGAGAAGCTCTGACTCACCTCTGGACATTCTCATTTTGACTGTACGAAAAGATTCAAAGAAATAGACGCTTCACAGAACACATGAGTAAGGAGGACAAATCTCCGACCAGAAAAATGCTTTTCTTTGTAAAAAGCAAAGTTTGATTTAAAAATAAAGACTACTCAGTAGTGTGGTTGAGAGAAGCCAAAACCTGCCTGTAATCCCAGCACTTTGGGAGGTCAAGGTGGGCAGATCACTTCAGCTCAGGAGTTCAAGACCAGTTTAGACAACATGGTGAAACCCCGTCTCCACTAAAAATACACAAATTAGCTGGGCATTGTAGTATGGAAGGCTGAGGTAGGAGGATGGATTGAGCCCGGAAGGTCAAGGCTGCAGTGAGCTGAGATAGCACCATTGCACTCCAGCCTGGGTGATAGAGTGAGACCCTGTCTCAAAAAAATAAAAATAATTTTTAAAAAAATCATGGAAAGCCAAGCGTGAAAAACAAATAATAACAAAAATAAAAAACATATATAAAAGAAAAGCCAAAACTATCCCAAAACCATCAGCTGTGTTCACAGACTTCTAAGGAGAGGCAACAAGAAAAATACCTGAGGCCACATCCTCCCACTCCCCACTCCCACCCCTGAACTCCTGTCAGCGTTCTTCATCTTTTCTGAACCTTAGATGCCTTTGGGCACCTGGTAAAGCCTGGAACACCTTCTCAAAGTAAAATGAGTGATTAAGATATATCAGATTATAGGGAAAATCAATTACATTAAAATATGTTTATTCAATTTTTTAAAAAATTTGATGTAGCAGAAGTCCTGGCTGGAGCAATCAGGGAAGAGAAAGAAATAAAAGGCATCCAAATGGGAAAAGAAGTCAAACTATCTGTCTTCACTGATGATGATTCTAAAATCCTAAAGACTCCATCAAAAGGCTCCTGGAACTGATAAATGATTTCAGTAAAGTTTCAGGATACAAAATCAAGGTACAAAAATCAGTAGCATTTCTACACAAATAACGTTCAAGCTGAGAGCCCAATCAAGAATACAATCCCGAACTCCCAGCCTGGCCAGCATGGTGAAACCCCATCTATACTAAAAATACAAAAAAAAAAAAAAAAAAAAAAAATTAGCCAGGCATGGTGGTGGGCACCTGTAATCCCAGCTACGTGGGAGGCTGAGGCAGGAGAATCACTTGAACCCAGGAGGCGGAGGTTGCAGTGAGCCGAGACTGTGCCATTGCACTCCAGCTTGGGCAACAAGAACAAAACTCTGTCTCAAAAACAAAAAAAAAAGAATGTAATCTCATTTACAATAGACACACACACACACACACACACACGCACACAAACACACATACACACACACACACACACACACAAAACTAGGAATACATCTAACCAAGCAGGTAAAAGATCTCTACAAGGAGAACTATAAAATACTGCTGTAAGAAATTACAGATGACATAAACAAATGGGAAAACATTCTATGGTCGTGGATTAGAAGAATCAATACCTTTAAAATGGCCATATTGCCCAGAGTAATCTACAGAATCAATGCTATTCTTACCAAGCTATCAACATCATTTTTCACAGAATTAGCAAAAAAACTATTCTAAAATTCACATGGAACCAAAAAAAGAGGTCAAATAGCCAAAGCAATCCTAAGCAAAAACGACAAAGCAGGAGGCATAACATTACCCAGCTTCAAAGTATACTATAAAGACTACAGTAACCCAAAGAGCATGGTACTGGTACAAAAATAGACACATAGACCAATGAGACAGAATAGAGAACCCTGAAATAAAGCCACACACCTACAGCCATCTGATCTTGAACAAAGTTGACAAAAATAAGCAACTGGGGAAAGGACTCCCTATCAATAGATGGTGTTAGGATCATTGGCTAGCCATATGCAGAAGAATGAAATTGGACCCTTACCTTTCACCATATAGAAAAGTTAACTCAAGATTGATTAAAACCTTAAATGTAAGACCTCAAACTATAATAGTCCTAGAAGAAAACCAAGGAAACACCATCTGGACATCAGCCTTGGGAAAGAATTTATGACTATGTCCTCAAAAGCAATTGCAACAGAAACAAAATTTGACTAGTGGGACCTAATTAAACTAAAGAGCTTCTGTACAGCAAAACAAACTATCAAAGGGTAAACAGACAATCTATAGAATGGGAGAAAATATTGCAAACTATGCATCCAACAAAGGACTAATACCCAGCATCTATAAAAACTTAAACAATTCAACAAGCAAAAAACAAATAAACCCATTAAAAAGCAGGCAAAAGATATGAACAGACACTTCCGAAAAGAAGACACACTAGTAGCCAACAAATATATGAAAAAATGCTCCACATCACTAATCATTAGAGAAATGCAAATCAAAAACACAATGAGATACCATCTCACACCAGTCAGAATGGCTATTCTTAAAAAGTCAAAAACAACACATGCTGGTGAGGCTGCAAAGAAAAGGGAATGCGTATACACTGTTGGTGGGAACGTAAATTAGTTCAGCCATGTGGAAAGCAGTCTGCAGAATTCTCAAAGAAATTAAAACACAACTACCATTTGACCCAGCAATTAAACGCCACAGAAAATAAATCATTCTACCAACAAGACACCTGCACCCTCATGTTCAGTGCAACGCTATTCACAATAGCAAAGACCTGGAATCAACCTAGGTACACATCATTGGTGGATTGAATAAGGAAAATGTGGTACATATACACCATGGAATACTCCACGGCCATAAAAAAGAACGAAATCATGTCCTTCTCAGTAATGTAGATGTAGCTGGAGGCCATTATCCTAAGTGAATTAACACAGGAACAGAAAAACAAATATTGCATGTTCTCACTTATAAGTGGGAGTTAAATATTGGGTACTCATGGATGTAAATATGGCAAAAATGGACGCTGGGGACTACCGGAAGGGGGAGGAAGGGAGGAAGGCAGGGGCTAAAAAACTACTTATTAGATACTATGCTCACTACCTGGGTGACAGGATCATTCATACTTCAAATATTAGCATCAGGCAACATACCCATGTAGCAAACCTGCACATGCACCCTCTGAATCTAAAATAAAAATTGAAATTATTTTTAAAAATTACCATAGGATGCAGTAATATATGTCCTTCTTATACATTAGTATATAGGGTAAATGGATATACATACACACTGTATAACTTAGTATATAGTATACGTTATATAGGATATCAGTTATATGTATTATAAAACATTATCACATAACATATAACTCAGCATATATGGTAATAATACATACAACTTAGTACACATGGTTATATTTATTAACACATGATATACAAAGATCTAGCCACAAGTCTAATAACTACCATAATTTCCAAGTGGTAATGGGCATAAACAGTATTTCAGGATAACTTTTCTATGTGACAGAAAAACATCCAGGGTTTTTGTTGGTGAGAAAACCACAGGTATTGCTAATGCAATTACTATGATTTGTTGTCTTCTTTCATATTTGAGGGAAATGCTAAAGCTCAAACAGGGATTAGTAGAAACAAAGATACAATTTTTTTGTTTTCCATCCGAGTTCAGGGGTGCTCTGAGTTTTATCTGTAGACTCTCAGATTCAGAAACCCTGTTCTAGAAAAATGCCAAGAAAAGGTCAGGGCTGAAGGGGGAGATGTGTTGGCTATGGGGGTAAGAAGCCTGAGAAAGGATTTTTTTTGCTTCGCTGAGTCACTAATTACAAGGCAGCCTGCCCGTCCTTTCACACTAAGCTGACTTTTCACAAAAAGGCACTTCCTCCCAGCCACAGGCTTAGAGAGGGCCTACCCAGGTCAGCAGGCAAGCAAAGCCACAGAAAGCCCCCTGAAGCCTCTCTCCCCACCAGCTTGCAGTCTCGTGGCTGATGCTCAGACAGCTCTCCTCACCTTTTGCTACCTCTTGCTTCATTTTCATCACATCTTCAAAGTCATCTGTACCTACAGGCTGCTACCAATTGCTCAGTTTTAATCCTCCCATTTTAAATCATAAGTGATTAAGAATGTAACAAAACAACAAAAAACGACTTGTACAACTTTTTTAAAGAGCTGCCTCTTCACAAAGAGTTTAATTAAGAGAGGCTTAAGATATCTGAGTTATTCTCATGGTGGGAAGTAATGGGTCGAAAGAACACTGGCAATAAGTCCCTATTATCTGGGTTCTGGGCCCAGTTTCAAATACATAACTCCGGTAAGTCAACCTCCTCATGTATAAAATAAGGATAAGTCAACCTTTACTTACTCATGTATTAAATAAGGATAACAGTTCTTTAAAAGAAAAAAAAATATTTGAGAACTTCTCATGTGCTAGATACTATGCTCAGTGTTTCACTTTCATTATACCACCATTTCCCAACAGGAAACCTGTTAGCTTTTGATACTCCTATTTTACAGATGAGAAAACTGAGGCACAGAGAAACTAAGTGACTTGCCCAAGTTTACAAAGCTAGTGAATGAGCAAACAGATTCCAGTCTGAGCCTGTTACATACCCTCTGCATGGCATCACTGCTGCTGGAATTTCACAGGAATATTGGTCACCAGTCGATTTTCTCCCACATCTAATTTGATAAAATTATGTAGGAGAAAATACCTTGCCTGCTGTGAAAGGCTATGTAACACATTTCATTCTTTATGACGGTACTCTGGGTACCTCCTTGCGTCAAATCTGGGTACCTCAAACTGTGGTATGGCATCCCCATGCAGTCTGTCCAATACTGCAGCTGTACTGCCCAGCTTCAAACATGCTCAGCTCTCAGCCAGTGTGCTCCTGCCAAGGACTGAAAGAATCCACTTCCCACCAGCACAGGCTGGAAAACAAAAACACCCATAAGCAAATTTGGATGTCCACCATGGGAATATGGGCTCTTAAGTAAAATGTCCCCAGGCCTCCCATCTAGGCTTAACATAGTTTTTCCACATTCTGATGCCTGGAATATAAGTTAATTCTATGCCCTGAAAGCATCCTCACTCACCTTCTTTCTTTGAAGACAATCAAGTCTACAACTCCTGCTTATTTATATGCTATTTGTTCATTTATTTCATCCAAACATCACTTTTAGTATCCAGCATTGGAAGTGATCTGTTCCATCAAAGTAGCTTAGCACCTACACTCCTTGAAAGAAGCCTTCAGGTATCAGCTCCATCATGAAACTGCCTTGAAGCCAGAAGCAAACATGGAGTGAGTTTGCTTTAACTTTCTCATGTCCTTCTTTCCTTTCACTGGACCAGGGGGTACTTCAGACTGGAAAGGACTTGACTCACAGTCACTTACTCATTTCACCAATTATGTGTTGAGCATCTATCAGGTGCCTGGTGCAGCTCTAGGCCCTGGGGAATACAACAGTGGCCCAAACAGACATGGGCTCTGCCCTCCTGGAGCTTACAGTCTTGGGGCAAGGAGGACATGGGTCAGAGAAATGTTCCAAGAAGGTGGCATTTAATCTGAAACCTGGAGGATGAGAGAAGAAGCAGCCAGCGCTGGGAATCAATGGGGAAAGGACGTTCCAGACAGAAAAAAAACACTTCTAAAAAGGATTGAAGGGAGGTTTGACAAAATTAAGTGCAGGTGAGGATGAGAGGCAAAGAGAATCTTACCTGCTGATGGGACAATAAACTAACATAACCCCTCTGGAAAACAACGCATCCTTATCTAGTAAAGTTACAGGTACATACACCATAGCCTGGCAAATCCACGCCTAGGTACATGCTCCAGAGAAGCTCTTGCATGTATGTCCAAAAAGAACACATGCAGCGCCAAACAAAATACTGTTAGGGAGACATACTTCTGGCAAAAAGCAAAGCAAGGACACGATAAATTTGTAACTCAAGAGAGTGGTACACCTCCTGTGGAGGGTGGGGAGGTGGGAAGAGAATGGAATCAGAAAACATAACAACAAGGTTCTTTTTCCTAAAGCCAGGTGGTAGGCTCAGGGGTGTCCATTATATCACCATTGTTTATGCCTTATACATATTTTATCAACATTTTTGTATCTGCTCAATGTTTCATAAGAACCATTTCTTTGTATCTGACTGCTTTGCAGGGGATGGATTAGAGGAAGAGAAAGGCAGAAGTAGAGAGAACTATTTAGGAGGTGAGGGCAGTTGTTTAGGCAAGAAGTAGTGGAGGTTTGGACTACAGCAGTGTTGTGGTGGGAGTGGAGAGAAACAGATGCTTCCAGGCACATTTATCCTGTCATTTCCAAACTGGGTTCAAGGTTTAATTTAAAGAAACATTTCTGGAGGTTGTGATGGGAAAAGTGAGGGGGAAGAGTTTTATTCCCTAATCCACTTAACCCCTTGACTTTTACAGATGTGTAAATCAAGACCCAAAGATGGGTTGAAAAAATGAGGGGGCAAAACAGACCAGTACCGAAATCCTTAACACCCAGCCTTCTGCCTCATTCCACCCGACCTTGTGGCAGAACACAAACTCACATTGAACACAAATTCACAGTCTGCTAACACCAAAACTCAGTAGCTGATTGCATTATCAAGAGTTACACATTGACAGCATGTTGGTCCCTATCTATGATAAGGATGCTAGGTCTTATTTCCATAGAGACTCTGCCAGGATAAAATTATTTAATAGTTTCTATCTTAAGTACAAGCGGATGAAATCCAATTTAGTGGTTTTGCAAGAACGTGAAGTTGACAAATGAAAATAATGAATAAAAATGGTGTTCCAGTTATGTAAATTTCACCACAATAAAAAAAATTTTTAAATGAGATTCCAAAAGGTTTGTTGAAGTTAAGTGCTTAGCCATTTAAAATTAGCCAGCCATGTATTGTAATCCAAATTGATAAGTCTATACATTTTTGAAAACCAATTTTTTTCTATTTAGCAATATTTACCTAACTAAAATGCATATATGATTTGATTCCATAATTCTACCTCTAGGAATTTATCCTACAGATATTTTCACACATAGAGGTGATGATGTACAGACAAGAATGTATACTGAAGCACCATTTGTGATCACCAGAAACTTAAAACATCTTAAATGATCATCAGTGGAGAACTGGTAAAAAATAAATTATAATAAAGCTATATAAAGGGACATTATATGGATGTTTTAAATTTTTAATTAAGAATAGTTATGTTGGCCAGGTGTGGTGGCTCACACCTGTCATCTCAGTACATTGGGAGGCCAAGGCAGGCGGATCACTTGAGGCCAAGAGTTCGAGACCAGCCTGGCTAACACGGTGAAACTCCATCTCTACAAAAATACAAAAATTAGCCAGGCGTGGTGGTGCATGCCTGTAATCCCAGCTAGTCTAGAGGATAGACACAAGAATTGCTTGAACCCTGGAGGCAAAGGTTGCAGTGTGCCAAGGTTGTGCCACTGTACTCCAGCCTGGGCAACAGAGGCAGACTCTGTCTCAAAAAGAAAAAAAAATAGTTATGTATACTGATATTGAAATCTCTCCAAGATCTATGGCTAAAGATCAAAAAAAGGGGTAGTATCTGGGTGTACCACCATTTGTGTTAAAAAAACAAAGCATATATATTAATACATATACACATACATACATACATACATATATATTTATACTGGCATAAGTATTATTTATATGTACATATATATACTATACATATATCAAGAAAGGCCATCTAACTTTAGATATATAAATTTATGATATCAATATTATAGTATTTCACGGCATATGAGGCCATAGTAGGCAAACAAATTTTATTGAATGAATGAATTCCCTCTAAACTCCTTATAAATCAATTTCCCAGTGTGTTCCCCTTACTTGTGAAAACTTGACCCCAAAATGTCATCCGAACTTTTCTCAGACATTTTTTGTTACCAGTTTAACACTCTTCAGATAATCTGAGAAAGCTGTCAGTAATAACCCTCAGAAAGATAATTCCAGCTTCAAGACTTTCACACAAAACTATCCTGGGACACAACCAACGAGATCGACTTTCTAGCAAGAAAATTTTTTGGATGACGATTATTTAATCAAGAGGTTAAAAAGGCGCATGCTGTTTTGTGTTTGCACAAAAGCTATAAGGTTTCAGCCCTCACCCACGCTCACATACAGTAGCACTGTGGCATACTTCTCCACATATGTAATGTGAACTCAATCTCTCTGCTTAGTCTGCTGGTAAAATGATAGGGGCTATCAAAGGGATTAATCATATTCCTTCATTCTATACCCTTTAATCCTAAAATAAGCAGTTCTAAATGCATTCCAAAACAGCATATGTGCTTTCTCAGATGGTGAAATTAGCGTTACATGATGACATTCTCGAAATGTCCCAGGTTATTCCTTGACAGATAATGGCATAAATTTACAGAGAAGTTGAGTATGAAAAAAATTCTTCCTTTTAATATCTATTATATCTAGTAACTTATGAAAAGTCAAAGTTTCAAATGAAGTCATCCTGCTTCAAAACAGTATATTCTGCAATAGCACACTTGCCCTTAGCAAGTGCTCTGAAAATGAAAAGAATGATTTTGGATTTTCAACCATTGAGAATATAGTGTGTATCCTATTGTTAGAAATGACTGTTCTGGCAAATCTTTTGAAGTAGTCAAAATTAATTCTTGACCCTTGGGCTGTACCTGGTATGACAGAGCTTCTTATCTAATATAAGCAACATCTGCAGTCAGTAATTTAAAAAAAAAATCCATTTGGGATGAAATTCAGCTGAGAACAATTGAAAACCAAAAATAATAGCAGCTTATACAAGATAGAAATTAACTCCCTCCCATTTAAATATAGTCTGGAGTTATGCAGTTCAGGGCTACTATGGTACCTCTATGGTCATCAGAGACCTAGGCACTGCCTATCTTTTTCTGCTTTCCTCAACACAGGGCTTCCAACGATCACATCCACATTCTTGTGGGCAGGAAGCAGGAAAGAAAGGTAAATGGTTTCCCTTGAAGAGCACTTCCCAGAAGTTGTACATACCACTCACATTTATGTTCCTTTGGCTAGAACCTAGTCAAACGGCAACCCGTAGGAGCAACGAGGGCTGGGAAATATTGTCTTAATTCTCAGGTTATGTGCCAGACAATAATTTGAAGGTTATATTTCTAAGAAATAAACAATGAATGTGGTGACAACTAGCAGATCTGTCACATTAAGGACTCACAAAATACATATATAAGTTAAATCTTAAATGTCCTTCCTGAGATATATAACCATACATTCATTTTATGGTGGGGGAGGAGCTTTTGCCCATGAGTTTACAGATTAGAGTACCTTACATTTCATGCATAAGACACACATATAATGCATTCTCTTCAATTTCCAAGTCTAAAAGATTTTTTAAGAGCAGTGTCAAAACTTAAAGGCACTGTTTTGTTTTTTTCTTTTTAAATCTAGGTCATTTTATAATTTCTGCCTCATCCCTAATCTTTTATAGTTGTTTTTCTCAAAACCTAATTCAACTGTTTGTTTGTTTAGCATACATTTTTGAGACATTTCCAAGCATTCAGTTGAGTTTCCAGAGAAACAACAATTCTTTCTTTTCACATTCATATTTCATGGGTTCACAAAAATAACTTACGTAATTACAACAGCAGCTATAACAGCATACACCTATTTAAAAACAAACACAACTCACTCTTGGTAAATATACAACTCTACAACACAACTAGAGGGATCAAAAGAATGAGAACTTTGGAGAGGGACCTACTAACTGCATGTTTTACAAAAGGAATGGAGATTTTCTGGTTCTTCCACGAAATCAAGGGGGTTGAGTAAAGAAGTTCTGTTCTCTTGAATTTCTTCTTGCCAAAATCTTCTTGGTTGGCTATCTCAACAATAAAGCCCAGCAATACTACCACTATGTGCTAATGATGATGGGGCCTTTCCTGATTCTACACTCTATCTCCCTCAATTTATTGATGAGGAAAACTGAGGTCTAGAGAAGTTAAGTAGGTTTCCACTACCAGAGGAGTACTGTGCACTTCCCAAAGGGATTTGCTGCTGGCAAGAGTGTCTGATGCATCTCCATGAATGGGAGGTTGCTGTTGGCATTTGAGCAGGACTACCTTTATTTGGTGGCTCTCTCTCAGATTACAGAATGTTTACTATCACTGCCCAGCTCACTGAATGCCAGTAGCACCACTCTCATGTCATTGTAACATGAAAAACAGAAATGTACCTCTGAGTGTCCAAATGCCCAGGTCTCTAGATATAGAAGTGATTTTTTTGATGTTGTAGATATTGTTGTTTTATAGTTATTTTCCTGTCTTCTTTTGCGTTACACAATCACAGCTGTCAATCTTGTTTACAACCAAGGGCAATTCCAAATCCTAAGGAAACTTAAGAGATCTTTTAATCTTATTGACAGAAGTGAAACAAGCTCAATCAAAACATGAGAGTATGTCTGCTATTTTAATAATTTCTAGGAAAAGGCCAGGCGAGGTGGCCTGTAATCCCAGCACTTTGAGAAGCTGAGGTGGGAGGACTGCTTGAGCCCAGGAGTTCAAGACCAGCCTGGGCAACATAGCAAGACCCCATCTTAAAAACAAATAAATAATTTCTAGGAAAAGAGATGCTATCATTCACAGAACACAGAGTTCATCATTCTACACCTATTATCTAATGGATATTTAGATTGGACTCACAAATAAATGGAAACATTAGAAATGGTTACATCTTCATTAAGACAACAAATGATAATTTCTCACACATCTGTCTGCTAGGATACTTTGCCCAATTTTCTAATGAGCTGTTTAATGTTTATTTTTATTAGAGTTGTTTTTCATATTTTTTAAAAATTGGGTCTCTCCATAACATAGGCGCTCCAAATAATTTTCTCAATGTTTTTTGACTTTTGACAATTTTCAAGTTATTCATGTCAAAATAGTTCATCTTCCTTTATGACTTCCCAGTTTCATGTCATCCATTCATGTATTCATTCATTCAAAATATTCAGGATTTTTGCTAAACAGCAGGATTTTTCTGGGTGCTAGAGAATTGAACCAAAGAGACATGGAAGTAAACATGCTTACGAGGTTTAAATTCTTGTGTAGGCTAAATTAATTAATTTTAAGGCAGAACGAAAAACAATCTACCAGAAGTATAATATGTCGGGTAGTGATAAGTGCTATGACAAAACAGAAAAGAGAGGAAGGGGAAAGGGAGTGAGTGAATGGAGTGTTATTTTACAGGCCTCGGGGGCAGTGAGGGAGCAAACTTCATGGATATCTGTGGCAGGTACCCATAAGGGCAAATGCCCTGAGGTAGGGATGCTACCCACGAGGTAGCAAATGCCCTTCTGTCTGGGGCACAGCAAGGTTGCCAGTGTGGCCAGAGAATGGGCAGTAAGGGGAAGAAAACCTAAGAGAAAATATCTAAATGTAGACATGGCTTTTACTTACTAAATTTGTGAAGGCATTCATCTATAATACAGTTCCAATTTTTTTATTTAAAAGTTTTTGATTCATCTCTTAATTACTTCAACCTTTTATTGTACTTTTTTCCCAGGGCTTTTTTTTTAAATAGGTTTAGGAGGTACACTCTGTTACATGGATATATTGCACATTGGTGAGATTTGGGCTTCTAAGATGCCCATCACCTGAACAGTGAACATTATACCCAACTGGTATTTCTTCAACCCTCCCCCATCCAGCTCTCCCCCTTTTAGGATTCCCCTGTGTCTATTATTATATTTCCATCTCCCCAGGGCTTTGAAACATCATCTTTCTCATCTACCATTGTCCCATAATGACTTGGATCTAGTTTTGAAGATGCTCTAGTCTGTCGCAGGGATCTCTCTATTCCTAATGCAGTACCATAGTATTTTGATTTCTGTAGGCTTACCCTGTATTTTACGATTAACCTCTCATAAATCTTTAGTCATTTTCATACACCTTTGCTGGTTCTATTATATTTTCCATCTGATGAAAGATCCTAAAGATCATTTATTCAACTCCATAGTCTCTAAGTGATAGTGAAGAGGAGGTGAAGAACATACTCAAGCTCAAGGCAAACAAACGAACTCTCCTTCCAACCCAAACTCCTAGCCTTCAACACCTACCTATTGTTTAACTGTAATCTAAACGACTGTGTTAAGAAAGCATGTGGATTGCTGAACTGAACAGTCATTTAAATCATTTAAGCCACATATGTTTATCTGTTTAGTTGGTCTCTCTGATGTGACTGTTAAGTCTTGGAGGGCTGGGCTAGGGTTTGGACCAGTGGTTCTCAAACTGTGGTCCTGGACCAGCAGCAACACCTGGGAACTTATGGAAATGCAAATTCTAAGCCCCAACTAAGAATTAATAAATGGGAAACTCTGAAGACGGAGAGAAACCCTCCAGGTGCTTCTAGTGTATAATAAAGTGTTAAAAACCACTGATTTTGGGTCTATACCACCCATCCAGAGCCAGGTGTATTACATGAGCTGGAAGTCTGTGGTCAGAGTCCTAAGATCCAATGTTAGTTTCAACACCAGCTAGCTGTGTGACCAAGGTAACACAGGAAAGTACAGGCATGCCACAGCTTGTCACACTTTCCTTTATGCACTTTGCAATACTGCATTTTTTACAAATTGAAGGTTTGCGGCAACCCTTTGTTAAGTAAGTCTATCAGCGCTGTTTTTCCAACAGGATGTGTTCACTTCATGTCTCTGTGTCACATTTTGCTAATTCTTGAACTCTTTCAGACCTCTTCATTAATATTATATCTATTATGGTGATTTGTGACCAGTAATCTTTGATGTTACTATTGTAGTTGTTTTGGGGAGCCACAAACTCTGCCCATATATGATGGCAAATATAATTGATAAATGTGTGTGTTTTGACTGCTCCACAGACCAGCCATTCCCCATCTCGCTCCCATCTCCTCGGGCCTCCCTATTCCATGAGACACAACAAGATCCAAATTAGGCCAATTAAAAACCCTCCAGTGGCCTCCTCGTGTTCAAGTGAAAGGAAGAGTTGCATTTCTCTTACTTTAAAAGCTAGAAATGATTAAGCTTAGTGAAGAAGGAATGTCAAAAGTCGTGATAGACCAAAAGCTAGGCCTCTTATGCCAAAGAGCTAAGTTTTGAATGCAACGGAAAAGTTCTTAAAAGAAATTTAAAATGCTACTCCAGGGAACACACAAATGATGAGAAAACAAAACAGCCTTATGGCTGATATAGAGAAAGTGTGAGTGGTCTGGATAGAAGAGCAAACCAGCCACAACATTCCTTTAAGGCAAAGCCTAATCCAGGGCAAGGCCCCAACTCTCTTCAAATCTATGAAGGCTGAGAGAGGTGAAAGAGCTGCAGAAGAAAAGTTTGAAGCTAGCAGAAGTAGGTTCACGAGGCTTACAGAAAGAAGCTATCTCTATAACATAAAAGTGTAAGGTGAAGCAGCAAATGCTGATGGAGAAGCTGCAGCAAGTTATCCAGAAGGTCTAGCTATGATCATTGATGAAGGTGGCTACACAAAACAACAGATTTTCAATGTAGATGAAACAGCTTTCTATTGGAAGAAGTTGCCATCTAAGACTTTCCTAACTAGAGACGAGAAATCAATGTCTGACTTCAAAGTTTCAAAGGACCAGCTGACTCTCTTGTTAGGGACTAATGCAGCTGATGACTTTGAGTCCAACTCTCACTGACCATTCCAAAAATCTTAGGGCTCTTAAGAATTCGATTCTGCCCGTGCTCTATAAATAGAACAACAAAGCCTGAATGACAGCACATCTGTTTACAGCATGGTTGACTGAATATTTTAAGCCCACTGTTGAGAACAATTGCTCAGAAAAAAATATTCCTTTCAAAATATTACTGCTCACTGACAATGCACCTGGTCACCCAAGAGCTCTGATGAAGATGTACAAGGAGATGAATGTGTTTTCATGCCTCTTAACACAGCATCCATTCTGCAGCCCATGGATCAAGGAGTCATTTTGACTTTCAAGTCTATTATTTAAGAACTACATCTCATAAGACTACAGCTGCTATAGTGATTCTTCTGAAGGATCTGGGCAAGGTGAATTAAGAATCCTCTGGAAAAGATTCACCATTCTAGATGCCATTAAGAACATTTGTGATTCATGGGAGAAGGTCAAAATATTAACATTAGCAGGAATTTGGAAGAAACTGATTCCAACCATAGATGACTTTGAGGGGTCAAGACTTCATTGGAGGAAGGAACTGCAGATGGGGTGGAAATAGCAAGAGAAATAGAATTAGAAGGGGAGCCTAAAGATGTGACTGAATTGCTGCAATCTTGTGATCAAACTTGATGGATAAGGATTTGCTTATTATAGGTAAGAAAAACAAAAGTGGTTTCTTGAGATGGAATGTACTCTTTGAAGATGCTGTGAACACTGTTGCACTGACAACAAAGGATTTAGAATATTACATAAATGTTGTTGATAAAGCAGCAGTAGGGTTAGAGATGACTGACTCTAATTTTGAAAGAAATTCTACTGTGGGTAAAATGCTATCAAACAGCACTGCATGCTACAGAGAAAACTGTTGCAAAAGGAAGAGTCAACTGATGTGGCAAACTTCATTGTTGTCTTATTTTTAGAAATTGCCACAGCTACCCCAACCTTCAGCAACTACCACACAGATCAGTCAGCAGTCACCAACACCCAAGCAAGACCCTCTACCAGCAAAAAGGTTGCAATCTGCTGAAGGCGCAAATGATCATTAACATTTATAGCAATAAAATTTTTATTTTATTCTATTTGTTGAAGATAGGGTCTCACTCAGTTACCCAGGCTAGAGTGGAGTGGCGCCATCTTGGCTCACTGCAACCTCTGCCCAGGCTCAAGTGATTTTCCCATCTCAGCCTCCCCAGTAGCTGGAACTACAGGCGCATGCCACCACACCTGGCTAATTGTGTGTGTGTGTGTATTTTTTGTAGAGATGGGGTTTTGCCATGTTTCCAGGCTGGTCTCAAACTCCTGAGCTCAAGTGATCCTCCTGCCTCAGCCTCCCAAAATGCTGGGATTACAGGTAGCATGAATCACTGCACCCAGCCATATTTTTAAATTAAGGCATGCACATTGTTTTTTTTTAAGACATAATGCTATTGCACACTTAATAGACTACAGCATAGTGTAAACATAACTTTTATCCGTACTGGAAAACCAAAATATGTGTGTGACTCGCTTTATTGCAATATTGCCTTTACTGAAGTGGTCTGAAACCAAACCCTCAATATCTCTGAGGTATGCCTGTCGCTTAAACTTGTAGCATCCCCTTCCTCATGAGAACAATATGAATATTGGTGTCTATCTCATAAGTGATTTTAAAAATTACTTAGAATATAATATTCCTGGCACATTGTAAATGTTTAATGTACCTAAAATGATGATAATAAACTCAGAACTTATTTTTATTTTGTTTCAGATAATTTACTCTGCTAAACCTGGATCCTTTCATATTGGATCTAAAAGAAATCAGGGAATGGGGTAGGACAATTAACATATTTTTTATGGCTGTGTTGACAGAGAAGTGAGGGGTGGAGACAGAAATCTCTGGCAGGATTTTGTGGAGTTGGGACCCATTTCTAAAATTGCTAAGAATTTCCTTTTCTAAGGATGCCTATTTTTTCCTTTGAAAATGAATTATATAACATAGACAATAATTAAAAGGCCCCAGGGTCAAAAGCTCTTCCCACAAATAACTGTCCACACACTATTAGTTCATTTCCTATACACTCTCCTGGCAAGGCCCAACAAAAGCTAAAAGAAGATGGATGGACTTTGTAGGGTGACCTGAGGGTCAACTGATTCAGGGAGCTGAACTCATCAATACAGACAGCAAATTCCATCACAGAATTCCATCCACTATTAGTAGCATGTATTAGGTTGGTAAAAAAGTAACTGTGGCTTTTGCCATTACTTTTAATGGCAAAAATCTATAATTACTTTTGCACCAACCAATACAAACCTTTCCTGTTGCAAGCATCCAACTGTGCCTCGAAAAGTCAAGTATAGCATATTTCTCACAAAGCTGCCCCAAAGTCAAGGCCCAGCCCTTTCTTGCCACAGTGGTTTTACAAATAGCACATTTAGAACACAAATACCTAATGCATGTGGGGCTTCAAACCTAAATGATAGGTTGATGGGTGCAGCAAACCATCATGGCACATGTATACCTATGTAACAAACCTGCATATTCTACACATGTATCCCAGAACTTAAAGTACAATAAATCTAAAAAAAAAAGGAATATAAAACTGCATATGCTTTATTAACAAAACTATTATGGTGGATTAAATGGTACCCTTTCAAAAGATATGTCTGCCTCTAAATGTGACCTTATTTGGAAAAAGGATCTTTGCAGATGTAATTACGAATCTTAAGATGAGCTCATTCTGGGCTAGGGTAGGCCTAAATCCATTGATAGGTCCTTATAAGAGAAGGGAAGGGAAACAGAATACACAGGGAGAATGGCATGTGATGATGCAGGCAGAGACGGAAGTGATGCATCCACAAGCCAAGAACACCAAGGATTGCCAGCAGCCACTGGAGGCTCGGAGAGAGGCACAGAACAGTCTCCCTCAGAGCCTCCAGAGGGAACCAACCCTAATGACACCTTGATTTTGGACTTCTAGCCTCCACAAAAACAGACTAGAAGGAAATCACAGACTAGTGCTAAGTGTACTGGTGATTGGCTTATAAAGTTGTGCTTGTTTTTTGCGTAAATCGCTGGACTTTGCTGCATTTTCCAAATTGTCTAAACTGCATATTTATCATCCAACAATTTGATCAAAATTATTTTAGAATAAGAAGTACACCTGCCTTAAAAATGTTTTTATCAAGGAGATACAGAGGACTACTAGAGGGTAGAGAAGAAAAAGGAGGGCAAAGGCTGAAAAACTACCTATTGGATACTATGCCCACTACCTGGATGATGGGATCATTTGTACCCCAAACCTCAGCATCATGCAATATAACCATGTAACAACTCTGCACATGTACCCCTTGAATCTAAAAGAAAAGTTGAATTTTTTGGGGGGAAAAAAAAAAACAAACTTCTAAATAAAGACCCAAAACACTTCAAATATTAAACATTGAAATAAGATGGAAGCTATGCATACATTTAAGAAAGGTTAATTAAAAACCAAGATAATTAAAGAAAGATAAGTATTTACCCAGTTTGTGGTAAGTCAGTTGAGTGATGGTGGTCATAATGATGATGGGTTAAACCAAGGAATAAATGTTTGCAAATCAAAGGTTGTAAGGAGCATCTCCTACCAACTCAAAGCTCAAAAACAATTTAAAAATACATGGAAGACTTACAGGAAAAAAAAAGCTGTTACACCAAAATTTTACCAAAAAAAAAAAGAAAGTTCCATCTCCCAGAACCCAGGAAAACATATGTAATGTGTCCTTCTCTGTGGCTACAAACATGCCAAACCCAAAAATGAACAACGCTTTCCTCAATTATCTATTGTCTCCAAACTTTTGGCTTCATAAAGATGAGAGGAGCTTGTCATTGTGTTTCCAAACAACTCAATATGTTGCTGGAGGAGTTCCAAAGGCCGAGTCACCAAGGATGCAAATAACAGGGAGTACCCCTGGGTGCCTGACTGTGGAACAAAAGACTTTAGGAAATTATATTATCGGGGTAATTTCATAGTGTTGTTGAAGAAAGCAAACACCTGCATTCTTTTAATAAGTCCCCTGGAGGCCTAATTCCTCAGCACTCAAAGTAGGAGAACCCACTCTGGGTGTTATAGGTACATATAATGAGCCGGTTTTTAAGAATTGCGAAAGCTGTTTCTGCATCACCAAGTAGTTTACCAAACACAAAAATCAAATAATGTGCTCATTAAACGCCTTCCAACAGTCAAATGTGCTTGTGTCTGTTTTGCCAATGTGACACCAAAGGTCGCTACATATATTCAAAAGCCTAGGTCCAAAGGCTGGATAACGACCATCTTGTTTATTTTTATGCTTGTTGATGTATAGTTGGCTGCTGAAAGGAGGTACCGTACATTCCCTCCCTTGACTGATCCCTTTTGTAGAGTTTTCCTCTAGAAACATTATGCAAATGGCATTTTTAAAGCTGCCCTCCCCACACACAAACTCTCCCAGACAGCCCAAATTACACCCAAGTTTTTAACAAGCTGAATGGAGCCTCATTTAATGTAGTCAGATCTGATTAGAAAACTGCAAGTGGCCTCCTATGGAACTGGAAGTCACGTTGCATTCGATTCCATTTTTCTCAAGGTGGCACATTTCAGACACCTCGGTAAGCTCAACCCCACAACCTCTAATCTGAAGGAGTTTCCCTTTTAAGACTCTTGCCCCAAATAAACCAACTAGTCCAGGGTTCTTCAGACATTTTGTTCTGTTTTAGACACTAGTCAGATCTCATCCCCAGGTCATAGAGAATATAAAACTGTTTTCCCCAAGGTACAGGTTTATATTTAGACCAGAAGAATCAAATGCCAGAGCTCAACACACTCTGGGTTCAAGAGCTTGTAATCTGGAGCCTCAAAGACCTGACTTCAAATCCTGATTCCATTACTTATTTACCAATGTGAATGAATGCATGCTACCTAACCTCCCTGAGTCCCCATACTTAAAAAGTGGAAGATAAAAGACACGCCTCAGGAAACTGTTTTGAGTATGAAATGAAGTGATTCCTGAAAGAAATCAAGCACACAGCAGGCCCTCAATAATGTCTGCTCCTCCTTTACTGTATCTCCCAGAAAGGGAGGGCTTAGCTGCTGAGACGACTTGCTTAGCACAGCTGCCCCTGCCAGGTAGTGACTTTATGCCACCCCACCATTCATTTCATCCTTCCAGTCATGTACACTCACTCACTGGTTTCTTTCAAATCAGTAGTCACAAAATCTGATGTCTGCAGTGGCCGATGAGTAATGTAAATGAGCAAGGCAGGCCAGGTGTAAGACAATAGGGAATGGTGGAAACTGTAAAAAAGTTGAACACGTCTCATCTTAAAGGAAAAGAAGAAATATTAGGCTACTTTTGCCAGATAGTGTCATCTTTCCAGAGAAAGCCCAAATCTGAATTTTTACACAATATCTTAAATGTTGGCCACTAATTTAAAATTTAAAGCCTGTGCAATGCTAACAAAATACACCTATAGGCCAGATCTAATCTCAGGAGTTTCCAGAGTGTGATCTCAGGTTCAAATTTTATATAAATATCCATGTCTCTCATGCTTCAGAAGAGGGAGCTTCTACTTAGGGACTTGTGACCATGTAAATGGAAATGTTTAATGTGGCACAACGGGAGTCAAAAAAACTCATACTTATTAAGCAGGCTAGAGGGAAACTGATTAAGTATTGCCTTGATGATGTGTGGTTTTCATCACAGACATGAATCTCCATTGTCCAGTTGGTGGGACGCAGGGTCTAAGAAAGGCCCTTTTTTATGTACTGACCCCAGGGGCAGAGTTTGAAAGTTACCTTTCTGTTACAGTTTACAAACTGTTTTTATAAACATCATATGCATAATTCACTCAGGCAAAACGATTGTGAGGTTGTAGGGTCCAATTCTATCAAACTCCATTTCACCTAAAGTGAGTGTGTAACGTGCAATATGAATCTATTATTCCATCAGAAGTCTCATTCCTTTCGAACCTAAAGTTCTACACAAGGAGGCCCTCCACTCTATTTCTTCTAAGTTTAGTCCATGAGACAAGAATCATCACTCCCGTTCACCAAATGAAAGGCTTTTACTCATGGTGGGTGATATGGTTTGGCTGTCTTCCCACCCAAATCTCATCTTGAATTCCCACATGTTGTGGGAGGGATCTAGTGGGAGATCATTGAATCGTAGGGGCAGGTCTTTCTGAAGCTGTTCTGATAATAATGAATAAGTTTCATGAGATCTGATGGTTTAAAAAGGGAAGTTTCCCTGCACAAGCTCTCTTCTCTTGTCTGCTGCCATGTGAGATGTGCCTTTCACCTTCTGCCATGATTGTGAGTCTTCCCCAGCCATGTGGAACTATAAGTCCATTAAACCTCTTTCTTTTGTAACTTGCCCAGTCTTGGTCCCAGTGCAGTGGCTCACATCTGTAATGCCAGCACTTTGGGAGTCCAAGGCAGACAGATCACTTGAGGTCAAGAGTTTGACACCAGCCTGGCCAGTATGGTGAAACCCCATCTCTACTAAAAATGCAAAAATTAGCCAGACATAGTGGCACACATCTGCAATCCCAGCTACTCAGGAGACTGAGGAGAAGAATCACTTGAACCCAGGAGGCAGAGGCTACAGTGATCTGAGATCACGCCACTGCACTCCAGCCTGGGCAATAGAGTGAGACTCAGTCAAAAAACAAACAAAAAAAAATTGCCCAGTCTTGGGTACGACTATATCAGCAGCATGGAAATGGACTAATACAGTAAATTGGTACCAGTAGAGTGGGACACTGCTGAAAATATACCTGAAAATGTGGAAGCAGCTTTGGAACTGGGTAACAGGCAGAGATTGGAACGTTTGGAGGAAGACAGGAAAATGTGGGAAAGTTTGAATTTCCTAGCGACTTGTTGAACAGCTTTGCCCAAAATGCTGACAGCAATATGGACAATAAGGTCTAGGCTGACGTGGTCTCAGATGGAAATGAGGAACTTGTTGGGAACTGGAGCAAAGGTGACTCTTGTTATGTTTTAGCAGAGAGACTGGAGGTATTTTGCCTCTGCCCTAGAGATCTGTGGAAATTTGAACTTCAGAGAGATGATTTAGGGTATCTGGAAGAAGAAATTTCTAAGTAGCAAAGCATTCAAGAGGTGACTTGGGTGCTGTTAAAGGCATTCAGTTTTAAAGGGAAATAGAGCATTAAAGGAAAATTTGCAGCCTGACAATGCACTAAAAAAGAAAATCCCATTTTCTGAGGAGAAATTCAAGCTGTCTGCAGAAATTTGCATAAGTAATGAGGAGCTGAATGTTAATCACCAAGACAAATGGGAAAATGTCTCCAGGGCATGTCAGAGACCTTTGCTGCAGGCCCTCCCATTACAGGTCCAGAGGTTTTGGAGGAAAAAATGGGTTTGTGGGCTGGACCCAGACTTTCATACTGTGCAGTCCAGGGACTTGGTGCCCTGTGTCCCAGCCGCTCCAGCCATGACTAAAAGGGGCTAAGGTACAGTCTGGACTGTGGCTTCAGAGGGTGGAAGCCCCAAGCCTTGGCAGCCTTCACATGGTGTTGAGCCTGCGGGTGCACAGAAGTCAAGACCTGAGGTTTGGGAACCTCTGCCTAGATTTCAGAGGATGTAATGGAAACACCTGGATGCCAGGACAGAAGTTTGCTTCAGGGACAGGGCTCTCGTGGAGAACCCCTGCTGGGGCAATGCAAAAAGAAAATGTGGGGTTGGAGCCCCCACACAAAGTCCCTACTGGGGCACTGCCTATTGGAAATGTGAAAAGAGGGCCACCTTCCTCCAGACCCCAGAATGGTAGATCCACCAATAGCTTGCACTGTGTGCCTGGAAAAGATGCAGACACTCAACACTAGTCTGTGAAAGCAGCCAGGAAGGGGGCTATACCCTGCAAAGCTATAGGGGCAGAGCTGCCCAAGGCCATGGGAGCCTACCTCTTGCATCAGCATGACCTGGATGTGGGACATAAAGTCAAAAGAGGTCATTTGAGAGCTTTAAAATTTTACTGCCCCACTGGATTTGGGACTTGCATGGGGCCTATAGCCCCTTTGTTTTGGCCAATTTCTCCCATTTGGAATGGCTGTATTTACCCAATGCCTGTACACCCATTGTATCTAGGAAGTAACTAAACTGCTTTTGATTTTACAGGTTCTTAGGCAGAAGGGACTTGCCTTGTCTTGGATGAGACTGGACTGTGGACTTTTGAGGTAATGCTGAAATGAGTCTTAAGACTTTGGGGAACTGTTGGGAAGGCATGATTGGATTTGAAACGTGAGGACATGAGATTTGGGAGGGGCCGGGGTGGAGTGATATTGTTTGGCTATGTCCCCACCCAAATCTCATCTTGAATTCCCATGTGTTGTGGAAGGGACTCAGTGGGAGGTAATTGAATCATGGTGGCAGGTCTTTCCTGTGCTGTTCTCTTTATTATTATTATTATTATTATTTTTTGAGATGGAGTCTCACTCTCTTGCCCAGGCTGGAGTGCAATGGCATGATCTCAGCTCACTGCAACCTCTACCTCCCAGGTTCAAGTAGTTCTCCTGCCTCAGCCTTCTGAGTAGCTGGGATTATAGGTGCGTGCCACCATGCCTGGCTCATTTTTGTATTTTTAGTAGAGATGGGGTTTCACCATGTTGCTCAGGCTGGTCTCGAACTCCTGGCTTCATGATCCACTCGCCTCAGCCTCCCAAAGCGCTGGGATTACAGGCATGAGCCACCTCTGTTCTCATAATGGTGAATAAGTCTCACAAGATCTGATGGTTTAAAAAGGGAAGTTTCCCTGCACAAGCTCTCTTCTCTTGTCTGCCACCATGTGAGACATGAGTTTCACCTTCTGCCATGATTGTGAGGCTTCCCCAGTCACACAGAACTATAAGTCCATTAAACCTTTCTTTTGTTAATTGCCTAGTCTGGTGTACATCTTTATTAGCAGCATAAAAATGGACTAATACAGTGGGGAAGTAACTTGTTATAGATTATATAACCTACAATTTCCAGGCCCTTGAACCCAGATATTCTTCCTCCTCATGCACCCTGTCTTTATTAAACCCTCTTGAAACCACAAACATATATCAAGCCCAGGTTACAGGCCATGAACAGTGGGAGACACATTACATGCATTCCCTCACCACAACCTCACGAGACAAGCAGTAGTATCCCCATTTCTCTGATGAGAAAAATCAAGGCTCAAAAATATTAACTCATTTGCCCAAGGCCATTCAGCTAGTAAGAGACAAAGCCAAATCTACAATTCCAACAATGTCTTCAAAGCCAGTCCCTTTAACCACTCGGCTATAATCCTTTCATTTAAACCCTTACAAGCTTCATAGAAGTTTCTGTGACACTGGCTAGAAATATACATTTCCCCCAGAGATCGTTCCCCATGACTCTCCCATACACAGGCAGGTTCAACCCCTTTGATCTCAAAAAGCGCAAGATCTGGAAGTCATT
Organism: Homo sapiens; assembly: GCF_000001405.40. Taxonomy (NCBI): domain Eukaryota; kingdom Metazoa; phylum Chordata; class Mammalia; order Primates; family Hominidae; genus Homo; species Homo sapiens. Next base: position 64,437,288 of record NC_000003.12, read on the forward strand.
CCCATTAGGGAATGCTTCCTCTCTCCATAGGGAAATCCCTCTGGGGTACTCATTAATCACATGGTTAAAGGATAACCTTTGAGTTTTTTGAACCAAGAAACCACGAAATAACAAATTTATTAGGCTCTCACTCATCCCAACAACCTTAAACTACAGAGGCATTAGGACGAATGACAACCTTTCAACAGAATGTGGGTATCGCTTTCATGGTTAAAAACAAATAAAATTTATTTTGAACAAAAGATGACTGACATCAGTGCTCTGTGTTTTCTCAGTAGTCATCAAGCACAAATTGTCACTCGGGGTGATTAAACAAGGATTAATTACCAGGTTGCTATACAAGTTGAGATGTTTCAAAGTTGCAGCCCAAAGAGCACATAAATGTACTCAAATTTTTAAAAGAATACGGGTGCAAATTGGCACCATCTTTTCAGAGGACAATTTGTCAAGAGCGCTTAAAATTTTAAATGTTAACCTCCTCCCACCTAGTAAGTCCAATTATACCACAGAAGCATAAAATTGGGTAAAAACACACAGGCATGTTGTAGCATGAGAAAAGCTATCATTATATGATATATAATTAGGAACAATGGAAAACAACCAACGTGGTCATGAAGGGAGAAATTTTGACTCAATCATAATCCATAGAATGGATTCGGAAAACTAATAAATACATTAGATGTTTTTGGCTTTTATATACTGACATGGAAAAATGTCCAGAAAGTATTTCTAAGTACGAAAAAAGTAAGCTATAAAAGGCAATATGTAGAATGTGTATTTTCTGTTAAAGCAATATTAATAAATAATCTGAATGAACCTAAGGAAATAATATCAGCCTATAAACAACATATATCTTTAGCTTAGGGGTGAGCAAACTGATTCTGTATAGAGCCAGATAGTAAATACTTTCAGTTTTGCAGGCCATAAGGGCTGTCTCAACTACTCTGCTACTGCAAAAGCAGCCTCAGATGTTACTAAATGAACAGGCATGGCTGTGTTCCAATGAAACTTTATTTATGGACTCTGAAATTGAAATTTTGTATCATTTTTACATGCTACAAAAATGTTACTCTTCTTTTGATTTTTTTTTTCAACGATTTAAAAATATGAAAACCCTTCTTAGCTAGCAGGCCATACAAATCAGGTAGCAGGCTAATTTTGTCCCACAGGCTGCAGCTTGCCAACCCCTGGTCTAGAAGGTATGAAAAAGAAGGGGTTCCTCCTCTATGATATGTATTTTTTAATTTCTGCACATGTGTGAGATATTTTAATATCTTTTAAAATAGTTATGTCTATTTCCAAAAACAAGTAATAATACAGATATACTGGCATAAACTGATATATTTCCTGTAGAGAAAAAAACCCTGTAAGGTATTTCAACTTCTATCAGGGGTATTATTAAATGCCAATGACATAAAGTGAGCCAACCTGCAACCTTCTTATCAGCTAAGTATCTTTCCCTGCCTTGATGTTAGGAATAACTCAATCTATGCTTCCCCCCACCCCCACCCCCTAAAACGCCTTTCCTTGTTTTCCATTTCTTGGCATGTCAGTGACTGAGGCAGAGTGTTTTTCCTCTCCAAGCAAAATAATCAGTGGGAACCCATTTCTTAGCCAAATTACAATCCATTAAAGGAAACCAGGCCGGCATCACCCCGAATTGCTGCCTCAGTCATCAATCAACACAATCGCCCAGGCAACTAAGGAGGGAGGCTTTTCAAGTCGCAGTCTTGGCTAGCCCAGTGAGTGCTGCCTCTGCAGCAACTGCATCCCGGCCAAAGCATCCCGGCTGGAAAGGCAGCCGTTGTCTGGAGACAAACAACTCTGCATAATTATAATGATCTCACAACACTACCCCTGCACTGGGCATTCCATGTCAGTTGCCCATGAAAGTGGGACTCCAGGAGGCTTGTTAGGAAAGCCCATCTTTTAATGCTCAAGTTGAATCTACATTTATCAGCAAAGCTGAAACGTTAAAGGGATTACAAGGGGCTTAGAATCCACTGGAGGTTCATTGATCTTGTCTTGCAAGGCTCATCTCCACACGCCCTTTAGAAAATGCTTTGGTCTGTTCCCTAGCTCTTTGGTTGCCTTTGATTTTACCACCATTCTCATCTGAGTTGGAGGGGGTGTTTCCTCTAGCCCTGATTCCAAAAGATTCTCAGATCCCTATATTCTAAACTAAGAGAAGCTATTTGCATGTTCCCCTAGGTAGTGATACAGACCAGGGGTCAGCAAATATTTTCTGTAAAGATCCAGATACTAAATATTTTAGGTTTTCTGGGCTATACAATCTCGGCTGCAGCTACTTAAGTCTGCCACTGCAGCACGAAAACCTGCTCATTCAGGATTTGCAAGCTCCAATCACTTCCAGTCCCTGACAGGTAACCTAAATATCTGAGCCACAGATAAGATGTAAGTAAATGAGTATGACTTTGTTCAGATAACACTTTTTTCTGGGTACCAAAATCTGAATTTCATGTAATTTTCATATGTTGTGAAATATTACATTCTTCTTTTGATTTTTTCCCCAACCATCTAAAAATGTAACTCATGAGCCATACAAAACAGGAAAAGGGTCACATTGGGCCAGCAGGCTGTATTTTACTGACACCAGTCTAGAGCTTTGCTATTCAAAGTGTGGTCCCTCAACCAGCTTCACAGCATCATCTTAAAGCTTGGTAGAAATGTAAAATCTCAGGCCCCACCTCAAATCTGTAGAATCAGAATCTGAATTTTGAACAAGAGCCCTCAGTAATTTGTATGCAAGTTTCAGAAGTCCCGGCCCAGAACACAGACTTCTGAAGTCAGATAGGGACAAAATACCATTAAGCAGTTGGCTGTGTAACCACAGGCAAATTACTTAACTCCTCTGAGACTCAGTTTCCTTACCTGTTAAAATGGATGTAAATAACTGCACTTACCTTCTAGGGCTGTCATGAATGATAAGGTGGAAAAGATGTAAAACACTTTCCTGGCATTGTCAAGCTTTAAAATGGTAGCTGATAGAGAAGCTTACTTTCTCTTTGGGGGAGATGAGATTGCTCATTCAGGATTTGCAAGCTTCAATCACTTCCAGTCCCTGACAGGTAACCTAAATATTTGAAGAGTTCCCTGAACTCAACTAGATTGCTGGAGAGGATGGTGAACTGAGGTCACGCCCATCTAAGGGGCAACTACTCAGCTCCTGCCAGATACTGTCGGAAATGCAGGAAAGTAGCCCTAATGTTACCTGGTCTTTGGATTTTTCAACAGAAGCCGGAAACCTGGGTTTATGTTAGAAAAAGCCTCCTTCTTTAATATGTTGCATGGATCAAACGAAACCTATCTGCAAGCTGGATTTGACTCAAGGGCTTCCAGTTTGTGAGCACTGCTTTAGAGCAAGTAACAAGAGGCAGTGACTCACAAGAAAATGAGCCAAATTTGGTTTGGAGCCAAATCCCAGCAGCATTCTCCCTAGCCAGGTGACCTTGGGTTAAGTTACTTAACAACCCTCAGCCTCAGTTTTCTCACCAGGAAAATAATCACATCTATTTTATAGGGTTTAGTGAGGATTACATTAAAATGTATGTAAAACACGGAAGCATGATCCCGGACAAAGCAAGCACTCGTTCTTATTGCTGATGCTGTTTTGGTATTACTGTAATTATTACTATTATTATCCATCAGTTCTTGGTATGTAGATACGCAAATCTTCACTGTAAAAATGGCTGTTTTTCTCTCCCTGTTCAAACTGGTTGCAAACAAGCAAGGCCAATTAACCCCCACTCAGAAAGCTATCTTGTAGCAGGGTAAGCTAAGTGCTTAGTTATTAATGATTTTGTTCTGGCTGCAGTCCATGAAGATACCCTAATCTTCCTTAATGAAAATTTCCTCAGCAGCCCAGCCCTACAGAGTCTCCCCTAGGCCACCCTGAAGTGATGTTTCTTCCAGGATAGGTCACCTGCAGGGAGCACCCTGCAGTGGCCACCTTTGCTCCCCAGCTGCCTTACATCAGGTGGAGGAGAAAGGTCCTGCTGACAATTGTGAGACCTTTGTACTCTAAGACCCATAAATACCTGTGTCTTGGTGGTTTTTGGTTTTTTTGTTTTTGTTCTTTTTAGAAATTCTAAAAAACCCCACATTTGCTACCTAAAAGTGTGGGTGACAACAAAAATGTAAAGGGTATATGATCACTCAAGAAAATCCCCATAAAATATACAAGACTTCAACAGGACCATGGGCATCTTTCCTGACACAGAGGAAGACTCGACGTAGGAAAAGTAATTTGCCATACACAGTGCTGGGTGTTTTAACTCAGTGCTTCTCAATCTTTAATGCGTAACAGCAGCAGCCAGGGATCTCGTTCAAGCTCAGGTTTGGATTGAGGAGGTCTGGGGCAGGGCCAGAGACTTTGCATTTCTAACAATCTCCCACGAGATGTTGATGTTGCTGGTACCTGCACCAGGTGCGAACGAGCACAATACTCTTCCCTTGCTTCATTTAGGTCTCTGCTCAGATGTCACCTTCTCAGAGAATCCTTTCCTGACTACTTTATCTAAAATGTGATTAGTGGAATAAGGGCAGGAATATTGTTTTGTTCTTTGCTGTGTCACCAGAGCACCTGGCGCAGAGCAAGCCCTCAAATATTTGTTCATTAGAGAGCTGACAATTTGACAGGTGAGGAAGACGGAACTCAGGAAACCTAAGTCATTTGCTCAAGGTCACACAGCTTGCTAAAGCCATTGCAAATGCCAGCCCTGCTCTGTCTGGACTTCAAAGCCCCACCACGTCAGAGAGAAGCAAAGTTTGTTTACAACGTACTTCCTCCCTAGAACTTTAGTGCCGTCATGCCGGGAGGCAGTAACACAATTCTATCCTGTTTTTAAGAGATGCCTGCTGTGTGGACAAAGTACTGGAAGGGGACCAGAGAGGCCAGTGAAGGGGATGATGTGGTGAACAAGGGCAACAAGTGATCATCTTAGGGTTCCTTGGTATTTGGGGTGAGAACAGTTCCGTTCTCCCTGGGTCAGACGAAAGGCAGCATTTGGCCTCTGTGTCAGGCCTGCCTTTTCTTCCTACCCAGGCCCAACTCTCTCTCCCAGGGGCTCATGCTTGCCCCAGTGAGAGGGGTGTAAAGTGGGTTTCAAACTGCCAAAAAGAAGACCGTGCTGTGTAACCCAGAAATAGTTGTCTCTCTTCTCCGAAAGGTCACCCAAAAGTATGCCCATGGGGAAAAGGAGGGGATAAGAGCAAGCAGCTGCTGCCTTCCCAGCAATGGCTGGAAGTGCCATAAAAACCCTATTCATGGAGCCAAAGTGGTCTTTCTGCTGGGGTAGGGCAATTGCTTCAGTATGAAAATCTGTAAAGCCTGTTGAAATGGTCTCTTTCCAAAAGAATAGTTCCATAATGGGCTGAAAATAAAACACTTGTTTTCCCTTTGCAAAATCAGCTAGATTAAAACAGCTTAAAATTCTTCAAAAGGCTGTGATCATGAAGGTCTAGAGTGGCCCTGGACCCCTAGGATCCCCAGATACACTAGTTATGTCCCCTCCTGAGCAGTGGTTGAGGGGATGCTAAAAATCATTAACAAAATTAGCAAATATTTATGATATGCCTGGGACTGGACAAAGCATGTGTTTTTCAAGATCTCATTTAATCTCTACAATCATGCTCTGCATTAAATGCCATTATTATGCCCACTTAACAGTAGGGAAACTGGGAACTAGGGAGAGTAGTGACAGACAGGTGATCAGGGATCACACAGTGAAGGAGAGAAGTCAGGCTACACACCCACCCTGCGCCACTGCCCCACAAAGCCCCTGTTCAGAAGTTGACCCAAGGGCTGCAGAGTAGGGGAGGAAAGGAAAGTTGGAAATCACTTACTCTGCTGTTCATTACTCTGCCTCTCCCACCCCCACTAGAGCACAAGATGCATCAGAAAGGAAGCACTCAGTAGTTTTGTCATGCTGGATTTGGTTTACAAAATAAGGCTTCTACACCTATTCTCATTTTTTCACCCAGGTTCATATTTGGGACAAACAAGGGGCTGGGCTACAGCACACCTATTTGGGCTACCACATCGGTACCACTGATGAATGTCTATGTCTGCCAATTACATATTTATAAGGTCGCCCGCCTTGACTCTGACACAGAAGTTATTAAATGCTCGGGAGCCATAAGGGTTGCGCTCAGTGCCCTGAAACAAAGGCAAAGAGGCTGCCAGACCCATCTGAAGCAGGAACAAAAGCATTTAATTTCTGAAGGAGCTGGTTGGGAGTTTTCTTATAACTGGGTGCCCAGCACACATTACAAATGGGGAAAAGTAGAGATGCACTAATGCGGTGGGGGTGGGGGGCGGGGGGCGGGGTGTGGAATCAAAGCAGGCTTTTCTGCCTAGCATCCAGAAAAAGCCCTCTTCATAAGCAGCTTGAGTGGTGGAGAAAGGGGGAAAGATGCGCTAATCCAAGAGAGAATGTGTTATGATATTGCACAATTTTCTCCTGTCACCAGTTTTTCCTTTTTATGAAGACGCCAGGGAGGATTCACCTTTTGCTTGAAACCAGCAAACTGACAGCTTGTAAGCCTGCACCCCAACTTTTCCCAACCAGAGCCCCAGCAGCCAGATGCATTGGGAGGGCAACCAGCTCCCTTGTCTCCCAAACGTAATCATTCCAATCCAAGCTGGGGCTGCCTGGAAGTCAACACTCAAGGCACATTTAATAAGAAACATCTGGCCGCCGCAGAGGGTTGACACGGCCCAGGCGGGCAGCAATGGATTTGCGGTTGGGACCCAGAGTTACAGGCGCTGAATTAAAAACACAACTGGAAAACACCAGCTAGTCCAGGGAATCCTACACATACAGCACTGTGGCACTTGGCAACACTGCCTTGCCCAGGGTGAATTGTTTTGGAGTGAGTTACCTAGACACATAGTGCCCGTGCTAGGGATCCACAGTTCTCACATCAGTGAAACGCAGCCTTGAGCCCGGCTCTCCTGCATCTCCCAGTGTCTGGCCACCACTTCCACCTCCAATATTTGTAGCAGATGTAGCTCCGCTCTTAAAGAAACAGCCTTTGCATTCTTTCCATGTGACTTACAAGTGAGATTTAAGGCGGAGGGGAATATATATATATCTATAGATATATATATGTATGTATATTACATATTGCATATTTTATCTTGCTGTAGTGTTGTGCATTTACGGCTTCCTACCTCCATTTATGCAAGGCGAACCCAGGGCACTGGTCACCACAGGCGTTACATGGCTGGCCTCGCTCTATCCGCCCCAGTCCGGTCAACTTCAAAACAAAAAGACAACACACGCATGTCTCCACCACGGGGTCTCCCTCCACAGCCCCACTCGTGTCCCTGGCAGGATGGCCTGCCCCTCCCACCCCACCTCCTGTGATTTGAGCCAACTGCTCCTCTTCTGTATGGGGGACACGGGGCGGGGCACTGCCAGTGCCCCAGGGGTGGTCTCCCGCCTGCTTGGGGAAGGGTGCGCGGACCCAGGCAGGTTGCCTCCGGCATGGGCACTACACCACCACGAAATGACCACGGCTGGGGCTTTGTCTCCCCCAGACACCTTGGTCACGGGTTTCTAAGAAACAAAAGCAAGACCCTTCAGTTCCCTGGAGTCCGCAAGAAGCGAGCATCGGGCGCCCGCCCTAGACCGGGCTGGTGCTCCCGGAAAGGGGGCAGCAGAGGACACCCCAAAAGACGGCCCTAAAGTCCCCGCTAGAGCTCCAAGTGGCTGGACGCTGGAGCTTTGGTGCTGGGATTCCGATTTGCCCGGAGGGAGGGGGCTTTCCAGGGATCCCCCAGACTGTGACCCTGAGGGCCACGGTTCGGGTCTCACTGTCGCCCAGCCGGGGGGTCGGAACTTAACCCCTCCCGCGCCTTGGAGCGCTCTCTCGCGCCCTGGACGCGCCCCGCCCGCGGGGCCGGCTTACCTGGGGCCACAGGTGCGCAGCCGCGGGGCGCAGTGGGGCTGCGCGCGGGCGCTCGCGGCCGGCTGGAGGTGCCCGGCGATCGGCCCCGCTCGAGCGGGGGACACTCACCGAGCGGCTGGAGAGTCTTTTCCGGGAGCTCCGGCTGAACATGGCCGGACGCCTCCTGCTCGCAGCGCCGTCCGTCGGTCCGTCCGCGCCGCGGCCGGGAGGGCGGGTAGCCTGGGCGGGCACCCTCGGCGGCCGCTGGCCTGGCTGTCTCCGCCTTGCAGTCCCCGGCTCGCTCCGGAGCGCACGCCTACCCCTCCTCCCTTCCCTCTGCCTCTCCCTCCACGCCCGCAGGTCCCTCCCTCTCTCCCGGCATCCCCCCGCCCTCCCGGGTTCGCCCCGCGGTCCACCGGCTCTTCCCATCCCTCCCCCGCACCCGGCTGGGGCCACTTTCTCCCTTTCCCTGGCTTCTAGGCCCACTGGGCACAACTCCCGGCGCTTACCTGGTCCCGCCCCTGAAGGCTCGTCCCTCACCCTTGTCCCCAGCCTAGGGGCAGGGACCGTTTCACACCCCCCTGCCGCTGTAGCTGGGGTAGGGGAGTGGAGATGGAAGGATGAGGGTTGAGTTTGTTTAAGGTATAATCCACATACAGTAAATTCACCCTTTCTTAGTGCACAGTTCTGCCAGTTTTGACAAATTCGTACAGACCTGTAACCACCACCACAATCAAGCTATAGAACGGCGCTCTCACCCCCGAAAATGGATTATTTTAAAAGTTTGTACCATGCCTAGAATCTAGTGTTCATTAGGTGTTGGGAGAGGAAGAGAAAGTGGAGGAGGAGGAGGAATTATGCCCCTATGTAATTGTACAATGCCTGGAATATAGTAGATGCTCATTAAGTAAGTGTTGATTCATTGCATTCAAGCTTTGAAGCCATTGCGCCTTTAGTGCCTTTTTTCCCATTACCTTTTCCATCACTTCCTAGTTGGTGATCTCCCCAAATTAACCTCTTTGTGCCTCTGTCTCCTTATCGATAATAATTTTTTTAAATGATGTAACAAGAGTCCTTATCTCACACCATTGTTGAGAGAGCTGAGTTGGGGCATGTTTAGTTATTATAACAGGCACAAACTCAGGCTCATTAAAGATTAGCTGTCATGGCCTGGCATGGCTCACGCCTGTAATCCCAACACTTTCAGAGGGGGAGGCAGGACAATCTCTTGAGGCCAGGAGCTCCAGACCAGCTTGGGCAATCTGACTAGACCCATCTCTATAAAAAGTAAAAAATTAGCCAGTCATGGTGGTGTGCACTTGTAGTCCTAGCTGCTTGGTAAGCTGAGGCAGGAGGATCGCTGAAGCTCAGGACTTTGAAGTTACAGTAAGCTATGATGGCCCCACTGCACTCCAGCCTGGGTGTTAGAGCAAGACCCTGTTTTTATAAAATAAATAAAAATAAAGATTAGCTGTCAAACGTAGTAAGTCTGAGAGGTTCAGGCCACATGCCGGCTTATCATTGATGTTTCTACTCAAATACCACCTTCCCTGAGAGAACTTTCCTCGCCCCCGCTGTAACATCTCTCGTACTAATATGATCTCGCACACACTAATATAATGTGTAGCATCCATTGAAGTGATCTTGTTTGCTTATTTATTTGTCCTCACCCAAACTCAAGTTGCACAACAGAAAGGACATTGTCTTCTTGGTCTCAGTTGCCCTAGAGCCTGTAGCAATGCTTGCCTCTAGTAGGTTCTCTATAAATATTTCTTGAAAGAAGACGTTCTTCCCATTGTCAAAAAAGATAACTGTCCAAACTTAGTGTTTTACAGATGAGACACTGAACTTTGATGAAGAAAAGGTGTTTGCCTGGAGTGGCACAGCAAATGAGTGGCAAGGCCAAACCACCTACACCCCAAATTCAAAAGAATAGGGGGCCACAACTCAGACACACCCAGTGTATCAGTGTCAGCTGATTGTCCTCATGCCTAGACAGTAAAGTTTGGTTTGGTTTCTGGGCCGGAATTAGGGTGAGGCAAAGAAGGCCTTTACTTTAGGAGCAAAATGTACTGGGATGCTAAGAAACTCAGTAACCAAGATAAACCATGTTTTTATTCAATATTCTAAAGAATCAAAGTTAACAGCAAAAAAAACTCCATGATGAACAGAATATCATTTTAAACAAAGACAGGATTCTACCCCATGCTTATATAACCCTGCCTCACTCACCTTATCTTAGTCCTGGCCCTGGTAAAAATGTTCCAAAAACTCAGGGACATTAAGGATAGACTTCCTTATATTGCTTTATCTAAGTTACTCACCACCAACTATCACCATTAGATGATATACCCCCAGAGGGTAAATGCCCCGGCTTTTCTATCTCTTCATTAGCCCAGGCTTAGCACAGCATCTGGCTCATTTCAGATGCTCAACAAACATTTGTTAAATAACTAAATCTAAGGCAGTAGATTAGGCAGGGGGAGGGGGAGGGGATGTTAGCAATCACAGCCCCAGGTTACAGTCAGTACCAGGGCTGGATGCTCACCTGGCTTTCTCAGCAGGGCACCACACACCCAGCTCTGTACTGCACGTGGCCTTGTATCCGGAGGAAAATGCCAGGAGGTTAGGGAAGTGCTCATATTGTGATTGTGGATATCGCCTATTAGTATTTTAATTATGAAAATTTTTAGCAAAGGTCAGTAACAAAATTAGTGCATTACAAGTTTCCAACAGATGGAGGGTGAATATCTTGAGGAAGTGTTGCCTTATTCAAATTCCCTCAAAGGAGCTACAAGAGCTAGGAGCAGGTGTCTTGCCTCAGATATGGCTGGTGGAGGGTGCAATGATAACAACATCATTGGGAGCATGTGTGGAGTGTTTCTGGCCTTTAACTTTTATTGTGTGGTCAAAGAGGAGATGCCAAGAAGATGTGAGTGGACTTTAAATGTTGTATGAATAAGCCAGGTGCATGTGGCCCAATCCCAACCCACAAACAGTGCTCCAAGGGTTTCTCCTGATGCTTGCCATAAAAAGAACCCCCTCCTAAGCCCAGTCCCCACTGCTCTATTTCCTCTGAGTTTGAACCAGTATTCTATGGGCTTATTTACCCCTGAGGTTCATGTATGAGAGGTAGTATCTTCCTTATCTATTGAACAACCACTTTATCTTGCTTAGAAAGACAAAGTTTAGTAACCCAGGAAGGAAAAAAACATTCTTGCTGTCAGCTGCAAGTGAATAGTAGACAGTTTTCTTTTGCTTTATCACTGCATTTGCTGTTCATAGGCATCTTTGATGTATGTTTTTTCTTCATCTCTCAAGGCAATACAGTTACTAAAGGAACTTGAAGAGATCCTCATACATAATTGTCAACACGGGAAGACGCCTTTGCTATAATGTAAGGTGGAAAAACAAAACCCGAATAGACTGTCTGCCTGTAATTGCTCCTAAAATATGCATCAAGAAACTGGAAAGAAATACACAACACGTTAAAATGTATTGATCGTGAAATTATAAGGTTTTGTTTCCTTTCTGCCTCCTAAATCTGTTTCCTATAATGAACCTCTGTTCATTTCATAACCAGAAATGTAAAAGTATTTATCTAAATTGAGAATTGTGCCCTTGTTGTCGGAGGTCTTCTTACATCAAATCTGGATCAGCTGCAGCGAGAAGCTCTGTGTCTCCCCTTCTTTTGACCTATATATAGGTTCCTATCTTGTGTAGTTTGGCTTTTCTATTTTTTTTTTTTTTTTTTTTTTGTATAAATCTGTGACTTTTAAGCCAGGCAAAGCTTCTGGCCCACTGTGCTCACATACCTGCGGGAAACCTCAGCAATGTGTCCAAAAAGTACTTTCTAAACTAGGAAAGAACACAGTAGCTCAGAGCAGCTTCACACATGTGCACACTTATTTCCGTGACCTACCAGAAACAACTCTGAATGTGGCAAAAGGGGTAAAATCTCCCTGAATAGTAGCCAACACTTAGCAGCTCTATCAAAGCGTCCTCTGAGTCAGAAGTCTACAAATGGTAATTTTAAAAAGAGTATTTAAAGCCATGGTGATGGGGGAGTTCAGGATGACTGGAAAGGTGGTTTTTTTTCTTAGTGGTGGGTTTATAGAGGGGCTTTCCTCCTCCCTCCCAATGAGCACTCTTCTGTAGTCTATACATTTTCTTGTCTAGGCATGAATCAGACATATGTCATCAGAAAGAATTAAATCAGGAGATAACTGGAATAAAGAGAGCAGTGCAGGTGGGCTGTTTCACAGGATTTAAATAATCTTAAATGTATAAGTATATCCTAATATACTTAAAGCAAAAATATCTGAAAAGATATAAAGTACTACACTAAACAGCATATACATTTCTCTTTGAAAAGTCTTGGAATTGTGTGGTGCCATGGGCTCAGCTTATCCTGAAAAGCAAATTACAAAGCAAAAGGAAAACTGTAGTTTGAGGGACAGTCACGACAGTGTTGTTTCTAAGACGAAAAGAAAAATCACATGTAAATACCTAACATTAAAGGATCCATTAAGTAAAAATAAATAATGGTACATCCTTCCAATGGCATTCTGCCCAGATGTTAAAAATGATGTAGGATATGAGAAAATTTTTTAAAACCAGACTACAAAATAACAATATGAATTTACATTTGCAAAAGATTTGGGGTACCTCTTATACTTTCAAAGATACACACATATTTGGAAAAAAGAAGTCCAGCGACTATAACAAAAAATGTTACTGGTTAGGATTGTTTTAGGGATTGAATTTCAAGTGATTTAATAGTTTCTCTTTTGCTTATCTAATTTTTTAAAACAGAATGTGTTTTCCTTTTATAATAATTAAAAGTGAAAATATAAAATAATTACTTGACTTTTAGAAGCTCTTGAAGACTAAGAGTTATCTATAGATGATAAAATATAGGGGGCTTTTGTTACTTTTTCTTATCTATATATTCTTAATTTCTACAGGAAGCAAGTATTGTTTTGAATTAAGAAACACTTTGAAACTGGAAATATAAATGGGTTTCAAATATTCATAATTATCATGTACAACAAATACTAGTTTTCTTTAGAAAGAAAAAATTTCAAATTTTATTTCCTCACAATTTTCTAGAGTTGTTTTCCCCATGAACATATGTGTCTTTTGTAATAATAAAAAAAAGTATATTTTTGGTGCAGCTCTTCTATCACTCCCTTTAACAACCAGGGATTTGAGGACTTTTGAGTACTGTGCTCCCTGTTTTCCCAATACTCCTAAACAAGCACAAATATGCAAAGTTGACTTTTTGATAATCCCTTTCACTTGTGTCCCAGGCCACTGTTTGCAGAATACATTCAAAAGTATTATATTGGGACTCCAAGACTCACAGTGAGGTCAGAAAAGGAAACAAACACTCGCTGAAGCTGTGTGACTTCCCCGACACGTATGCTGGTAAGAGAAGGGGGTTTCAGGAGGAACGAAAACTAGGTTTGTTGTCCCAAGTTTTCATGATCCCTTCCCGTCTTTGGGGATAGCTTTCTGTTAAGATGTTCTCCCTCTCTCACACAGACACACATGCAAACACACACAAGACTGCCCTGCTGTGCACCTTCTGGGTGCACCCAGTGCCCCTTCACACAAAAATGCATTTGAAGGACCAGCATGGGTCTGAGGTAACAGCATATTTTGGGGGAGGTGGGTGGACTTTCTCTTGCTGTTTTCCCCTTGACTGCATTTGTTTCCCCATAATCCCCAACCACTCTCTCCAGCTCACCTGGCAAAGCTGCTCCTTTCCCTGAGCTCTCCTCCAGCCTTTGTATCATTTTTCTGCATTGACTGAGTTTGTCATAGCTTCCATTAATTGAATAGAAACCATGAAAAGGGGAGGAGAGGCAGTTTCCAAACACACTATTTCCCCTATTTCACTAGTCTATACTTGAGCGTCATCAAGAAACCAAGGTTATTGGTTTGCCACACAGAGCTCATTTTTCTCCTCAATTCTAACTCAAAAATAAATTCTCTCTCTCTCTCTGACACACACACACACAGACACACACACACACACACACACACACACACAGAGAGAGAGAGAGACATTTAATGGCCTCTGTCTCACTGAGATTCAGAATTACTGAGTGGTTCCCAAACTTTCTGTGCTATACTGTCCAATAGTAGAATTTTGGAGAGTTCAGTTGAAGGGATTAAAAGACTCAAAACAAGACCAAACAGGTCAGTAATAAGGACAAAGCAATTGCAACTATAACGTAGGACTGGTTGTCCTTTTCACTTGGCCTTTATCGCTAAGCCTCTTTAGAACAACGTCTCTCAAATTTGGCAGCATGGCAGGAATGACTTGGGAACTTTAACAAAACTCTAATGCCCAGGCCACACCCCAGGCCAATTAAATCAGAATTTCAGGGGTACAGCCCAGCCATCAGCATTTTAAGAACTCCCCATGTGATTCCAGGCTGCAGTTGTGTGGCAGAACTGTGGACTGCATGACCTTTTAGGCAAAGGCTTTTCACAGCCAGGTTCTTTGGCTGAGATGTGAATCTGCTATGCTTTCTTCTTCTTACCAGAAGCTGTGCCCAGCTTGACACCCACTGGAATGACCTCATCAACAGTAACAGTTTATAACATGTATCTAAAGAGGGTGGGCCTGGGGTTCCGAAGGGCTTTGTGTTTGCTATGCCTGGGTGCAGGCAGCCGAGTGTGGAGCACTTAGGACAGGGCTAAACCCAGCTGTCTTGTAAAGGAATAAAAGAATGGGCAAGGGCTAAGGAGGGTGACAGAGGAGAATCACCTTATTGGCTGTGCAGACAGGGATTCGGGGGAGAGATGTGTCCAATGGGGATTGCTCAAACAAAACGTTGTTCAGTGCCTGAGCTGGCCCCACCGCAGGATGTAAGGAATCTTCTGTAAAACCATATTATTTTCAGATGCTTGACGTGCCTAGATCTTAGGGAACCCTGGAAGAGAGCTGAGCTTTGTGTTGAGGCTGGCAAAGGGCCATGTCTGAGCTGGCTTCTGGTAACAAGAAGGAAGTCTACACCTGGGCTTCAAGAGTGTAAAGTCAATTACAACAAATTAATTATGCTCATTGGTCAGAATGTGTTGGAGCACTTGTGCTGGGCTCGTGGCACCCTGTAGAGATCCACTGGACTGAGGCCTGGTTAATGCTACAGAAAGGGCTGGCTTCTGTACTCAAATGAACATCATTCGACAGCTTCTGATCACAGAGGACAACCAAACTGACAATGTTAATGAAATTATTAAAAAGTCTCCAGTTCCAAAAAATGGCATGGATTTCACTTCTCACATTTACCCTAGCTTCCCAACAGACAAACAGGTTGCTTTAGAGTCCCAGAGCTAAGTGATTATTTCGGTTGAGACAGAGTTTTCATATTTTGGGAACAATTTGATCAAATGGTCTGATTTGTCAAGGTTTCAACCAATTGGCCTGTCTTACCTGCAATTTCCATGAAGCATTTCTTTTTCTTTCCTATCAGCCCCCTGAAAACCAAACCTGACATAATATCTTGATAAGGCCCCTTCCTGATTCTTTCCATCTGGGAAAGTTGTCTCATTTGTCTAGCCCAGCAGTTCTTAACCCTGGCTACACACTAGAATAATCTGGGGAGTTATTTTCTTTAACATGTCATGTCTGGTCCCATCCTAATCAATTAAATCAGTATTCCTGGGACCAGACAATGGCTAGTTTTTTTAAAGCTCTCCAGGTGAATTTAAAGTCTAGTCAGGATTGAAAGCCTTGAATCTATCTCTTTTCCCATGATTTCTTTACTCATCCTCCTAGGTTTTCCTTCTCTGTGCTCATGCTACATTATCCTCATCCTACTTTTGTACCTGCCATCTCACTATGCAAAGTAGACAGTATATCTCTTTTGCACAGATAACAGGAGAAGGAGACAGATCAGGACAGGACCTTTAATTCTTTGCTTCTCAAAGGTGATGTCAGAGACCAGCAGCCATGAAATTATCTGCAAGCTCATTCAAATTGCATAATCCTAGTAACTCAGAATCTGCATTTAAACAAAACCCCTAAGCAATATGAATGCACACTGGAGTTTAAGAAGCACTGTTCCAATTAACCCATAACACATCCCCCTTAAAGGACCATCCTACAGCCCCTCTGTGATTTGCCAGAGTGGAACTATGTGGTTCAAACCCTCAGTCTCCCCAGGTACTGGCTCTGTATGAAGCCCTATTTTAAATGCTTCTACAGACAACCATTCATTTTAACCTTGCTACAGCTCTGTGGGACTGGCTTACTATTATTCTTAACTGGAATAAAACAAGGTTCAGAGAAGTGAAGTGACTTGTCCAAGCTAGTGACGGATTCAGGATTTTAATACAGGTTCCATTTGATTCCAAAGTTGGTTCTCTTTACAATAAAACAGATGTCACCGTGCTTCATCCAGAAACAGGTGAGCACAGAGTAGGTGAGACAGCTGGTGCAATCCTAGCTCTTCTTGCTTTGGACTGAAACTTGCAAGACCCTTTCTCTGCTGCTGCCTGAAACTTGCAAGACCCTTACTCTGCTGCTAGCAATGAAAGAGAGACCAGTTGTCCTGCTCCAGCAGCAAGTCAATATCTCACCTTGAAAATGACTAAAAAAAAAAAAAAAGTGGTGTTCTCATCACCACTGAGAACTCCCCCAAGAGAACACAGTCTGTTTGGCCTCTTGGTAGGACCCTTCTGGATATGTAGTTCATTTCCTCTTCAGCAGAAAATTTGGTCTCTTGAGTATTAAAACGTATGCTTTTCTTTTGTGTTCTCTTTTTGCAAGCCAAAAATCATCCAACCAGACAACCCTTTCTCTGTCATGTATGGGACATGTACAATTTTTAAATAGTTGTTAAAAAAAAAATTGGAACTTCAGTTTAAATGGACTAAAACTTCCTACGTAGCGTGCAACTGGGGTCAGTATGGCCAAGATGTTAAGTGCCCGTGAAGTCACCTCTTTTGTCTTTTAAAAGGATAATCAATGCCATAGACTAGGTTGAAAACTAGATCCAAGCAGAGGCCCCTCACATTCCTTGGGCATGTAAAATGGACAAGTAGTAGACTGAATTGTCATTTCTTCATAAAAGTGGTTGCCAGGATTTGGGTCTGTATGAGTCAGAGCAGCCTAGCTACTCCAACGAACAGCAAGTCTCACAGGCCTATCAAAAGAGCTGTTTCCTGCTTTTGCTCACATCATAATCTGATGCAAGTGAGGCAGGGGAGGGGGCGAGAGGAGGGGAAGAGTGAGTGGGAAGGTAGTGCTCTGCTCCGCCCAGACATTCAGGCTGATAATTCTTCTGAGGGCTGCATCTGCCATCTTCCAGAACTGCAATGTCCAATATGGCAGTGATGTCATATGTGACCATTTATATTTAAATGAATCAAAAGTAAAAATTCACTTTCTCTGTTGCATTAGCCATATTTCCAGTTCTCAAAAGCCACATGTGACTAGATTCTACTATACTAGATGCACAGAATAGAAGATTTCCATAATTCCAGAAAATTCTATTTGACCACTTCCTCTAAATTTCAGAGTGCTCCACCGGATTGTCTGAATCCGACCTGCAGACAAGAAAAGAGAAGGTAAAGAGTCAGTGAGGACTGGTGGACGTATTTTCCCCAGATTTCATTGGCACAAGCTTGAGACATGGCCTCCTTTACTGCAAGAGAACCGGAAAGCATCATCTAGCTTTGCGCCTAAGAAGAGGAGAAGCACGGACATGCATGAGCCCTTGGGCATCCCTGTCCCAGTGGCCTTATCAGAATTGCAATACTATCTCACACTGCATTCCTTGTATTCCTAGGAGAACTGGCCAGGCTTCTAAAGAACATAACCTTACTTTGGATTAGGCCTCAGAGATGTTAACTCTTGCTGTCGGTAAGGGTTGACTCAGATGCAGAAACTCAGACAATAGTTAACCACTTCACTTGAAAGAGAAAGCCTCATATGACATTCATCTCATCAATGGCAAAGTGTATGAAAAAGTGATTCTGTTTTTATATTCTAAATCAGGAGTTGGCAAATTTTTCTGTACAGGTTCGGATAGGAGCTATTTAAGGCTTTGTGGATCATACAGTCTTTATCACAACAACTCAACTCCACAATTGTAGTACAAAAGTGCCATAGATGAAGGAGAGTGACAGTGTTTCAATAAAGCTTTGTTTACAAAAGCAGGCAGTAGGTCCAGTTTGGTCTAGCATAGTTTGCTGGCTCCTGCTCTAAGTCTTCACCAGGTCCTCTTCACTTCCTAGCAGACTCACCTTTCTCTTCTTCCTGTCCCCTCCAAAAAAGAATGGTAAAAAGAAGAATGGAAATGTTGGTATATGTAGAGAGCCAACATTTTGCAGTGCTAAGCACTTTACTCAAGTTAATTTAATTCTCACAACACCTTGAGTAAGATTTTTATGGTTGCCCATTTACAGATGAGGAAGCTGACACACAGAGAAATTAAGTCATCAGGTTTAGCTCATGAAGAGACTAAAATTCTAAGTGTGATGGCATAATTCACTATAAGTCACTGGTGCATGAAGCAGTATTGTTTAATATCCCCCAACATGGTAATCAGGGAAGAACTTAGCCATAGACATTATCAGAGGGAGGGAACTAGAGTAGGGCATGGGGAAAAAAAATACATACCTGAGTTGGTAGTTGATGGGATTTGTTTGTGAACACCTATGACACATGTTAGGGGTGGGGAGATGGCAAGAAGAATGAGGAGCAAATGTGTAAACCATGTAGGGGTCTGTGGTCTTGCAATGGCAGATGGGGAAGTCATTATTGTGATGAACACAAGGCTTATTAATGTGCAACAGTGCCCAATTTTAACCCTTTCCTGTCATTTTCAATAAAGGGAATTTTGTCTTTGATATCTGCTTCTCCTTTCCCCAGTTTCTGGCTTAAAAAAATGCAAAATCAGGATGTTGGGCAAAAAGAAACAGGCCCAGGTAGAACGGAAGAAAGGAGGAAAGATTTTTGTTAGACATTTCATGGGCTCTCCTTTGTTGTGAAAAGTCTGGGTAATGGGCAAGGCAGAGAGAGGGATGAAGGCAGTCAGACAGGCAAAATCAACCTAAATACTGTATTGCTGAGAGAGAACAGAGGTCAAAGACAGAGAGCTTGAAAAGGCAAGTGGGCTGCTCTTGGAGATGTTTGGGTTTGGGGTGGTGAATGAGAAGCTTTGGTATAATTGAGAAAATCAAGAAAGAAAGAGAAAAGGATTTTGAGAAATGCTACCATGGGTTATCAGTTGGGCCCCTTATAACGTTCTCTGGGTATTGCAGGTAAAGTTTCCATTGTAATTATTTTCGCTTTGGAAGATGTGGCTCTACGCAGAGATTGGACTACATGGGGCCTTGCGATTTATTTGGGTTACACTAACAAAATGTCTCCATTTTTTGCTCCCTGAATTGGAGGAATCTAGAGTATATGAAAAAAAAAAAAAGAATTACAATAGGCACAGCAGTCCGAGAATGGAAAAGCCTAGCTCTTGAGGAAGAGAATTTTCCATCTCTGCAAGTGTTCAAGTAATCACCTATTGTGACATTGAGGAGGGAATGCAGGAGCTGTAGGGAAGTGGGTTCCTCAACCTGGCTGAGCATCAAAAGAATCACAGCTTTCACAACCCACAGCCCCAGGCCCCTTCTATTTCTGTCATGTTGTGGAGCACTGACCTTTTACAAAAGCTCTCCAGGGGATTCAGAGCTTTGGGAACCAATGATGCCAAGAGCTGGGCAACGTGATCTCTACTGCTGCTTCCAAGCCTGACAGCATTATCCTCCACGAACCTCTCCTTTGTAAAAGCATAACATCATAGGAGTATTTAGCCAAAGCACATTCTGTTAAAAGGGAAGTGTGCTTAAAGGATCTCTCAAATAAGTAAAGAGAAATAGAAGGAACAAAGTCACTGTGAAGTTACATCCTGCTTCTTTTTGGGTCTCCTTGGATGATATTTTAGACACATTAAACTAGTCCACTGATTTATTTATTTTAAGGGCTTTTTTTTTTCCAGGGCTTTGGGGCTCCACGCTTTCTCTGCATTCACTCCTAAAACTCCTTTAATGAGAAAATAGTGCCAGGTGGAAAAACAAAAATAGAGAAGAGGTTCTCAGACCAGTCACAAAAATTATTCTAGAATCCAGGTAATTGTGGTTGAGAGCTGTATCTGGAAAACGGTGAGTAAATTACACTTTTGTAAATGCAGCCATATGTGGAAAGCTGTGAGGCAGCTCCTTATGAAAAAGGCTAAGTTAGAGGAAACTTTCTATAAACCGAGTGGATATCAAGATTTTTATCTTTAAGGTTTTCCCCTGAATTGCAAAAGTAATATGTCTATTTTAGAAAATATGGGACACACACTTAGAAAAACAGAAAAAAAAACTTAAAGTACACATAATTCCATCACTGCAAGAAAACAATTTTAAATATTTTGGGGTATAGCCTTCCAGATGAACACATATATACACACATATATACCTATAAATATGTACATGTAATAAACCTTTTTCAAAAAATTGGGATCCAACTATACCTATTTCTTTGCAACCTGCTTTTTCCCCCCACTTCATCTGTCATGATTATTTTCTCACACCACAAATACTTTTCCACAGCAGTTTCCAAAGGCTGCATAAAATTCTATCCCATTAAACCCCATTGTTGGACATTGAGGTTGTTTCTAATTTTTGACATGATAAATAATGCTTCTCATCTGCATCAGTATTATTTTAGATGAAGACACACGCGGATATACCCAGCGATGCCAAATAAAACAGTGCCATTGCTAAATGTGATCTCATGTTTTATGCATTCTAAAATATTGAAGCTGTGGTTTGGGAACTGGTTAACTGTGGCTCCAGTGTGCGAATATACCACTTCTTCTGGGGCTGAGCTGCGGCCAGCCAGGTCACCTAGGGGGGTGGGGGTCAGGAGATAAGCACCTCCCCTCAGGTGCTCCAATTCCTTGGGCTCAGAAAATCTCTCTCTGTCCTTCCAATAATAATATTCAAGGGAAAGAAATGAGGGAAAAAATTTGATGGCTTCTGTTTCAGGTTGAATTATGCCACCCCCACCCCTCCCCCCGCAAATTCATATGCTCAAGTCCTAATCCCTGATATCTCAGAACGTGACTGTATCTGGAAATAGAATCTTTAAAGGGGTAAGTAAGATAAACATAGGTCATTCAGGTGGCTCCTTACCTAATATAGCTGGTGTTCTTATAAGAAAAGATCAGGACACAGACACACAAATACACACACACACACACACAGGGAAGACCATATGAAGACACAGGGAGAAGACAGTCAACTGCAAGCCAGGGGGAGAGGCCTCAGAAGAAACCAGCCTTGATCTTGGACTTCCAGCCTGCAGAATTAGGAGAAAATAAATGTCTGTTTTTTAAACCACCCAGTCTGTGGTACTTGGTTATGACAGCCCTAGCAAACTAAGACAGCTTCCTAACACATCTTCAGAGAAATGTTTCAGGTAAGTCAGAGTCCTAAGAGCAGGCAGCTGGAGAGTTAGAGTCAGAGAGAAGGGACTTGAAATGGAGGGTCTAGGACTCAGGAGTCACCTGATCTTCAGCATGCCCCTGCATGCTGAAATTTTTGGCTACGTATTACATATTGGCTACATAGTCAATACAGCTAATATGTGGCCAAAAATTTTAGCATCCCTGCCTCAGCATCCTCATCTTTATAGTAGAGACCAAACTCTTGTGATAAATAACACCCACTGTATTAGTCCGTTTTCAAGCTGCTGATAAAGAGATACCTGAGACTGGGAAGAAAAAGAGGTTTAATGGACTCACAGTTCCACATATCTGCGGAGGCCTCACAATCACGGCAGAAAGGCCAAAGGCACTTTGTACATGATGTTGGCAAGAGACAATGAGAGCCAAGCCACAGCAGAAGCCCCTTATAAAAACATCAGATCTCATGAGACTTATTCACTATCATGAGAATAATACGTGAGAAACTGCCCCCATGATTCGATTATCTCCCACCAAGTCCCTCCCATAACATGTGGGGATTATGGGAGCTACAATTCAAGATGAGATTTGGGTGGGGACACAGTGAAACCATATCACCCACCTTTTGGAGGATTCTGAGGATGCCAGACGTGAAAAGTGCCTGGCACAGTGCTTGGTATGTAGGAGGCATGGGATGAACTGTGTTAGCCAGTGGCCTGCACAAGCTTATCTTCACCCTGTCAA
Organism: Homo sapiens; assembly: GCF_000001405.40. Taxonomy (NCBI): domain Eukaryota; kingdom Metazoa; phylum Chordata; class Mammalia; order Primates; family Hominidae; genus Homo; species Homo sapiens. Next base: position 64,459,412 of record NC_000003.12, read on the forward strand.
ATAAAGTGAGTCTTAATTAACCATATAATATGTAAAAAGATAATTACACATTTGGAACTTTTGCTTTAAGGCAGATTCACTTTGTTTAGCCCACACAGTGCTTCTTAAAAACACTTCAAATTAGTTGCCAATATTTTAACAACAGGAGATTCTACACAAATTCTGGATTTCTGGCTATTTGAAAAATCAACAGATCTGGAAGCCCTAGGCCACCATTCTCTGGCTCACTGTGGTTCCTGGGCAAGGGATGTAGCTGTGTCACCTGCTGGCCCATGCAGCATTGAATCTGTAACCTAGACCCTAATGTATAAACTGATTTTTATAAATAAAAATACATACATGCATACACACGGAGAATAAATGTATGTGTGTGTATGTGTGTGTGTGTATGTATTCCTTAAGTCCCATGTCTCTTTGCTTCATTATTTCAACATCTTTTCTTTTTAAAAAAATTCACTTTGATTCCAGATTCATGACTTTGGTGTCTGATTCAACAAAACTGGTCTAAAAGCCCTATTGCACCATACACCCTAGAAATGTGGATGAAACTACAATTCCCCTAGTTTAACCTCTCATTTTACTCATGAGGCAATACGGCTAATACGTGGCTAAAAATTTTAGCCTTGAAAGGGGCCTCAGAAATTAGCTAGTCTTTGTAAAACCCTCGTTGTTGCTAGAAACCTCAGAGATTTAGGAAACCTTTTTGTTATTTGATTTGATTTTTACAAAAACAAAAAACAAACAAACAAACAAAAAAACCCAGGACCAAAAACAAAAAACAAAGGAATTCAAACATTTAATTAGTCATGTTAATTTGTTTTCCTTTCCCTCCAAGCAATCTCCAGGCATTACTAAAATGCTCCCAGGTATTTCCTAAAACAGGTTTACCTCCACCCAGCCCTGTGAACCTCAGCGTTGTCTTGTATCAGTTGCTAGGTAACTGAGGAAGATTTATGCACATCTATTGTTAATTTTAAAGACAATTTTCAGCTCTGCCATAAACATCAGTAGAAGCAGACACCACACTTGCACTGAGACATTCCTCTAGCCTTCCCTGAGATGGGGCATTCCAGGGCATGTCTACAAAATCCAAAATATTCTGGTTTTTTTTTTAAAAAAAAAAAAAAGGAAAATGCTGGTAAATTCCCAGCTGTCTGCAAAAACAGTTCAGCAAATTTGAGACATTTGGGCCCATCTCCAGTACCCTCTTGTGCCAAATCTATTATAAGTTTTATTCAAAGAGTATCATCTGCCCTCCCAGTTTGCCTGCATTTAATTGTGCATTTCAAGTTTGCCCAAAATTTAATATTGTGCTTCTCTCCCCCATTCTTTCCAGCAGCACCAAAATTTAGTCTTCTGTATCCCAGAAGCATCTGCAAAATTATTTCTCAACCCAGTGGTTTCATTACTTTTTAAAGGGTTCTTGTTAAGCCCAACAACCATTTATACTGGTTTTGACCAAATGTATGGATTTTGTTGCCACTGTTTGGGTAAGTGATGGGAGGGACCCAGTTTATATGATGGGCACCCAAACCAATGTTTTATAGAGTGATCATAATTATAATGACCCTTGGCTTGTGGGAAGCAGTTCATGTCTTACTACAAGCTTCCCGGGGCATTCCATCATCAGATTCTCACCACAACCCCGTAAGAAGCATGTTTCGTGGCATCGTCATTCTAGCTTAGATGACTTCCTGACTTCAACACTGCTAGCTGGTGGTCTGGCCTTGCCTCCTCCTAACTCATCCTCTATACAGTCTCCAGAGAGGTCGTTCCAAATGGAAACCCAAACATGCCAGTCTCCTACTTAAAATCAGCCTGATGTTTCATGGTTCACATTTGCAACATGGAAGAGAAGGGCCTCTGTGATCTAGCCCCTGTCTAACTCTTCAGCCTTATCTCCCGTCACTCTTCCCTCACATTTTTTATCCCGGCTGTGCTGCCTTTTATATAGTTCCCTGCACACCATGCTGTCTTCTTGTCCCTGGGTCTTTGTTCATATGGCTTCCTCTGCCAGAGATACCCCACCATGTAATTATTACACTAATGCCCAATACCAAAGCATTCTCTGACCCCATCTCTGTCTCACACCTGAAGAGTTAGATGCACTCTCCTGTGCTTCCAGAATACTCAACGCATATCTCATCAGTGCATCTATGGAATTACTTTATAATTATCTGTTCATCTGTCTGTCTTCTTCTAAACCTAAAACTAAGTGTTTGAGTATTTTCCCAGGGAGTGCTTATACCATCTTCTTCCTCTGAGTATCTCCCAAGCCTAGCACAGTGCCCAGCACATCATGAGCATTAGTTGGTGGCAGGAAGGGAGTAAAAGGGAAAGGGAGGGAGATCATAAGAGGGAGGCCAATAGCACCATTGGCCTGATTCCACAGATAAAGCAGCCCAGCCTCCAAGAAATTCAATGACCCAGGCAACACAATTAGCAAGTGGAATAGCCAGCATTTGAATGGGAGAAAGATCCTTAGAAATAAGTGAACACAGGCCGGGCGTGATGGCTCACGCCTGTACTCCCATCACTTTGGGAGGCCTAGGCAGGCGGATCACGAGGTCAAGAGATCGAAAATATCCTGACCAACATGCTGAAACCCTGTCTCTGCTAAAAATACACACACAAAAAAATTAGCTGGGTGTGGTGGCATGTGCCTGTAATCCCAGCTACTCAGGAGGCTGAGGCAGGAGAATCACTTGAACTCGGGAAGTAGAGGTTGCAGAGAGCCGAGATAGCACCACTGCACTTCAGCCTGGCGACAGAGCAAGACTTTGTCCCCCCCCCAAAAAAAAAAGAAAGAAGTGAATACATCCTTTCATACAGCGGAGAGAGCTTCTGTTTGCATACCTGCAGGGATGGGCTGATCACTGCCTCTCCAGGCAGCCATTTTCATGGATGGTCAGCTAGGCTATGAAACAGTTCATTCTCTGGAGGTGCCAAAGCCAGTTTCCCAGTGATTCGCATCAGCCCGGTTTCACTTTTGTCTTCTGCTGTTAGACATTTCCTCTTGTCAGAGCAGAAACCTCAGACTTCATATTCTGTGGATAAATCACCCTCGAATTGCTCCCCCCTTCCTCAATCACCGCCAAAAAATGCAAAAATAACCAGATTCTTAGCCTAAACACAAGCACTTTCCATGTACTATCTAATCCAAACATCCCAAAAACACAAGTTTAAAAACATGCTGGAGATCACACAGCTAAAAAGTCACAAATCAAGCCTAGACCCCAAGGGGTCTAACTCCAAGTTCATGGACTTAACCACCTCACAATATTCTTGCCTGTCTGAGCCCTTTAGCTATTCAGCAGTGAAAAGCTAAGCAGATTAAAAGCACATAATTCTCTCTCTCTTTCCCTCTCTCTCTCTCTTCCTCCCCTCCCCCTCTTCCTCCCTCTAATACTGGGTTTATGAAGACCTAGCAGACCTCTCTCCTCTGAGGATTATTTTTCAAAATGAGTTTCTTTCTCATCCCCCCTCTCATCCCAAGCCCCATCAGAGGAAGAAAGATCGCTGGGCTGCTGGCTGTGCACATACTGTGTTATTCATGGGGTACGCACCAGGATGGGCCAGCTCATTAGGTTCAAAGCCTCAAATTAATTTTACATTACTGTCCCCAGAGGTGAAAGGTCATTTTTTATCTTCTTAGCCTTATCCACCACCCGGGATGAAATTGGATCTTTAGGAAGGAGGGGACCCTGCTCCCTATTGTACCAGCTGTTGATGCTTCTCTTCTTTGTTGTGAGTGAAATCGCACACACAGAGCTGAGATTTAAAACACACACACACACACACACACACACACACACACACAAACAAAAAAAACACCAGAGGTGGTTTTTGTTGTTGTTGTTTTGAGGCAGGGTCTCACTCTGTTGCCCAGGCTGGTGTGTAGTGGCATAATTATAGCTCACTGCAGCCTCATACTCCTGGGCTCAAGTGATCCTCCCACCTCAGCCTCCTGAACAGCTGGGACTAGAGGTGTGCACCACCACACCTGGCTAACTTTCAAACTTTTTGCAGGGATGGGGTCTCGCTATACTGCCCAGGCTGGTCTTAAACTCCTAGCCTCAAGCAATCCTGTTGTTTCTGCCTCCCAAAGTGTTGAGATTACACACTGAGCCATTGCATCTGGCTGGCGTTGTTAAGTAGGAACATTTTGTAAATTACGGAGCAGAGTAATGATTGAGAGGCTGGTACTGAGTGTGTTGAGAAAGCTAGAGACTGAAACGGACTGCTATTGCCAGGGTGAAGCTGATGCAAACTAGAAGGTGGGAGGCCCTCTTAAATCCTTCAATTTTGCCTTCTCCCTCTGGTGCCTCCTAGTGGCAGAACCAAATGTGGCACCAGCTGGTCGGGAGAAATGGCAGCCCCAACCACTGCATCACAAAACAGTGGTTCGTGGGCCCTGGGGTGAGGGACAACAGCTTAATAATTGGTACTTGCAATCATGTCTATATCAAAGATGTGTTTTAATAACAATTAGGCTGGTTCATGGAGGCTCTGGTGGGTTTGGAGTGGCCCACGTTCATGGGACGTTCCAAGCATGGTCCCAATAACCTCCCAAATGATGAGAGGAGCCACCCCCCAACAGAGAGAGGCTTGGTTTCCAGGTTGGGCTGCCCCAGTTAGACTGAGCTGGATCAAAATTGCAGGGTAGCCCTGGCTGGATCAAAATTGCATTGACGAGGGGAAGAAAGCAGCATTGAACCCTGCCTGCTTGTATTCACAGTAGCTATTGTCTCACCCACAATGGTGTAATCAGAGTGAACACACTGACCAGTGTTTGCTTTCCCCCTCCCCAGCCTTCTCCCAACATTTTCTCCCAGCTCGATGAAGAGGTTTGGCATTCAAAGGATGGGGATGGTGTGTAGTACCGCAAGAGTGATGGGCAATCCCTGGGGAGTAGAGGAAACAGAATCTTCTCTTCATAGCTCCAAGAGCTTCTACACGATGGATGCCCTGCCGAAGGATGAGTTGCCATGCAGCTTTGGAAGACAATACTGTCAGAAAGAGGCAGAATCTTGCCCTTTCCCAAAGCAATGCCCATCAAAAATGCCCCATGAATATCTTGGAGCCAAGTGGCATTCCTTAAAGACAGCAGCTGCCAAACAGCAGGAAAAAGGTCAAGGTAGAAAGGTGGGATTTGGGGGAAGAAAGCAAAATAGAGCCTCTGCAGTTTTAAAAATCAGCTTAATTTCCAATGATATTCACCAGGAAGCTTAATAGACTTAATAGACCCTATAAAGCAGGGCAAAGGGGTTCCATTTATTACACATCATGCTTTCAATTCAGGACTGTTCTTTCTCAAGAACAGAGACTTGGTGGGGCACCCACACCACTAGAGATTAAAGCCCCAGAGTACAACTGAAGACCAGAGCTGGCAAAGAAAGGACTGCTCTAAATCAGGACCCAGCAACCATTCTGCCCACAACTTTTCTGAGTTGAACTGGCCTTGCAGAGGAGGGCAGTGAGTTACCAAATAGCAGCTTGCCAGCCGAACAAGCCCACCTTATCCATTCTGGCCTGGAAAGGGAGAGAAGTTAGAGGTTAGGTCTTTTTGATTTTGGTGGAACACCAATGGCTATGTATTGGGCATCCCTAGCTGGCCAGCTGGTAACTGGTTCTTAGATCTGGTTGAGCTCTGCCCTATAAGGTTCGGTACAGATGTGAAAAGGCTGGTTCCTGGCTTAACATCGGACACAGGTACCCGCAGCCCCTTCAAGGATGATGCAATGAGAACCTGTCATTTTGACTTCTCAACATTCTTTATACCGTCTTCCGGTAAGAGCACCACAAATTCCTGTGGGGAGCCATCTCTTCTTCACTTTCAGCCCTATAACTAAGTGTGGTGCATTGAAATGGATTTTAGGATTTTTATTGAAACCGTCAGGAAGAAAAGAAATCTCTTTTGGTGGCAATGGAAATAGTTTATGCATCAGTCAACTATGGCCACAACAATGCTATATAAAGAGCCCTCATATAGCTCAGCCCCACGTATCAGAAAGTGTTTATTATCATGCTAACAATTTCTCAGATTAGCTGGCATGCCTCTGCTTCCAGCTGCAAGCCTGCATTCAAGTGAAGCAGCTTCTCTCTAAATGTCTTTTTTTTTTTAAAGAGGCTACCTGCAGCATATCCTCATGGTAATTCTACAAGCACAAGAGAAAGCATATGGAAACAGGCAGTTCCTCTTAACACCTAGGCTCAGAACTGGCACGCTGTCATTTACAACCACATTTCTTTGGCCAAAATAGAGTACATGGCTACACCCAACATCAGTGAGATGGCAAATGCACTCTACTGGTGGAAGAGACTACAAAGTCACTGGCAAAAGGCAGGCATGCAGGATGGGTGAGGAGTTGGGAAAAATCACGCATTCACCCCCACAGTGTAAGCTGCCTTTGCTGGTGGCCATTTTGCTATGGGATGGGAAAAGTCTCCCTGAATGAAGCCAACAGGAAGGAAAGTAGAGGCAAGAGATGGAGACTGAGACTTGATAATATTGTTCAAGTCCTTGAATCCTGCTATGTTCTGACTTTTCAATTAAATAATTAAGTCTGTTTCAACTGGTGTCTGTGATTTGCTACAAAAAGACACCTCACCCAACTGTATCAGTCAGCAAACAAGGAAGGTCTAGAGTGTCAAGTCTGAGAGCCGTGGCAGGATTTGAAGGGAAGGCAAGATAGAGCAGCGCGTCCTGCAGGAAGAGCCTAGAAAGGTGGCCAGAGGCAACTGTACGTGGGTTATGGAATGTGGCTGTGCAGGGTGCCCTTGGAAAGCCAGCTGACATGAAGGAAATATGGAAAAGACACTGCATCATTTGAATATTCCGGATCAAAGGAATATAGGGGATCTTGTTTCTCCAGCATCTAATAGATACAAACAACACCAGTGTAGTCCACACTGACATGGCCCATATTGCATAACCCCAAAGTCAGAGCAAAAGTTCTGGAAAAGTGTCAAAGGACTTCTAGGAACATAAGTACTAGAATAAGTCCTTGATCTTGGGATTATTAAAAAAAGAACCAGAGGCTGGGCACTGTGGCTCACAGCTGTAATCCCAGCACTTTGGGAGGCCGAGATGGGTGGATCACTAGAGGTCAGGAGTTTGAGACCACCCTGGCCAATGTAGAGAAACACTGTCTCTATTAAAAATTAAAAAAAAAAAAAATTAGCTGGGCAAGGTGGCACATGCCTGTAGTCCCAGCTACGCAGGAGGCTGAGGCAGGAGAACTGCTTGAACCTGGGTGGTGGAGGTTACAGTGAGCCAACTCTGTGCCACTGCACTCCAGCCTCGGTGACAGAGCAAGACTCTTCCTCAAAAAGAAAAGAACCAGAGTTGGGTGTGGTTGGCTTATTCCTGTAAAACCAGCATTTTGGGAGGCCGAGGAAGGAGGATCACTTGAGCTCAGGAGTTCAAGACCAGCCTGGGAACATAGAAAGACCTCGTCTCTACAAAATGACATATTAAAAAAATTAAGCTTGGCATGGTTGTGTGCACCTATAGTCCTAGCTACTCAGGTGCCTGAGTTGCGAGAATGGCTTGAGCCTATGAGTTGGAGTCTGCAGTGAGATATGATAGTACCACTGCACTCTAGAATGAGAACTTGTCTCTAAATAAATAAATAAAAATAAGGAACCAAAGATTTCAGGGGAGCCGAGGAGACTTTTGGCTTAAGAGGAAGAATCTCTAGGACTCAAACATTTGAGGAGGCTTAGCAGCAACATTCACTACAGCCATTACCACGTATTAAGAACAAGCCATGTGCCAAGCACCAGCCTAAAGATTTGTCATATATTAAAGCATCCAATCCTGCCAATAAACCATAGAAGTAGGTATTTTATGTCCATTTTACAAATGAGAAAAATGAAGTCCGGGAGGTTTCAGACATCTAAGGGCCCTGAGCTGAACCTCTGTCCCGCCCCAAAGCTCTTGCAGTTAACACCAGGCTAGGAGCCTCCCTAATGGATGATTCTTTGTTCTGTCTGACCCTAGAGCTTGGCAGGGACCTTTTAATTAGTACTTCCTTCCTTTGCCCTTTTAATAGCCTTCCGTTCTTTGAAATTTGGGCCCAGCATCAGACTGGAGAGAAAAATATCCTCTCTGTCAAAAACTTTTCTACAGTCTCATTGTAGAGAGCAGTTGTGGCTTCCCCTGCCTGGCACCCAGTCTCCCTTTTTCTGGTAAGAGCAGCCAAGTTTCCTTTGAAAAATCACTTCCCCCAACCTTCAGTCTAGGTGACGGATGTGGGGCTGACCCTGCAGAGCTGATTCTATACCCCTGCTTCTCACCCCAGGGGTAGGCATCTGGGCCATAGTTGCTGATTAGTGCAGTCCATGACCTCAGACAGGCACAGTGTGGTGGGGTGGGGCTGTGTGTCCTCAGGGGCTCACCTTATTTCTGTGCCTCAGTCTCTTCACATGGGCATGTGGCGTGCCAGTCCAATGGGAATCTTTGCTAGGATTTTGTTGGGACTACTGAGAAAGTGGTTCTCTCTTTTCCTCTCTCTGGTGGGGGTGGTGTGCTATGGGATATGGGGTTGGACCTCTTAGTAGAAGGAAGATCTGATGAGTCCAGAGACAGATTTTTCTCAGCATTGTGTGAAGGCCTGGGCCTGGCTGTGGCTGTGGTCACCACTCCCCTGGGCTTTCCAGTAGCATGCACCAGTCATTCCCTTTTGTGGGAAGATCAGGGTTTTGTTTTTGTTTTTGTTTTTGAGACGGAGTCTCGCACTGTCGGCTGGGCTGGAGTGCAGTGGCGTGAACTCGGCTCACTGCAACCTCTGCCTCCCAGGAAGCAATTCTCCTTGCCTCAGCCTCCCAGTAGCTGGGATTGCAGGTGCCTGCCACCACTCCTGGCTATTTTTTTTTTTTTTTTTTAGTAGAGATGGGATTTCACTATGCTGGCCAGGCGGGTCTCGAATTCCTAACCTCGTGATCTGCCTGCCTTGGCCTCCCAAAGTGCAGGGATTATAGGCGTGAGCCACCGTGCTCCGTCGAAGATCAGTTTTAAATGGGGTCAGGACAGGGGTGGGGCAGCAGAGTAAAACGAGTGAGAATTGTTTGAATATCTTCAGACTTTAGCATCTTCTGGCTTTTCTCTCCTCTTTTAACTCATGAGACACATAATTAGTAAACTAGGACATGGGAAGAGAAAAGGACAAACCTTTATGGTGTAATTTTCTTCCTCTTTCTCTTCCTTTCATGCATCATGCAAAAGAACACAGCCACTGTGGTACTATACACACCTGGGCATGAAGCTCAGCTCAGCCACTCCCCAATTATAAAAACATGGACAGATGGACAATTTTTGTAAACCCCTGGGTCCCTGGGAAATAATAATATTAGCTTCAGTCTTATAAAATGGACATTTTTATAGATCAAAAAAGTTGTTGAATATTGACAATTTCACATCACCCTAACAGGGCCCACCGTATATAATTTTGTCAGCATTAAATGAGATGGTACACAGGCAGTTCTGATCATAATGCCTGGCCACAAGGTAATGACCAGTAAATATTAATTGCTAGTGCTACTACTAGGATGACAACAACCATGACTGCTAAGAAGTCAAAGCACAAACCAAAGGGAACAGAAAGAGCAGCCAGAGGCTTTCAGTGGTGGATTTTGGACTTGATTGCCAAATCTGCTTGTTTCCCCTCAAATCTTGCCCTTCAGGTGTTTTTTGTTGTTATTGTCTCCCCCAAGACGGGAAGCCAAAAGTTCATAAAGGTAAAACAGGAAACTCCACACCTCAGTGGCTCTATTATTTCTCCTACAAAGATGCTCTGGGATCCCCGGGTTGTCTAGAGTTCTGATGACTGGGAAAGAGGAAGATGGCAGGGAAGGAAGAAGGGATGATATTAGAATTGCCACGCATAGCTGGGCGCAGTGGCTCATGCCTGTAATCCCAGCACTTTGGGAGGCCGAGGTCGGCGGATCATGAGGTCAATAGATCGAGACCATCTGGCCAACATGGTGAAACTCCGTCTTTACTAAAAATACAAAAATTAGCTGGGCGTGATGGCGCATGCCTGTAGTCCCAGCTACTTGGGAGGCTGAGGCAGGAGAATCCCTTGAACCTGGGAGTGAGCCGAGATCACGCCACTGCACTCCAGCCTGGCAATAGAGTGAGACTCCATCTCAAAAAAAAAAAAAAAAAAAAGCCATGCATATTTTTAAACATCTTGATGTCAATAAAACAGTTTCCAAATCAGGGACAACTGGGGCACTTGTTTTGATCATGGGTTTCTCACCCACCAGCCAGGTATTTTGGTTAAAACAGAAGAGCATGTATTTTCTGAAAGGCAGCAATTAGATGAGTAGTTTATTCTCCTCATTTCCCAAAGCTTCAAGGTGTTATTCCTGAGTTATTCTAGCTATTCCTCTCTGCTTGGGGCCTTTGGAAATGTTCTTCCCTGAACCCAAACATTCTCCCCTCTTTTCTTCACCTGGTTCACCCCTGCAAAGGGCTGAGCTCCAATATGACTTTATGATAACTTTTCAGACACTCCACATCCATCAACCCTTCTGTTACGTGCACTTATATCACTTGGCAATTTTTCTTCACAGCATGTATCACATTTGCAGTCTTATTGTTCTGTGTGAACTGTTTGTGGAACATCCATTGTCCCCCACTGGACTCCAAGCTCCAGGATGGCAGGTACTGACTGGATCTACTTTATTTTCCACTGTCCCCAGGACATAGCCTGATGAATACCATATGGTTAATACTCAAAAAATATATTATATATATGAATCCATCATTCAGTCATTCATAATAATTAAGTGAAAGCATTCATCAGTGATAGAAGCTTGTACCAAATCTTCCCCACTGGGGATGAGTATTTGAATTGGGGTATAGAAGGGATGGCATCAAGGATGTCACCTGGTTCACCCTATAAGGGGGAACAAAAGGAAGGAAAAATCTTTTGACTCTGAAAGTAGTCCAACTCATTGTGAAGTCTGGAAAAGGTGACTGAAAGATATACCAGCATTTTATTAAAAATCCTGCACATGCAAATATCGACTACCGAACTTCAGACACGACCAACAGCCCAGAATTAATGAGACATGTTGGTGATTAGTTTGAAGTGAACAACAGTAATACAGAATGGAAGGAATTCCAGTTAGAATTAAATGGGGGAAGGGACACTTACCCTGTTACCGTGAGATGGCACTCCTGATCACAGATCCTTAGCTGGTGGCAGTGCTGGTGTTTACAGCCAGGTTTTCCAGAGTCATTGTGGTTTGTGAAAAGGAATAATCACAGCAGATCTAGGGAGAGAACACTTTGTTTGGGTTACACTTGTCAATCAAGTGGTAATTTATCTGTTGTACATTACTATCTCCCCTGCTAGACAGGGAACTTAACGTAAGAAACTGGGCCTTATTTTATCTCTCAATTTTATCCAGAATAAATGCCTTTGCATAAACAAATGAATGATTATTATTATTGGTATATAGCCTCTGTCACAAAAACAAACTATAATCAAAATTCCCAGATCAAGATAATTCTCACTCCATAAAATATGCATTAACAAGAAATATTTATTGAATACCTACAATGTACCAGGCAGTATATTACACATCGAGGGGCACACAGGGACTATGTCCTCAAAGAGTTTAATTGCTTGGTTAGGAAGTATCTAGTGAAAGTCCCTCTGGATCCATGCAACAGAAACTCACTCAATTTAACTCAAGTAAGGAAAACAAACAAAGAAAAAGGATGTGGAATCCAAGAAATAGAAAACATAGGCACTAGAACTAGAAAACCAAAGTAGAGGCCACTTCACTGGCTCACTCAGGCTTGTCTGTCCACTTTCTTACCTTGCACTTGACCCAAGATGGCGGCCAGTCCTAATACTACACCATGATCTCAAAGATCAAGTGCTCACCATAACTGATTTACCATGGCTGGGGAAGTTATAGGGGTGGATATCATGTGATTTGCTGCCTACTTACCTGGGCTAAATGCAGGTTGCCGCTAGAAGACATGGCAAATGATGGCTGGCATTGCAAATACAGGCAAAAAACATACACATACATGAAAAAATAGCAGAGGAAGAGGCAAACTGCAGAGGGCATAGAAGTCCCTGGAAAGGAAGAAATAATGATAGGTTTGGTGAGTAAGAAAGATGGCAAAAGAAAATACAATGGGGTGAAGGAGTTGGTTCCAAATTCCAAAATTCAATAATAAGGAAGAGTTTGAAACCTTCTCTCACATGAGTCCTGGCTGTCATTGTTCTAATTACTAGAATGTCCCAGATGGTTTTGTTAGCAAACCAAAATCCCTCAACTGCTTGAAGGTGATATTTCAGAAAGGTCTTTTAAAATTATCTCAATAGTACCATTGACTCCCATGACCTGTGACTCTGGACAAGAAATGTCTTGCCTTCTGTGATATTTGCACATTTATTGCTAAAAGCTACTGGGAGTCTCTAGCCTGCTTCTCCCCATTCTACTCTGAATATTTCCTCTTGTTTGTTGTAAAATACAATTAAACATGTGGCAGTATAGGGTGGAATCGAGAGTGCAAGCTGCAGAGTCAAGAAGCCTGTAGAGTTCGACCTTTGAGTTGTCACTTCCTGCTTAGAGACATTGGCCGTGTTTCCTATCCTCTCTGAGCCTCAGTTTTCTCATGTGAGGATAATAAGAGTGCCAACCTCAAATAGTGCTCTGTGAGGATAAAGTGGAAAATGTATGGAAAGCACGCAGTATAATCCTTTGCAGAATAAGAACAGTGAACATTAGCAGTCAGCTTTTGCTACTAAGAAATCTGAAGCAGAAAGTCACTAAATAGCTGAGATAGATTTACAAAGGAGAATGTGGCTAGGAAAGACTGGCTAGGAGGAGTGGAATGGGGTAAGGAGAAAGGACGCACATGGAAAATAATGTTTCATTACAATCTGAAGGTGACGATAGAGCAGAGTCTGACCTCCTTCTCCTGTTGCTGCTTATTTAAATAGAGAGGACCCAGGCCTGCTACGTTTGCAAATGCTCCATTTCCCCTCTGGAACCCATTTTTTGATGTGTTAAATAGATACTCTCTAAGATCTTTCCAGCACACAAATTCTATGAATATGGTTTAGAGGGATTTTCCCCTAATTTTCTCCTAATGACCAACAAATTATAAAATAGAAATGAAAATAAAGTATCCCCAACCACATATTAAGTTATTATCAATTATTTATCATACAAAGACAATGGGCTTAAGTCAACTCCCTACTCCCAAGGGAAGAATGAGATGCAATCAACCATTGGGTTTTGCAGTTTGGTCTTTGGTGTTCTTCAAGATCAGGGGTCCAGGAAAAACTACCATGGACTGTAAGAAACCAAGGGAAAAAGTGCGCACACAGTAATGCTACTCACTTGCTATGTGGACATGTATATAGATTTAGGAAAATGCAAAATAAAAGTTCTATAAAGATACACCCCAAACTTGTAACCTTCAGTAAAGAAGATCATGATTAGAAATAGTGGTCCAAGGGCACTTTAGCTTCATCTGTGATACATTAAGTTTTAAAAAAGAGAATGTATTTATCTCTTGCTTAGGTAATTAAAATTTAATTGTTAAATGGAGAACCTTGTTTAGGGAATGGTTGCCCAGGGAACTGCAAGAAAAAGAAGCTTAGCTGGTTGATTTCCCTGAGGACAGGTCAGTGTTCTGACCCCCGCTATGTTGTCCCAGAACTTAAGAGGTGAGTTTTCCAACTTAATTATTAATTGAACTGAGAAAAGTGACTTTCTGGAGACTGAGGGCTAATTTTGACGTTGATGTCAACATGTAGAAGCCTTTTTATAAAAAAAAGCATCTGGTTGTGTTTTCCTAACTATTGTTAAAGCAAAATTAGGTGGGAAGACAAATGTGTATAAATTGCTATTTTGGGGGACTCTTGAGAAAATAAAAATATGAAATAAACGGAGCATCAAGAAAATTAGTTCAGCTGTGGATGTAACTGCATCCTTAACTCTTTCTCTGTGAGTTGCACACACAAACACACACACACACACACACACACACACCTCCTTCCTAATCCCTTTCCTACAATTCTCAGGAGTTTAGAAGTGAAAAATCATATAATCAACACTTTTTTGAATGATTAATGGAACAGACATGTAATGGAGAATTTATAGGCACAGATCTTCCTAAATCTTCAAGCTAACCTTTGGTCTCAAATACTTCCTCTATAATCTTGATCAACTCCACTGTAAAACCACAAATACTTCCATAGTCTCCACATGCAAAGCATTCTGTACTTTTCTTTCCCCTGTTAGAACTGGTGTCAAATTCTCCCTCCTGCTATGCCCATCACCTCCATAAGAAAAAAATTCCTCTTCATGCTTTTCTCTATGGCATTCTGAATATCTAGTACTTCGTAGGAGATACTAAAAATAATAAGACAATTTAAAGCTCCTTTTCTTTTTCTTTACCAGTAACTGTGGGGGTCGGGGGAAGCAAACTAAAGTATAAGAATTAGGTTAAGAATTTGCTCTCTGATTGTACTGGGCCCATGGAAATTAAGGATGCCTTTAAAATCCAGGGTTCAAAAGGTCAATTCAGGACCATGAGAAGTATTGCAGGAAGAAGCCATCCACCAGCTACAGGCACAAGAAAGAGAATCTTTGGAAATTTAGATTATGATATCAGAGATTAGGGAGTAGCCTGACACACAGAAATAATCATTCCACAAATGTTGAGGAACCTCAGACTGTGCAGACACAATTCTTTTTTTTTTTTTTTTTTTTTTTTTGAGACAGCGTCTCACTCCGTTGCCCAGGCTGGAGTGCCGTGGTGCAATCTCGGCTCACTGCAACCTCCACCTCCCAGGTTCAAGTGATTCTCCTGCCTCCGCCTCGAGAGTAGTTGGGATTACAGGCCCCCACCACCATGCCAGTCTAATTTTTGTATTTTTAGTAGAGATGGGGTTTTGCCATGTTGGCCAGGCTGGTCTCAAACTCTTGGCCTCAAGCGATCTGCCTTCCTCAGCCTGCCAAAGTGCTGAGATTACATGTGTGAGCCACCATTCCAGGCCCAAACACCATCTTAAGATCTTGTTTAATCTTCATGACAATGCAATCATTGTCCCCATTTGCCAGATGAGAAAACTTAAGCTTAAGGGGGTGAGGTTGCATAACAAGCTGAGAATTTAACTCAAGCAGACTAATGCTAGTGCTCTCATTCATCACTACCCAGCAAGAAGGGAGGTAGGGAGGGAAGGAGGGAAGAAGAAAAAGAGAGAAGGAAAGAAAAAGAACAGATGGATGTTTGGTTCAAAGAGAGTGAAATTGAGAAATTCAGTTTTAAGAACAGCAAATACCTTGAATCCAAGTGATGTCTGGAAGGGGAGGTAAATCTTAGTCATGAGGTTCACAGAGCAACCAGGAATAGAAATACAGCAAAACCAGAATGCATCCATATGCCAAAGGAAAGTATGTCAATCAGGGACCCAATAGAAACAGCTGTCACACTTGAGTTAGGAGAAATGGAGGAAGATTTATTTAGAAAGGGGACATTTAGAGAGGTGCATGTGCAGGAGAACATGAAGGCAAGCGAAGTAACCTTGCAAGGGCTCACCATCTTCAGGTCTAAGGGACGAGGGAAGGAAGCTGTTAGCAGAACCTTAGGGAGTTGTGGAGCTTGAGAGGAACAGAGACCTTAGTCTGGGGACACACAGGCTGGCTGAGACCTTGGAAGGAAGGGCACCCATCTTTTCTTCTCCCTCCTTGCAATCTCCTGCGGGGGTTCTGCATTAGCTGAACCCAGCTAAGTGCCAAAGAGCAAGGGTTCCCTAGACTAGATGGTCAGCCACTAGGGGCAGAGGAGGGGATCTGGAGGGGAATCCCAATATACCCAGCACAGAAGAGGAGGGCAGAGCTGGTACCTGGAGACAGGTGTGAAGTGGATTGAGTAGAAAAAGTCTGAAGGAGGGGAAGGAGAGAGCTGAGGTTGCACTTTGTCTCTGATATTAACAAGTGATAATGTAATGTGAAAACACATTCAGCCACTGGGTGGGAAGTGCTGTTTTAATAGTGGGTTAGCTATCACTTGGGTGAAGATTCTTTGAGTCGTGCAGATGTTCACCTAGTTGATACCATGTAACACACTGCCTTATGGGAGTGTATTAATAGTTACCTGGGTTGCTAATACTGGAAAATGACTATTTGGGAAAAGGATGCCCAACTATTTGGGGAGCTGGGAGGATATACAGAGGTGAGAGGAGTGATGGATAAGGTGTCAGACCCAATGGTCCCTTTACTCTTCACTCAAAGGCAGAATCATGGAGGGAGCCTCTTTATTCATATCTGGACCCTATTCCCAAGGGCCCTTGATGTCAGAGTTGGGAATGAGCTATGTTAAGAAACAAAGAGCTGGGGGAGAAGCCAAGATGGCCGAATAGGAACAGCTCCGGTCTACAGCTCCCAGCGTGAGCAACGCAGAAGATGGGTGATTTCTGCATCTCCATC
This sequence comes from Homo sapiens, assembly GCF_000001405.40. Taxonomy (NCBI): domain Eukaryota; kingdom Metazoa; phylum Chordata; class Mammalia; order Primates; family Hominidae; genus Homo; species Homo sapiens. The sequence continues at coordinate 64,475,888 of NC_000003.12, forward strand.
TGAGGTACCAGGTTCATCTCACTGGGGAGTGCCAGACAGTAGGTGCAGGACAGTGGGTGCAGCGCACCATGTGCAAGCCGAAGCAGGGTGAGGCATCGCCTCACCCGGGAAGCACATGGGGTCAGGGAATTCCCTATCCTAGTCGAAGAAAGTGGTGACAGACGGCACATGGAAAATCGGGTCACTCCCACCATAATATTGCGCTTTTCCAACGGGCTTAAAAAATGACACACCAGGAGATTATATCCCTTACATGGCTCGGAGGGTCCTACGCCCACGGAGTCTCACTCATTGCTAGCACAGCAGTCCGAGATCAAACTGCAAGGCGGCAGTGAGGCTGGGGGAGGGGCACCCGCCATTGCCGAGTTAGTTGTTTGATTAGGTAAACAAAGCAAGCTGGAAGCTCGAACTGGGTGGAGCCCACCACAGCTCAAGGAGGCCTGCCTGCCTCTGTAGGCTCCACCTCTGGGGGCAGGGCACAGACAAACAAAAAGACAGCAGTAACCTCTGCAGACTTAAATATCCCTCTCTGACAGCTTTGAAGAGAGTAGTGGTTCTCCCAGCACGCAGCTTGAGATCTGAGAACGGGCAGACTGCCTCCTCAAGTGGGTCCCTGACCCCTGAGTAGCCTAACTGGGAGGCACCCCCCAGTAGGGGCGGACTGACACCTCACACGGCCGGGTACTCCTCTGAGACAAAACTTCCAGAGGAACAATCAGGCAGCAGCGTCTGCCTGATCCGCTGATCATCACCAATATCCGCTGTTCTGCAGCCACCACTGCTGATACCCAGGCAAACAGGGTCTGGAGTGGACTTCTAGCAAACTCCAACAGACCTGCAGCTGACGGTCCTGTCTGTTAGAAGGAAAACTAAGAAACAGAAAGGACATCCACACCAAAAACCCATCTGTACGTCACCATCATCAAAGACCAAAGGTAGATAAAACCACAAAGATGGGAAAAAAACAGAGCAGAAAAACTGGAAACTCTAAAAATCAGAGCACCTCTCCTCCTCCAAAGGAACGCAGCTCCTCACCAACAATGGAACAAAGCTGGACGGAGAATGACTTTGACAAGTTGAGAGAAGAAGGCTTCAGACGATCAAACTACTCCGAGCTACAGGAGGAAATTCGAACCAATGGCAAAGAAGTTAAAAGCTTTGAAAAAAAATTAGATGAATGGATAACTAGAATAACCAATGCAGAGAAGTCCTTAAGGACCTGATGGAACTGAAAACCAAGGCATGAGAGCTACGTGATGAATGCAGAAGCCTCAGTAGCCGATGCGATCAACTGAAAGAAAGGGTATCAGTGATGGAAGACAAAATGAATGAAATGAAGCGAGACGAGAAGTTTAGAGAAAAAAGAATAAAAAGAAATGAACAAAGCCTCCAAGAAATATGGGACCATGTGAAAAGACCAAATCTATGTCTGATTGGTGTACCTGAAAGTGATGGGGAGAATGGAACCAAGTTGGAAAACACTCTGCAGGATATTATCCAGGAGAACTTCCCCAATCTAGCAAGGCAGGCCAACATTCAAATTCAGGAAATACAGAGAACGCCACAAAGATACTCCTCGAGAAGAGCAACTCCAAGACACACAATTGTCAGATTGACCAAAGTTGAAATGAAGGAAAAAATGTTAAGGGCAGCCAGAGAGAAAGGTCGGGTTACCCACAAAGGTTAGCCCATCAGACTAACAGCTGATCTCTTGGCAGGAACTCTACAAGCCAGAAGAAAGTGGGGACCAATATTCAACATTCTTAAAGAACAGAATTTTCAACCCAGAATTTCATATCCAGCCAAACTAAGCTTCATAAGTGAAAGAGAAATAAAATACTTTACAGACAAGCAAATGCTGAGAGATTTTGTCACCACCAGGCCTGCCCTAAAAGAGCTCCTGAAGGAAGCACTAAACATGGAAAGGAACAACTGGTACCAGCCACTGCAAAAACACGCCAAATTGTAAAGACCATCAAAGCTAGGAAGAAACTGCATCAACTAACAAGCAAAATAACCAGCTAACATCATAATGACAGGATCAAATTCACACATAAAAATATTAACTTTAAATAAAAATGGGCTAAATGCTCCAACTAAAAGACACAGGCTGGCAGACTGGATAAAGAGTCAAGACCCATCAGTGTGCTGTATTCAGGAAACCCATCTCACATGCAGAGACACACATAGGCGCAAAATAAAGGGATGGAGGAAGATCTACCAAGGAAACAGAAAACAAAAAAAGGAAGGGGTTACAATCCTAGTCTCTGATAAAACAGACTTTAAACCAACAAAGATCAAAAGAGACAAAGAAGGCCATTACATAATGGTAAAGGGATCAATTCAACAAGAAGAACTAACTATCCGAAATATATATGCACCCAATACAGGAGCACCCAGATTCATAAAGCAAGTCCTGAGTGACCTACAAAGAGACTTAGACTCCCACACAATAGTAATGGGAGACTTTAACAACCCACTGTCAACATTAGACAGATCAACGACACAGAAAGTTAACAAGGATGCCCAGGAAGTGAACTCAGCTCTGCACCAAGCAGACCTAATGGACATCTACAGAACTTTCCACCCCAAATCAACAGAATATGCATTCTTTTCAGCACCACACCACACCTACTCCAAAATTGACCACATAGTTGGAAGTAAAGCACTCCTCAGCAAATGTAAAAGAACAGAAATTATAACAAACTGTCTCTAGACCACAGTGCAATCAAACTAGAACTCAGGATTAAGAAACTCACTCAAAACTGCTCAACTACATGGAAACCGAACAACCTGCTCCTGAATGACTACTGGGTACATAATGAAATGAAGGCAGAAATAAAGATGTTCTTTGAAACCAATGAGAACAAAGACACAACATACCAGAATCTCTGAGACACATTCAAAGCAGTGTGTAGAGGGAAATTTCTAGCTCTAAATGTCCACAAGAGAAAGCAGGAAAGATCTAAAATGGACACCCTAACATCATAATTAAAAGAACTAGAAAAGCAAGAGCAAACACATTCAAAAGCTAGCAGAAGGCAAGAAATAACTAAGATCAGAGCAGAACTGAAGGAAATAGAGACATAAAAAACTCTTTAAAAATTAATGAGTCCAGGAGCTGGTTTTTTGAAAAGATCAACAAAATTGATAGACTGCTAGCAAGACTAATAAAGAAGAAAAGAGAGAAGAATCAAATAGACACAATAAAAGATGATAAAGGGGATATCACCAGTGATCCCACAGAAATATAAACTACCATCAGAGAATACTATAAACACCTCTACGCAAATAAACTAGAAAATCTAGAAGAAATGGATAAATTCCTCGACATATACATCCTCCCAAGACTAAATCAGGAAGAAGTTGTATCTCTGAGTAGCCCAATAACAGGCTCTGAAATTGAGGCAGTAATCAACAGCTTACTAACCAAAAAAAGTCCAGGACCAGATGGATTCACAGCTGAATTCTACCAGAGGTACAAAGAGGAGCTGGTACCATTCCTTCTGAAACTATTCCAATCAGTAGAAAAAGAGGGAATCCTCTCTAACTCATTTTATGAGGCCAGCATCATCCCGATACCAAAGCCTGGCAGAGACACAACAAAAAAAGAGAATTTTAGACCAATATCCTTGATGAATATCGATGCAAAAATCCTCAATAAAATACTGGCAAACTGAATCCAGCAGCACATCAAAAAGCTTATCCACCATGATCAAGTTGGCTTCATCCCTGGGATGCAAGGCTGGTTCAACATACGCAAATCAATAAATGTAATCCAACATATAAACAGAACCAAAGACAAAAACCACATGATTATCTCAATAGATGCCGAAAAGGCCTTTGACAAAATTCAACAACCCTTCATGCTAAAAACTCTCAGTAAATTAGGTATTGATGGGACGTATCTCAAAATAATAAGAGCTATCTATGACAAACCCACAGCCAATATCATACTGAATGGGCAAAAACTGGAAGCATTCCCTTTGAAAACGGGCACAAGACAGGGATGCCCCCTCTCACCACTCCAATTCAACATAGTGTTGGAAGTTCTGGCCAGGGCAATCAGGCAGGAGAAGGAAATAAAGGGTATTCAATTAGGAAAAGAGGAAGTCAAATTGTCCGTGTTTACAGATGACATGATTGTATATCTAGAAAACCCCATCATCTCAGCCAAAATCTCCTCAAGCTGATAAGCAACTTCAGCAAAGTCTCAGGATACAAAATCAACGTACAAAAATCACAAGCATTCTTATACACCAATAACAGACAAACAGAGAGCCAAATCATGAGTGAACTCCCATTCACAATTGCTTCAAAGAGAATAAAATACCTAGGAATCCAACTTGCAAGGGATGTGAAGGACCTATTCAAGGAGAACTACAAACCACTGCTCAACAAAATAAAAGAGGATACAAAAAAATGGAAGAACATTCCATGCTCATAGGTAGGAAGAATCAATATCGTGAAAATGGCCATACTGCCCAAGGTAATTTATAGATTCAATGCCAGACCCAGCAAGCTACCAATGAATTTCTTCAAGAATTGGAAAAAACTACTTTAAAGTTCATATGGAACCAAAAACGAGCCCGCATCGCCAAGTCAATCCTAAGCCAAAAGAGCGCAGCTGGAGGCATCACGCTACCTGACTTCAAACTATACTACAAGGCTACAGTAACCAAAACAGCATGGTACTGGTACCAAAACAGAGATATAGACCAATGGAACAGAACAGAGCCCTCAGAAACAATGCCGCATATCTACAACTATCTGATCTTTGACAAACCTGACAAAAACAAGCAATGGGGAAAGGATTCCCTATTTAATAAATGGTGCTGGGAAAACTGGCTAGCCATATGTAGAAAGCTGAAACTGGATCCCTTCCTTACACCTTATACAAAAATTAATTCAAGATGGATTAAAGACTTAAATGTTAGATCTAAAACCATAAAAACCCTAGAAGAAAACCTAGGCAATACCATTCAGGACATAGGTATGGGCAAGGACTTCATGTCTAAAACACCAAAAGCAATGGCAACAAAAGCCAAAATTGACAAATGGGATCTAATTAAACTAAAGAGCTTCTGCACAGCAAAAGAAACTACCATCAGAGTGAACAGGCAACCTACAGAATGGGAGAAAATTTTTGCAACCTACTCATCTCACAAAGGGCTAATATCCAGAATCTACAATGAACTCAAACACATTTACAAGAAAAAAACAAACAACCCCATCAAAAAACGGGCAAAGGATATGAACAGACACTTCTCAAAAGAAGACATTTATGCAGCCAAAAAACACACGAAAAAATGCTCATCATCACTGGCCATCAGAGAAATGCAAATCTAAACCACAATGAGATACTATCTCACACCAGTTAGAATGGCGATCATTAAGAAGTCAGGAAACAACAGGTGCTGGAGAGGATGTGGAGAAATAGGAACACTTTTACACTGTTGGTGGGACTGTAAACTAGTTCAACCATTGTGGAAGACAGTGTGGCGATTCCTCAGGGATCTAGAACTAGAAATACCATTTGACCCAGCCATCCCATTACTGGGTATATACCCAAAGGATTATCAATCATGCTGCTATAAAGACACATGCACACTTATGTTTATAGTGGCACTATTCACAATAGCAAAGACTTGGAACCAACCTAAATGTCCAACAACGACAGACTGGATTAAGAAAATGTGGCACATATACACCATGGAATACTATGCAGCCATAAAAAATGATGAATTCATGTCCTTTTTAGGGACATGGATGAAACTGGAAACCATCATTCTCAGCAAACTATTGCAAGGACAAGAAACCAAACACCGCATGTTCTCGCTTATAGGTGGGAATTGAACAATGAGAACACATGGACACAGGAAGGGGAACATCACACACCAGGGACTGTTAGTGGGGTGGGGGCAGGTGGGAGGGATAGCATTAGGAGATATACCTAACGCTAAATGACGAGCTAATGGGTGCAGCACACCAACATGGCACATGTATACATACGTAACAAACCTGCACGTTATGCACATGTACCCTAAAACTTAAAGTATTATAATAATAAAATTTAAAAAAAAGAATCTAAGAGCCATAAAAGACAGAAGAACATGTCATTCTGGCAGAGGATTCTCTATGTTCCTAGAGGGCTTTGAGGTATAGTGAAGGGAAAAGTTAAAAATACAAAAAGCAAAAGCAGCTCCTTTCATGGGGCTGTTTGTTGTCAGAGCCATAGGTCTTGTTCAAGGAGCTGTGATCACCGCTACTTCATGTTGGTAGCTAGGGCACCCAGATAGAGTACAAGTCTTCAGAATGGTGAGGAGCAACGAATGGCTCTGCCCTGTACAGGTAAGAAAGGTTCTGCCTGGTATAGGTAAGAATGTCCGCCCTGTGGCCAGAACAGGATGCTCTGGAGGAGAGGGGCTTGGTCTTAACTGGGTCAGAGCCAGGTTAGGAAATGGACCAGCAGCCCAGGGGGCCAGTCCACAAGGACCACTACACATCACTGGGATACTTTGGAAATAAGATGTCTATTAACTCAGATTTTTCTTAAACCACAGGTGGAATGCAAATTGGTCCCAATATTGACTAGAAATTATCTTCAGATAGAAGCAAATGGCAGTGTCAGCCAATGCAGACCTACCTCTGGAGAAAATGTTTGCCACTAGCTTTTATAAACTGCAAGATTCAACTATGGAACATGCAAGAATTGCCAACTGACCATCACTTAAAAACAAAATCTGGATAGATAAAATTTTGGAAGTGAGAAATGCATGATATAGTGCTGCTTCCTGGGGGGCCAGTTGTTTTGTTATTTATACTTTGAACCTTTAAAATCTTTTGGCGCAGCATGCTGGCTCATGTCTGTAATCCCAGCACTTTGGGAGGCCAAGACAAGCAAGTAACTTGGTCCCAGAAGCTTGAGACCCACCTGGGCAACATGTGAAACCTTGTCTCTACAGAAAAAACACAAAAATAGTCTGGGTGTGGTGGTACATGCCTATAGTCCCAGCTACTTGGGAGGATGAGGTGGAGGATCATCTGAGCTCCAGAAAGTTGAGGCTGCAGTGAGCTGAGATCTCACCATTGCACTCCAGCCTCGGCAACAGAGTGAGACCCTGTCTCAAAAAACAAACACACAAAACAAAAGAGAGAGAGAGAGAGAGAGAATAAACTTTCTAAGCAGTTGTCTGATTTGTGAAATTGCAAAAAAAAATTTGAAGAGGGGGCACAGAAAAGGAGGAAGTGTTCTTTAGTCAGTGAATAGATGAAAGGAATTTGTATTGAACACACACGTTATTCACTTGAACACATTTGTTCTCTGTCCCCATCGAATACAGGCTGAAGAAATATTTAGAGAATTCTGGCTTGAAAGGGTAAAAAACTAACAACCTGCCCCAGTCAGTCCCCCATGGTTACTGAACTCTGGAAGATTTTGCTGGAGAAGTCTGAGAGTCCAGTTCTACAATTTTACACAATTTGTTAAATGTAAAACATTGCTTTGGCTTCACTTACTGATTTTCCTTTCTCTCCCATTTCTGACTAACTCAAATTTACTGGGTGCCTGCTATATGCCAGGATCCAAATGTTGAACATAACTTATTTTGTTTCATACCCAAGGGGCTGTAAAGGACACACAGACTGTGAGCGCAGACACATTTTAGACTTGCACTGTCCAATACGGTAGCCACTGGCCACATATGGTTATTGAAATTTACATTTATTGTAATTAAGTAAAATTTAAAATTCAATCTCTCAGTTGCACTAGCTATGTATTAAGCACTCAATAGCCACATGTGGTTATGACTATGCTGCTGGACAGCACAGTTATAGAGCATTTCTATCACTGCAGAGAGCACCATTGGATAGCACAGTTTTAGACCTTTCAGAGTTGTCTCTACCTCCTGTGAAATCATTTTAAGCAGAAAAGCTGCCATTCATTGAGCACTCCTCTGGGCCAAGCAAGCAAGATTCTGGGTCAGTTACATAAGATCATCTCACCACAGCTCACTGCCTCACGTCTCAACGCATTTTAATTTTTTTTTTTTTTTTTTTGTAGCGCCGTGGTCTCACTTTGTTGCCCAGGCTAGTATCGAACTCCGGGCTTCGAGCAGTCCTTCTGCCTCAGCCTCCCAAAGTGCTGGGATTACAAGAGTGAGCCATTGGGCCCAGCCTCACCCCATTTTAGAGATGAGGAAACCTGAGGATAGAGAGGCCAAGTAGCTTTCTTACCATCGCACAGCAAGTGAGCGGCAAAGCCCAGGGCGTTTGACTTTAAAGGCTTTGATAATTCTGATGGCCCCACCTTCCAAGGGCATTACCCCCAAGTGTGAGTGAGAGCACCACTGTGGACAAGAAAGAGCCGCTGGGGATCCTGGCCCTTTTGACAGGAAAAGTGGCCATGGGGTCAGACAGGCTAGAGGACCAAGGCTGGTTCTGCCAATGACCATGTCAGTGACATTGCCCAAGCCACTTAGATCTCTGAATATATGTACAGTGGTGGAGCTCACCTTGTAGAGCTATGAGGATTAAATGAGAATATACACATAAGCACTTGGCACAGTATCTGGCACACAGTAGCCATTTAGTACATGGCACACATGAGTATTACTTCCGGAGTGAATCCTTTTCTTCTGTTTAAGCAGCAAACAGCAAGAGTTGCCTTGCTCCCTGCAATACACATTTCTGAGTCTGGCATGCCACCTGCTGGTCACTCCTGGATATACCATCCAGTCCCCTGTTCTCCCCAGAAGGGCCAGTGCCCAGAGTGTTCCCAGGAGACTGGGCTGTAAAACAGGAACATCCTAGCTGAGTATTCAGATTTTTTTTTCGTAAAGTCCCTTTCACATTGTGGCTCCTCTGAGAACTTAGGATAAGCTTAGATCTTGCTAAGTTTGCTGAAATCTTCTTTGTTGCCAGGCAGATAGAGAAGATGGACTTCTTTGGGGCCCTGTGCTCAACGTTAGGCTATGTTGCCAGGGTCTTCTAGCTGCAGGCTATCTAAAAGCACAGGGTCTTTACTATTATGGCTGGCATTCCCTTCGATCTGATGCTGAATATAAGTCCCACCTCTCCACCCCATATCCTATCAATCTAAAAGTCCTGTTGGGTTTTTCTCTGTGAAATATATTTAAAATCTGTCTAAGCCCCTTCATATTCTCTGCCACCATCATCCCTCACCTGGACCACTGCATTAGCCTCCTGATCTTCTTGCATCTCCTCCCTTCCCCCTGTTGTCTATTCTTCACGCAGCAGCTAGAGCTGTGGTCCTACCTGCTGTAGCTATGGAATGCCTTGGGGAACATTCAAGACCTACCAACACCCAGGGGCCAAACCCTGACTAATTAAATCAGAATCTAGGGGTAGTGGGTAGAAGGTCTCTCAACATTCGTAGCTCATGAAAGCTCCTGGATGATTCTTTTTATTTTTATTTTTCGAGACAGAGTCTTGCTCTGTCACCCAGGCTGGAGTGTAGTGGTGCCATCTCGGCTCACTGCAACCTCAACCTCCCAGGTTCTAGCGATTCTCTGGCCTCAGCCTCCCAAGTAGCTGGGACTATGTGTGTGCCACCACACCCAGCTAATTTTTTGTATTTTTAGTAGAGATGGGGTTTCACCATGTTGCTCAGGCTGGTCTCAAACTCCTGACCTCAAGCGATCTACCTGCTTTGGCCTCCCAAAGTTAGATGATTCTTTTGTGCATCCAGGATTGAGAATCACTGAGCTTCCAGTTCAGACCAGCAGTAGCAGCATCTCCTGGAGGGCTTGTTAAAATACAGACCGCTGAGTTCCACTCCCAGAGCCTGTGATTCATCAGGCCAGAAGTGGACCTGCGAATTTCCATGCCTCACAAATTCCCAGGTGACCCTCCTGGGCTGAGGTTCACACTTTGAGAACTACTGTTGTAAAAATATAAGGTGGACCATGAAACTCCTGTTTAAATGACTTATTACACTTATATATGTATATTTTAAAAATTCACCTTCTGTACCATGGCCTGTCAGGCAGGGTGAGACCTATCAATCTAGAAGTCCTGTTGGGTTCCTAGCTCCTGGCCTCTCACACCCTCTGCTAACCACTCACTGGCCTCCTATCTGCCTCTTGACCACCGCAGGTGGTCACCTGAAGACCTTTGAAAGAGCCTTTCTCTGCTCAGATGGTGCCCCCTTTAGCTCTTCTGCTGTCTGATTGTCTCTCAGTCTTCAGGGCTCATAGAAATGTAACCGCCTCAGGGAGACCTTCCCTGAATGTCACATTCAACATATGTCTCACCTTCCCCTCAGCCCTTGTTCTCTATCTCAGCAAACTGTTTATTTCCTTTATCTATTACAATTTGCAATTATGTTATTTCTGTTCACTTAAAATACATTTACCTCTCTGCCAGAAGACAAACTTTAAGAGGGCAGAAACTTTGCCTTCTTGTTCACTCCCTGGGACATAGTAGGTACCCAATAAATGGTTACTGAATGAAGGGTTGAAGAGAAGCACGAATCAGGGAGTAAAGGTTAGAAGTAATAGTACTAATAGAAGTGGGAGCCCTGTCCTGCTTCTGTTATATCCCCCGAGGGCTTCCTGTGTGCTCATCTTTTAATATTACATCTTTAATTCACATAACCGGGCAAGGTAAGGTCATATTCTCTTCAATTTACACATGTGGAAATGGAGACCTAGAAAGGCCGGGACACTTGGCTGAGGTCACACACATCAAAATGGCAGAGCTGGCCATGAATTCAGGCTGCCTGTATCCACATTCATCCTAAGATATGGAAGGAAGGAAAAAAGAGGCAGCAAAAGGAGAACTGGAAAAGCTGTTCCCGCAGGGCATTTTTTTATTTTGCTCTAAACTCGTAGCCAAGGTAAAAATATTAAAACAGAGCTGAAATCAAAGAACCCTTGACCTACTTTCTAGGTCTGATTCTCCCAGAACCTCTTCAGAAGAGAGTGATCAGGCAATGATGGGTGTCTCAACTTTTAAGACTTTTAAAATTGCTGGCTCAGAGCCTTTGGAAGAATAGCACAGGCAGGAAATGGCAAGGCAGGATCTGAACCCAGCCCAACTTCCTGCACAGCCTGCCCAAGCTTTCGCACACAGCACAGAGAGTATCTCATTCAACGTTCTTTTGCAGTGCCCCGCCTCCTTACTGTGCTGGTTAAGGTAACATTCTAGATGCTGTAGCAGATAACCAGTCTCCTCCCCAAACTCAATGGCTTCACGTAATAAAAATTTCTCTTTCACCTCCCAAAAAGTCCAAAATCAGTGCTCCTAGTTTGCAGGCAGAGTAGTCTACTCCAAGCAGTATTTCAGAGACCCAGGCTTCTTCCATCCGGTGGCTCTTCCATGTCTAGCAGGTGGCCTCCCATTGTGGCTAGGGAAGGGGAAGGAGGAGCATGAGATGGGTCAGGCCTGGAAGTGGTGCATGTCATTTCCACCCACATGTACTGGCCAGAACTCAGCGACATGGTCATACTTAACGGCAAAAAAAAAAAAAAAAAAAAAAAAAAAAAAAAAAAAAAAGCTTCGAAATAGAACCTAGTGGCCAAAGCTGTCTCACAGCCAACCAGTCTCATTTCCTGAGAGTCTGATGAGCTTCTGCGTCCCCCCACCCGCCCACCCCTGCCCCACTGCCCCCAGACATCTCCTCTCACTGATAAAATAATTATCACAATTATAGAGAAGACTTCAAATGCAACCAGGAGAAGGGCCACCTTGATCTTAAATTCAGATCATACAGAGGTAATGACGGGTCTCCAATGTTCCTGCAGAGGAGGCTGAAGGTTTAGAGAAGGGCAGGGGAAAGAAGAAGAGGTTAAACGTAAAATTTGCTCAAGTCCAGGCCTGGCTAAGAAAGGAAGATGTCTCTATCCACCATTTTGGTGTTGTTAACAAAGTCTACCTTGAAGTCAATTCTAGATATTTTAGAATTTCTCCAATTAAGCAAACATTTATCGAGCATCCAAAGGTTTGCATAGTCCTAGGGAGAGTCCTTTGGGATATCAAATAAAGGGATGAATGAATATGAGGTGAGGTCAGCTCTATTCTTTATCTGGTTGAGATTTTGAAGACACTAGTAATAAAAATTTGACACAATTATAATAATATCCAGGGCTGTATTCAACACTTGATATAAATTATCTCATTGAATCTTCCCAATAATTCTATGAGGTAAATACTATTATCACCCCCATTTTACAGAAGAGGAAACAAACCTAAAAAGATGAAATAGTTGTCCAAAATCTCAATTGCTCCAAAGAAGAGAAAAGAATGATTTTTAACTACACGACACTGCCTGTATTATGAAATTACAGTGCTGTCTGCACATAAAGACAGGGATAATTCAATTGGCTTTGGAAAATAGAAGGAAGTTTAGAGTTCTAAACAGTTATTGGGCTGGGCGAAGTGGCTCACGCCTGTAATCTCAACACTTTGAGAAGCCGAGGTGGGAGGACTGATTGAGGCCAGGAGTTCAAGACCAGCCTGGGCAACATAGTGAAACCCTATCTTTACAAAATTTTTTTTTTTTTAATTAGCCAGGCTTGGTGGCACATGCATGTAGTCCTAGCTACTTGTGTGGCTGAGGAGGGAGGATCCCTTGAGCCCAGGAGTGCAAGGCTGCAATAAGCTATGATTGTGCCACTGCAGTCCAGTCTGGGCAACAGAGCAAGACCCTGTCTCAAACAAAACAAAAAACAGTTAACTGAATCCAAGAACAGGTCGTAACTGGGGTTAAGAGTCCCCTGTGTAATTTAAAAAGTGACTTTGAAGCCAAGCAAGTTGTGTGACTCTAGAGGAGGAGACACTTTGTCTCCCTATTCTTCAGTTTCCTCTTCTGCAAAGTAAGGAAGCTGGCCTAGATGTACTTGAAGTTCCTTTCTTCCTCTGTAAAAGCAGCATGGCAAATGGAAAGGGCTGATATTTTCATAAGCCAGATTCAGGGAAACTCTTTCTGCCTATCTGAGCCTCCATTTTCCCATCTATGAAATGGGAATTAGGTCGGATTTGCTACTTTTTCTCTCCCTAGTGTCTAGCACAGGGAAAATAATAGGGGCTTAATAAACCTTGGTCACCCCATTAATGTCCCCACCTGATTGGAGATGGCAGCAATCCATTGCATGCACAGAAGGCAGAATTGCATGAGTAGAGGTCTGCCTCTGAGCTCTGAGCTGCTTCTGAGAGCACAGGGTGTCAACCTCCCTCCTGAGGCATCGTGGCCATTTTGGGAACAGCTGGCTCCTGGCCCAGAGAAATGGCCTGCAGTTGAGGAAGCAGAGTGTAACGTTTCACAAAGCCTCCCTTGCCACCTCTGCCCATACCCCACACCCTCTCCCTCATGCGCAGGGCAAACTCTGGCCCCAACGAATCTGGATTTCCAGCATTCACTCAGAATCCCCAACAGGCAAGTTCACGACTTTGGGGCACAGAGTTCAGAGAGAAAGAATATTAGATGTCCCCGCAGGCCTCCCCAGCAAGCCTTATTTCTTAGAATTACTTCAGGGATGCTCCCAGGAGCCTTGCCCGCCTGGCAGATATTGAATAAGGTAGAAGCCAGAGTGGATGAAAAGCAGTGTCTTGGAACGGTTGCCTGGTTACCGGTGACCTGGGTCACGTGGTCTCCTCCCTTCGGAGCGGCCCAGGGCGAGCCGGCAAGGAGCAGGAGTGCAGGGGAGGGGCATGAGTTCCCGGGGAAGGTGGGGAGGGGAGGAGAGGCGGTGAGAAGCAGCTCCTCTACACTGCGCTTTCCTTTCCCGACGGCCCGACTGCCCGCATGTCGGGCCAGGACAGGAGCACCAGGCCACCTGGGTGGGGAGCTTGGCTCTCTTGCTTCCCTGGTGGAGGACGTGGACAAGTTAACTCAGCCTATGGGCAGCTGTCTTTCCTCACCTGTAAAATGAGTCTAATAATAGTGCACACCTCACTCAGTTACGACAAGGCTGCAAACAAGAAAACAGGGAAAAGAGGCCCAGCACAGGGCCGGGAACGCACTAGACTGAACGTGAATACACCGGTGTTGTCCAGCGGTGCTGAGTGCTGGGGGCTGGTGGCCAGAGCAACAGAAGTCCTGAGTCAGGACAGCTACCTAATGTGACAGCCCAGGGCACATTGCAAACACAAGCCTTTTGTTCCACAGGCAGGAGAGAGGTACCCAAACATAAAGCCCCACCCCACTTCTGTGGCCCCTCTTGTGCTGTGTATTTGCTATTTAATGCTATGCTACCTTGGGCATGGAGCTACTGGAGAGGAGCACGGAGGCCCTCAAGGCACCCAGGAGCCTTCCCCTGCAGTGTGGCCCACCAGTGCCCATCTGCTGCCAGGTCCCCTACACTGAGGCAAGAGGACCCGGAGAAGGGAAGCCAGGCATCCTCCTTTCCCACAGGCCCTTCACCCCAATCCATGGTGGACAGGTACCCCCACATCTTGCAACCTCCATGTCAGAGGCTCTAGCATAGGGGAAAGGCTTGCCCTGCCAGTTTCCCCCCTTGAAGGCACCACGATGTCATCAACCTCTAGGGCAGGCATGGCTGCAGTCGTGTCCTACCCAAATGCTGTGGGATGTGCATGCTCAGCCTCCCGTGCCAGTGCCCTGCAGATAGCAGACTGGCAGCTGTTGGGGGGAAGAGAGAGAAGAAGGGATGTGAGGAGGAGATAGCAGGGGGTTGGGGAAGCTGGCACTGAGAACCCACCTGGTGAGGGAGGGGCCGGACTGCACTTGAACTGAGGCTGTTGGCCTGGGTGCCTGCTGTGTTATCTCACAGACTTCATTTACAAACTACACATTTACAGATAAGATATGAAGAATTTCAAGACACGACAGTAGAACATTAAATCCCTAGCACAGGCTTTTGTGTCACTGAGCTGGTTGCACACCAGCTGACCCTCTTCTGAGTTCTTGTTGTGGCTCTGTCACTAACTCTCCCTCTCTGGGCCTCGGTTTTCCTTTCTCTAAATGAGGGGGTAGGGCTAGATGGTTTCTAGACCCTCTTCCTGCTTTTATGTTTCATGATGTGTCCCACTAACATGCTGTGTGGACATGGGCAAGTCCCTTCCCTTCTCTAGGGATCAGTTTCCCTGTCTATAAATTGGGAATTTGGGAATCCTGAAGGGCCCTGCCAGGGTTACTGCTTAGAGAGATGCCTTTTCCCATCCTCTCCTGTGTTTGAGGGGACTTCTTTTCTTTTGCAGAAGGGAAGACAAAGTTGCCCAGCAGGTGCTGGGGTATGGGGCTGGATAGAACATTCCTTTTCTCCTTCTGCCCACACTGGTGAGTTTGGGGACTGTGGGGCAAGAAAGAAGGGAGGGAAAGCTCCTTAAGGAACAGAGAGGCAAAGAAGCATCATGTGAGAAGGTAAGCAAGCAGGCAGCCTTGGGAGATGCTTTCATTCAGTCATTCATTCAGCAACAGCGAAACAGCAAAAGAATGTAACACTCACCGTATTTGTGTAAGGGGCTTTAACCCATGCCCGCGTGTAGGCTAGGATAATTTTAGAGCACTGAGATAATACACAAAAACAGCAATCATGTAGTTTTAAAAGCCAACTCTGGGGTTATAGGGAAAGTATGTAAACAATCATGTTTTGTTAAAGATCCATATAGATAATACACAAAAACAGCAATTATGTAGTTTTAAAAAATAACTCTGGGGTTAAAGGGAAAGTATGTAAACAACTGTGTTTTGTTAAAGATTTACAGGAGCATTGTGACCTGACCAAGGACAAAGAAGTTCCCAAACTCCTCAGGCCCTCACTGGCACCCAGAGGTCTGCAGTCATCAGTCACATCTTGATCCCAACTCCCTCTTCTTCCCCTGCCCTTAACATAAAAAAAAGCCTGAAATTTGTGCTGACTTAAGATGGCATTTTAGGATGGTAGTCTACCATTTTCTCCGTTTGCTGGCTTCCCGAAAAACCTGTTTTTCCTCCCACCAAGTCTCATTTCTTGAGTTTTGGCTTTCAAGCAGAGAGCAACTGAACCTGGGTCCGGTTACAATTCATTCATTCATTTGTTCATTCATTTGCCTGGATGATTGCAGCAGCCTCTGCCCCTATCTCCCTGCTCTGTACTCACTCCCTTTCAATCTTCTGCTCCTCACAAGGGCCTAAGGGAGCTTCTGATGTGATAAACGGAATCATGTGGTTCCTCCTGAAAGCCTTTATCAGTTAGAATTAGGTTTAGCTGTGACAGAAAATGCACACTAACAGTGGCTTCAGCAAGATAGATGCTTTTCCCTCCCTCCCAGAAGCATCTGGCAGCTGGCTACCTGAGACTATGGCAGTTCAACGGAGTCAGGAATCCAGGCTCTGTCTACATTGTGGCATCTCCAATCCTGGCTTTTATTTCCAAGGTCACTTCAGAGTCTGAGATGGTGCTGGGGTTCCAGCCATTTAATCTATACCCCACATAGCAGCAAGGAGGAGTGGGGACACACATCCCCCTTTCAAAGATACTACTCAGAAGTTGCATACACCACCCCAGCTTGGATTCTAGCAGCCAGAGCTTAAGTCACATGACCACATCTGCAAAAGAGGCTGGGAAAAGTTGTTCTTATTCCAGGCAGCCACATGCCCAGTTCAACCTTGTGGATTTTATGAATCAGGACAAAGGGGAGAATGGATACTTGTGGACAATTGTTGATCTCTGCCACGTAGTCCTTCCATAGCTCCTTACTGCACTTGAAATAAAACCCAAACTCTTTCCTATGCCTGCAAGGTCCTGGCTGTTTTCCCACCCTCTCTCTTCACTCATCCTGCTTCAGGCCTGCTGGCCTCTTCCCGGTTTCTCAAAGACCATAGTTGTTTCCCATCCAGGGCTATCTGTCCACGCTGTTTCCTGGTTGGAATGCCTTCACCCGACTCTATGAAACTCTGTCCCTTCTCCTCTTCTAGGTCTCAGCTTGCATATCACCTTCTCACAGAGGCTTCCCCAACCACCATACTTCTCCTCATCATTTTTTCTTGGGTCCTTTTTTGTTTCTTTATAGCATGAAAGACGCCTTGGAACTAGCTATTAAATTATCTGATAAGCAAAACAAAGCACGAATGCTCATATCAACGGTTGCTCCCCTTTTTGGTTTGTCTCCCCCATTCAAAAGGAAGCTCTATGGGGGAGGCTTTGGGTCTTGTTCACAACCCCATCCCTGGAGTTTCTCTCTACAACTATGTATTGTTCTCCCACTAGGTGCCAGGAACCTAAAAGACAGTAAGCACATTCAGTTTTCATCTCAGCTGCAGGGCAGCCAAGAGGTGAGGATTGGGGTTCATCTCCTGGAGAGGAGGCAGAGATCTCAGCAGAGACTGGGATAAAGGAGTCCAGTAAGATTGTAAGAAGAGCCCTGCAGCTGCCAGGAATGGGATTAGGGTTCCTTTTAGCCTCATTGCTGGCTCCATCCTATGTCTCCACCCTTATGTGAATGTGTTCCTTTGTCCTACTTTTAACTTACATCAGACTCTTGCGTGTTCCTTATCCTCCTAAGCAGCTTTGCATCCTTTCTGGAAGAGGGTGGGGGTATAAACAAACAAACAAATACACTATAAAAATACAGGAGATATTTTGGTGTATGCAGTTGCCAGGAATAGAAACCTACTCCAAGCAGTGCCAGACCTCTCTGAATTACAAAGCCAAGCGAGCATCCAGCAGTTTACTTGCCCTATCTTCCTAGGTGCCTTAAAGGACCTCAACTGGATGTGTCCAGAAAGCAACTCAGTCTCCCTCAAACTGGTCTTCGCCCAGTATTGGTAAACCAGTTGTCTAAGAAGCCTACCGGCTACCCTCAGTAGGTAGTATTAATATAATGTAGCAATTTGCAACAGGGTTTCTCAACCTGGGCACTACTGACATTTTGGGCTGGGTAATTTCTTGTCGTGGGGACTATCTTGTGCATTGTAGGATATTTAGCAGCATCTCTGTCCTCTATCCCTAGATATCAGTAGCACTCCAGCCCCAGCTGTGACAACCAACAATGTCTCCTTTGAGAATCACTGGTTTAGAAAAAGGACTTGAACCTCAGGCTCTGTGTTCACATCTCAACTCAGACTGTGTGCTATGGAACCTTGGACAAGGTATTTAAACTTTTTGTGCCTCAAGTTACTCCTTTATAAAGTGAGGAAAATCATACATTGTCCTTCATGGATTAAATGAGCTAATATATGTAAAGCTAATATATGTAAAGACTTAGAATGATGCCTGGCACCATATTAGCTATTATTATTACCTTTGAAATTACTCCTTACCTTCCCCTCATTCCTTAACCAAATCCATCATCATTTCTAGATAATTTTAATTCACGAGATAATTTTACTCTAAAATCCACCCACCTTTCTCCAACATCACCCTTGCCCAAACCACCGGCATCTCTTACCTCTGAATAAGGCTTCCTGCAATTCTCACTCAACAGAGAAGCCGGTTTGATCTATTTAAATCCTTCCATGCTTAAAACCAGTCTACCAAGTCCCATTGTTTAGGAAAATGCCCTTCACCAATGGGCTAGAGATTAAACAAACATGACCCTGGTCCATCTCTACAGCCTGTCTCCTGACTTCATCTTGTTTGCTAATTTCAGCCACAATATTTTTTCTCTCCGTTTCTCAAAGATACCATTCCCCCTCCTAATTTCAAGGCCCTTAAGTGTTCCAGACCCTCTGCTTGAAACCTCAGACAAGGCTATTTTCAAAGCAGTGATCAAGGACTTTTTTCAAAGTAAAGACCAGCCACTTCCCTGGAAAAGCAGAAAGAACGTAAGTGATTGAGCCAGGCAGGACCGCCTTGTCCACTGGGGTAGTGTATGCACTGCACAGACAAGCTCAGCTAAGGAAACAAGTAGGGACTGCAACTCATCCCAAGCTCCACTTGTCAAACCACACCCTGGTGCAGAGCCATCTGCTTCCCAAGCTGTTTTTGTGCAGAGCTGTGCTCTTTGAAAAAGGGTTATTTTTGTTAATTTGCAATGAAGGTGCCACACAGCCTAGTGGCAACCCTGTAGTCAGAACACACAGTAGGTTGATAGTAATGGAGCTACATTTTAACATGTACATTTCTTGTCTCCTGTAAAGACAATGAAGATAAGAGAAGAGACCCATTATGCAGACTGACTAGCTCTCCTGCACTGTTTCTTTCTATAGTTAGAAAGTGAAGCTGGGTGCAGTGGTTGGCAGTTGTAATCCCAGCTAGTCAGGAGGCTGAGGCAGGAGCATCACTTGCACCCAGGAGTACGAGTCCAGCCCAGGCAATATGGTGAGTCTCCATCTCTAAAAAAAATGTTTTTTAAAGCGAGATGTTCTTGCATCACTGGTATTAGTACAGAGCTGAGGCAGGCTTGAGGAAAACCGTCCCTTACTTTGTACACTGAGCAATTGGACAAATTTCAAGTCTTGGAGTGAAGCCATTAGTACTTTTCATAATTAAATTCATAATAAAATACCTTCTGGGAATTCAATATCTTTTTAAATTAACTATTCTTATTAACCTCATTCATCTGTCTCATAAAAAATGTAAACTAAGCCTAGCCATAAAGAACCCATATCCCAGCAAATATAATTAGCACCAAACATTTAGCCTCACAGTTAATATACTTCTGAGCCAAAAGGGACCTCAAAGATCACCTAGTACAAACATTCACCTTAGTGATGAGAAGCTTGAGTCTCAGAGGTTGAAAGCAATGTGCCCTGTATCACCGGGCTCAGGTCATTGCTAAGAGTATACCCAGGTCTCCTGTTTGCTAGGCCACACTAGAAAAAGAAAAGAAAATGAAACCTCACTTCCTTACCAGGTAAGAACTGTACATGAAACCCGTGTTTCTGATTACTTGGTCTTTATACAAGGGGTACTTTTCCAGGGTACTGGTTGGTGAGTCTGTGTCCAATCAAATTATAATCAATTACAAAACAATATTGGTTATAATTAATAGTTTTTTTGATACAACATATTTGAGAGTATCTCTCTCAGACAAAATACAGAGCCTGGGTTGCCAAAGCCCAGGCAAAGACAAGTTTTATCTTTCTTCTGTTCTTTAATAGGATCAAGGCCTCTGAGACTACCATATTTTAAGCAAACCTAAGACCGGCACATGTAGATTTGCAGAATATAAAAGTGAGTGCTTCCCAGAAAGGGCTGACCAGAAGATTCCAAGAATATTTCCCTTGCATATTTAAATGAGAATCAATTTTAAAAATCCATTTATATCCATTTTGAACTCTGTGTCACAGAAGTCAGCATTTAATTATGTGCACGTGTGATATCCCAGTGGGTATAATTGGGGAGTTGATGCTGAATTGCACAGAACAGGGTATGCTGCAGTTGGGCAGACCCAGGTTTAAATCTTGGCTGTACCACCTACTAATCATCACCCTGTACAAGTCACTTCACTTCTCTGAACCACAGCATATGCATCCATAAATGAGAACACTAATAGCTACCTTCCAGAGTTGGGGGGATTAAATAATATGAGAATACCCTACTATTTTTAATACATTTTATTAGTGGAATGGGATCAGAAAGACTCAGCATACTTAGGTGAGCTGAGCCTTTTTGATCCCATTCACCCAATAAAACTGTGAGGTCTTTGTAAGGCCTTTGCCTATTATCTTCATCTTGGTGTCTGCAATGCCAAATATGAGGTCCTATATAAAGTATGTACTCAATAAATGTTTATTGAATTAACAGAGGACTGTGGGAATGGGTTACGTCTTTCCTTTATCTGGCACTAACCAGCAGTAGTGGCTTGAATAGTCCCTGCTCCACCCCCAAATACATCCACATCCTAACCCCTAGAACCTGTGAATGTGACCCTTATTTGGAAAAAGGGTCTTTGTAGATGTAATTAATGTAAGGATCTCCTGGATTATCTGGGTAGGACCCAAATCCAGTGGGTCCTCATGAGAGACACAGGCAAAGACACAGACACAGAGGAGAAAGAAGGCCATGCAAAGATGGAGGCAGAGATTGGAGTGATGTACCCACAGGAACACCTGGAGCCACCAGAGTCTGGAAGAGCAAAAGGAGAGATTCCCCTTTAAGGCCTCCAGAGGCAGCATGGCCCTGCACAGTTGGTCTGACTTCTGCTCCATCTTCTGGCCTCCACCACTGTGAGAGAATACATTTCTGTTGTTTTAAGCCACCCGGTTTGTGGTCATTTTTTGCGGCAGCCGTAGTAAATGAATACACCAGCACGTAGGAGGCATTCATGCTTAACACTGGAACTTAATGCTTAAACACTGGAAGTGTCAAGTGAAGGGATTTGGACTCATGTTTTGATATCAAATCCTTAAACTCTACTGTACACCCAAAGCATGTTATCCAAGCTGGCTCGACTATGATCTAGAAATTTGGGGTACAGTACATTAACCTTGGAAATTCCATTGTAAAAGGAGCCAGAAATTCTGCTAAGCCACTCAGATGACACTACTTATTTTCCTGGAAGAATACACCAGGTACTTCCACTAGCCTGACCCAGACCAGCCACCCATGGCAGAGAGTGCTAATAGATAGTAACTGCTTCTTGCTGAGCATCAGAGATGCCATGTAAACATCCTGATAGAGGCACCAAAGAGCAGATGGAAATTCTATCTAGAGCTCAGGGTGGATCAGAGTCAGCCCACAGCTTGGCTCCCACCTCCAGCCTGAGTTCCAGGTGCTTGTGTCCAGCTGCTCCTTGACTCTCCCCCCGGATGTCTCCCACCTGGCATGTGTAACAAATGGGGTCGGGGGATCAGGGGTCCGACTGAACCCCTGATCCCCCGACCCCATTTGTTACTTCGCCAGTGTCTTCCATCTCAGAAACAAGTCACTCTGTTCTTCCAGTTACACTGTTCTCTTGGATTCCTCTATTGGTCTCACATTCCTCAGCCAAACATGGTGGTACTGCCTTAAGAAGACATCTAGAATATAGTCACTTGGCACAATTTCCACTGGCACTGCAGATCACTGTGACTTCTGGACCTCCCCCCTCCCTTTTTTTTTTTTTTTCACAGAGTCTCGCTCTGTCACTCAGGCTGAAGTGCACTGGTGTCATCTCGGCTCACTGCAACCTCCACCTCCCTGGTTCAAGCGATTTTCATGCCTCAGCCTCCCGAGTAGCTGAGATTATAGGCATGTGCCACCACACCTGGCTAATTTTTGTATTTTTAGTAGAGATGAGGTTTACCATGTTGGCCAGGCTGGTCACGAACTCCTGGCCTCAGGTTATCCACCCGCCTTGGCCTCCCAAAGTGCTGGGATTACAGGTGTGAGCACCCGGCTGCGGCTTACGTGGCTTGCGACCGTAAGCCGCACCCGGCTGGGACTGGTCTATTTTAAGAGCTTTTTCCTAACTAGTTTTTCTGCTTTTCTCCCAGCCTGATGACATTCTATTCACCAATAGGCAGCCAGAGAAAGCTTGAAAGCTTTTTAAAACCCAAGTCAAGTCAAATGGCTTCCTACCTCACTCAGAAAGGAATTCAGGCTCCTGATCCTGGTTCCTAGGTAAACGTGTGGACTGCGCCCATCCCAATATCCTGCCCCATTCTCCTCTGCTTTCATCTTTTACTACTCTCCCCTCACTCATAACTCAAGTCCCCTGGCCTCCTTGCTGCTCCTTTAAAATGCCAACTGTGGGGCTGGCAAGATGGCTCATGCCTATAATTCCAGCAGTTTGGGAGGCCAAGGCAAGTAAATCACTTGAGGTCAGTAGTTTGAGACCACCCTGGCCAATACGGCAAAACTCTGTCTCTACTAAAAACACAAAGATTAGCTGGGTATGGTGGCTGGCACCTGTGATCCCAGCTTCCTGGGAGGCTGAGGCAGGAGGATCACTTGAGCCCAGGAGGTGGAGATTGTGGTGAGCCAAGATCACACAACTGCACTCCAGCCTGGGCAACACAGCAAGACTCTGTATTAAAAAAAAAGAAAAGCCAAGCATACTCCTTCCACAGGGCCTTTGCATCTCCTGTTCCCTCCACCTAGAACACTATTACCCCAGACACCAGCATAGGCCCATCACTTTCATCATTCAGGATCTAACCCCATGGCCACCTTTGAGTACCCTATATAACAGTGCCTTTCCTGTCACTCTCTGATCCCTCTGCTTTAGTTTTCTTCTTTTCATATTGCATGGCTTGTCCATAGAATGACCTTGGACATTAGGCTTAAAAATTCCACACCTTCCTGAGAGATATACACAATTTAATCTGAAATCTCTAAGAGTTGTGTGGCCTTTAGATTCTGAAGGGGGAGAAAAAGCCAAATTCTGGTCAAGTTCATGTGTTCTGTATTAGTCAGTGTTCTCTAGAGGGACAGGACTAATAGGATAGATGTACATATGAAAGGGAGTTTATTAAGGACTACTGACTCACACGATCACAAGGTGAACTCCCACAATAGGCCGTCTGCAAGCTAAGGAGCAAGGAAGCCAGTCTGAGTCCCAAAACCTCAAAAGTAGGGAAGGTGACAGTGCAGCCTTCAGTCTGTGGCTGAAGGCCTGAGAGCCCCTGGCAAACCACTCATGAAAGTCTAAGAGAACAAAAGCTGAAGAACTTAGAGTCGGATGTTCGAGAGCAGGAAGCATCCAGCACAGGAGAAAAATGGAGGCCAGGAGACTTAGACAGTACAGTTTTTCCATGTCTCTCTGCCTGCTTTTATCCTAGCCACACTGGCAGCTGATTAGATGGTGCCCACTCAGACTGAGGGAGGGTCTGCCTCTCCTAGTCCACTGACTCCAATGTTAATCTCCTTTGGCAACACCCTCACAGACATACCCGGGAACAGTACTTTGTATCCTTGAATCCAATCAAGTTGACACTCAATATTAATTATCACACACCTTTATCTACAGAGTGAAAGAAATGCAAAAACCAACAGTGTATGGGTGAGAAGTCATGAGTTACATGAATATAAAGAATGTAGGTGAAGCCACCACTTCTTCTTAAGGCTTCCCTTAAGAAGGAATTCAGCTGGCCCATTAGACACCCCAAGATCTAGCCATACCTTAAACTCAGCAAACCCCAAACTTGAAAGTGCCAATATCACTGCTTCCTTTAGGATTAAGCATATTTCGACCCTGGGGAAATTTATGATTTTTTAAATATTTAAGATAATCAAGTCATAATATTAATATGTGTATAAATATTTCATGTTAAAATGTATATTTTATGTGCTTATTATATTTACAAGAATTTGGTCTATTAGAATGAACAGATCAGCCTAGTACTCATTTCAAATATGTAATTGAGTAATAATTGATCTTGGCTTAGAATTTTAATTTGAGACCTTATTAAGTTTATACATATTGTTAGAATATTTAAGACACTTTAAAAATTACATTTATTCTCTTAATTTAATAGATTTATATAAATTACTTAGGTACCTAGGAAGATTTATCAATAACACAAATGAGCTTACTAAAAAGTGAAACTGAATACAAAGAATTTATAAATGTACCTTAAAATGTTTGATAGTGTTGGAATTAATTGAGTTCACAAATGGACTCAAACATTCAAATGATCTTTAAAAATGACGGCTCACAGTTTTTGAGACTTACAAGTAGACATATAAGCTGAACTTAAAGCCTTGCTTTTTAAAAACATGTGCCTTTCGTAAATTAATCATGGCCAGGTGCGGTGGCTCACGCCTGTAATCCCAGCACTTTGGGAGGCCAAGGCGGGCGGATCACAAGGTCAGGAGATTGAGACCATCCTGGCAAACACGGTGAAACCCCGTCTCTACTAAAAATATAAAAAATTAGCCTGGCGTGACGGTGTGCGCCTGTAGTCCCAGCTACTCGGGAGGCTGAGGCAGGAGGATGGCGTGAACCCTGGAGGTGGAGCTTGCAGTGAGCCGAGATGGCACCACTGCACTCCAGCCTGGGCGACAGAGTGAGAATCTGTCTCAAATAAATAAATAAATAAATAATTAATCATTAATTTCTAAAACCAAGATACACTTTGAAATGGTCTTTTCTGTGCACCAAAACCATCGAGGATTTCAAACGTTACTTATTTATCTCTTTTATGCCTCATTAGAAAATAAGCCCCACAAGAATGAGTATTTTGCCTAATTTATCGCTGGACTCCCAGTTCTTAGGGTTGTGCCTGGCATGTAGCAGGTGCTTAGGAAAATTTTGTTGCATGAAGGCAAATACCCTTTGCCCTGAGTCCTACAGGATTGCTGGGTGCATCCTAAAGAGACTAAAGCCCAGTGATTGCCTAGAAGACACCCAAGATCCTGAATCAAGTTAGATCCAAGGGTTTGGGGACAGTCTTAGGACATTGATTTCCTGGGCCTTCTGCTCCTCAAAGGCACCTATGCCTGCTACCTCCTCCATGAAGTCCTGCACTGTACCCAGAGTATGTTACACTGGGTACATGTAACATGACTCAACATTGTAAGGTTACTTTTGTGCTTGTTTCGTTTCCTCTCCTGGTGGGCTGAAGAGTTCTACATTTCTTTATCACCCAACTCTCTCACATGCCTTTTGAATGAGTGAATGAACTAATGGACAAACGAATGGTGCTTTCGTAAAGCATACTTTTGTGCTTATGGCTCCATAGAGATTAACGGCCCAGGCTTTAGAATCAGACGGAATGAGCTCAAACCCCAGTTCCGAGGCTGGTGGTATGTGACTTCAACCCATGTTTAAGAAATATTGTGAGTATTGCATGCTTTAAAAATAAACATTAACCTCAATCTGCTTACCAGGCAAGATAAAGGGAAAAGCTAAACTCAGGGCACCAGTGGAATCATTTAAAATTGTTTGCTTAAGATATGTCAATAGATACCTGCAGATGTGAAGGCTTACCAGGACACGCAGGCCATTTAGAGAAGAGCTTCAGTATGGTTTACATTTCAGCCTCAGTATTTATAAACAGAACAAAATCCGGAGGGAAGAAGCCTGAGAAGATAAGCCTTTAGGTAAATAGTTCCAGAGGCACCAGAAGCTGCTTCCTGGGATGGGCCAGTAAGGCTTAACAATGGGGAGGTTGGGTGCAGTCGGAGAGTAGGGTGGGAAGGAGAAGTGGAATAGACCAGGATTTCAGATCAGTACTTCTTAAGTTTTAAAATGTATTAAAATCAGCTGGCGATCTTGTTAAGTACAGCTTCTGATTCATAGGTCTGTGCTGGGGGTCTAACATTTTGCATTTCTAACAAGCTCCCAGGTGATGTTGATGCTGCTGGTCTGTGGACCACACTTTGAATAGCAACATTCTCTGGCATGAAAGCATTATATATCCCTCCAAAAAGAGCAGTGAAGACAGAAGTACAAACAAACAATCCCCTCCCCAAAATACAGATAGTGGCCAGTACTTTGTTTTTATTCTCATCAATTTAGGTGTCTTAGAAACTGTATCTTAATATAAACCACATTGAAAAAATGCTCAATTTATTTGCTCAACAAATATTTATTGAGAATCTACTAAGTGCCAGGGCTTGTTTCAAATTTTTAGGGTACAGTAGTGAGCAGCTTGCCCTTGAGGAGTTTATATTTCAGTGTGGGAAGACAGACTCATAAACACTTAAAGACATACACAAGCCAAAAAAAAAAAAAAAAAAAGCTGAAATTGCTTCAAGTTGCGATAAATGCCAAAGAAAATAAAACAGGGCTATGAGTCAGCAAGGGGCTTGGGAAGAAGGGCTTTTGGAAAGGGCTGAGAAGTAGCCAGCCACAAAAAGTTCTAGGGGGAGAGTGTCCATTTGAGGGATAGCAACAGTGTGGTTGATGTGTAGTGACCAAGGGGGAAAGAAGTAGACAAGGGCAAGACTATGGTAAGCAACTAGGGTTTTATTCTATTTGTGATGGAGTTTACAGGGTTTTAAGCAGGAGAGTGATATGAACAGTTAAAAAGATAATTCTGATCAATTTAAATATCATCAGTAGTGGCACAACCAGCCATTTTGTGCCTCCTAGAATTTGGAGGACACGGTGTCACTTATGAAATAGTCTTGCTGAATGTAATTAAGGCTTTAGATCTAGCATCTAGTTTATAAGAAACACAGGAGTTAGCGGATCAAGTTAAAGTACATCACGAGAAAGTACACCAATAAATCCAGAAGATGGGATCACTGGCCTCCTTTTCACCAAATTCGTAGCATGAAAACAAAGGAGGTGCTTTAGAAGAGAGTTAAGAGAAATAACGATCAAATGTATGCAACATGTGGATCTTAATTGGCTCACGGTTCCAATACACCATCTGTAAGAGACATTTTGGGACAACTGGAAACATTTTAGGATGGAAACAAGGCCTTAGGAATTATTTTAATTATGTCAGATGTCATAATGGCATTGTGGTTAGGGAGAAGAATGTTCTTATTTTTTAAAGATGAATATTGAAGAAGTTAGGAGTGAAAACTCATGATGTTTGAATTTCTTAATGATTTGCTTCTAATGAATAGAATTTAGCAAAAGGGGTGGCATGTCACTGTTATGGTTTGGCTGTGTCACTACCCAAATCTCACCTTTAATTGTAATAATCCCTACATGTCAAGGAAGAAGGCAGGTGGAGATAATTGAATCATGGCGGATGGTTTCTTCCATATTGTTCTTGTGGTAGTGAATAAGCCTCACAAGATTTGATGGTTTATAAATGGGAGTTCCCCTGCACAAGACCTCTTGCCTGCCACCATGTAAGACTTGACTTTGCTCCTCATTCGCCTTCTGCCATGATTATGAGGCCTCCCCATCCATATGGAACTGTGAGTCAATTAAACCTCTTTCATTTATAAATTACCCAGTCTCAGGTATGTCTTTATCAGCAGTGTGAGAAGAGACTAATACAGTCACCTCTGAGATTAGGTTATAAAAGGGTGTCACTTCCATCTTGCTGTCATTTTCTTTCAGGCTCTTTCCACTTGCTCACTCTGAGGAAGCAAGTTGCCATGTCATGAACTGCCCTATGTAGAGATCCAAGGGACTGAGGGCAGCTTCCTGGCCAACAGCCCCGAATTCTGCCAACGACCATGGGGTGAGCTTGGAAGCAGATCCCTCTACAGTCAGCCTAGAAATGACTACAATGCTGGCCAACGTCTGATTGTAGTCTACGTAGTCTGTGACCTTTCAGGATCTCTAAACCATACCTGGATTCCTGATCCATAGACACAATGAGACAGTAAATGTGTGTTGTTGTAAGCTCCTAAGTTTCAGGGTGATTTGCTATGCAGCAATAGATAACTAATATACCATTATATAGGTAGCCCATTTAACTAATCTACTATTAAGGGGCATTAGGTTATTTCTAAGACTTTGCTATTGAAAAGAATGCTACAATACACTTCTATTAGTCCTATTATATTTTAAGGAAATTATTTTTAAGTTACACTTAAAAATTTATGATTTTGAGAATTAACAAATTGCCCATTGCAGAGGTGGAGAACACTTTTTTTTTTTTTTTTAGATGGAGTCTCGCTCTATCACCCAGGCTGGAGTGCAGTGGCGCTATCTTGGCTCACCGCAAACTTCGCCTCCCAGATTCAAGTCATTCTTCTGTGTCAGCCTCCCGAGTAGCTGGGATTACAGGCATGCACCACCATACCTGGCTAATTTTTGTATTTTTAGTAGAGATAGGGTTTCACCACATTGGCCAGGCTGGTCTTGAACTCCTGACCTCAAGTGATATGTTTGTCTTGGCCTCCCAAAGTGATTACAGGTATGAGCCACTATAAGTGGCCCTAGAGGTGGAGAACACTTTTGCAAATACTGAGTACTACCAATGTTTTCATCATTCGATAGATGAAAAAAATTCTCATTGATCTTTTAATGTATATTCCATTGATTATGAAATAAATTGGGTGTAATTCATTTGCTTGTCATTTCCTTTAAGTTTTCTAAAAATTGCCTGTGTTTTCACCATATTTCTTCTTTTTCCTTTTATTCTCATTCTTTCTCTTTCTTCTTTATTTTGACTGTTCTTTTATTTTTCTTCAGCAAACACTTTTTTTAAAAGCAAGTTATTTATCTTTGTAAATGGAAATAATGCCTTAATCTGGCAAATGTGTGGAGAACATTTTTCTCCCAGTTTAGAATTTATCTTTGGACTTTGTTTATGGATTTCTTTATTTTTTCATATATATATATTTTATTTTTATATGGTTAAATTTTTAACTTTTCTTCCTTATAACTTCTGAGTTTTGCATAATTTCTAAAAAGATGTTCTTACTCAAAGATGCTGCCAATGAGAATGATGATGGTGATGCCGGAGGGAGGAAGAGAGGAGGAGGATGATAAATACTTGCTTTATGTAATATATTATGTGCCAGTTACTGTTCTATGAACTTTGTGCATATTTCACTTAATCCCTGAATTACCCTGTAAGGGAAGTACCATTATAACCCCAACTGACAAACGAGGAAACTGACGTCTAGAGAGAAGTAAGTTGTCTAGATTTTAGAGGCTGTGATCTTTACCACCATGCACTTGCAAAGGCTGTTTTTGATGCTGTTCCTCGTGGGTTTTATGCCAACACAGAGCACTTTGGTCTTTGTGACTGCAAAGCCAACTCCATTTCTTGGGTGCCAGGGGTAATTATAATGCTTTTTCATGACCAAAGAAGTCTTTTATTCCATAGAAAAATGGAGCCATAAATGATTTAGCAAACACAAGGAGGCAGAAATGGAAATCGTTGCTGAAAACCGGCTCTTATCTGAGCGATGAATTGGGGCTGGAACAAGAAGCGTGGCCTTTCAGAATTGCTCACATCCTATACCAATTAAGGGTTTGGGGAAGCCGACAATGGCTTCCTGTTGTGGAAATCACTTTGAAACATGTAGGCTGGTAGTTAAAGCCATTAGTTCCTCTTGGGCTTCAAGGACAACTACAAAGAAAATATTTTGTAAATTGCGCAAGAAGCATGGATTTGGAAACCCCTGGGTTAGCCCGAACTGGTCAAGCAATTGCTTTTAACAGTATTTCCTAAATGGACTAATACCTGGTGGGGAGATAGAAAACAAACCTCACTTCAGAAAGACAACTTAGGGCTTCTTAAAAGCTGCAGGTCTCTCTGCCTCAGACAACCATTGAGAGAAGAGCTAGGGTCTTTCCTTGGACAAAGAGTTTTCATTTCAGTCTCAAGATTGAGGGGATGCAAATAAGCCCAGCACTTCTTGCCTGACCTTTCCTTGTTGAAAAGCTCCTGCATCATTCTCAGCAAACTATTGCAAGGACAAAAAACCAAACACCACATGTTCTCACTCATAGGTGGGAAATGAACAATGAGAACACCTGGACACAGGAAGGGGAACATCACCCATCAGGGCCTGTCATGGGGCAAGGGGATGGGGGGAGGGATAGCATTAGGAGAAATACCTAATGTAAATGACGAGTTAATGGGTGCAGCACAGCAACATGGCACATGTATACATATGTAACAAACCTGCACATTGTGCACATGTACCCTAGAACTTAAAGTGTAATAATTTAAAAAAAAAAAAAAAAAAGAGCTCCTGCAGAAAACCCAGAAGGACACCCAGGCAGGCATTTCTATGTGCCTTGAAGTCATATTGAAAGTTGAGATACAAAGAGCAAGAGAATAGGAGGCAAGTCGAAGTCACTAACTGGAAAATTGCTTTATCTCGAGTTCTCAGGGGCCTATGGCTCTTAACCAGTGGCAGCTAATACGAAACATAGTTGAGCACTCACCGGAAACGTTCCAGTCGGGACTAATTTTCTTTCTTTCTCCGCTTGCTCTTGTGAAGCAAGGTTATAAATTTTCTCTTCTTTCTGTGAGGTAGCTTGCTGGTGTGAAAAGGCAGTGTGGCAAGAATGAGGAGGTGTTGGCTCTAGTTTTGGCACTGCGTTTTAACTTCTTTAATGTCCTGGACACAGCTGCTTTGAATCACACCTACATTGAGCTGTTAAGACCCCGGGTTTGAGAGCTGACTCTCTTACCCTTTGATTCCCTCATCTTTAAAATGGGAATAAAAATAGCAGCTCCCTCAAAGAGCTATCATGAGGGTTCCACGAGAGGCCATGTGCAAAGCATTTACAAAGCTCCTGGCAGGTTTCAGCTCAGGGTGAATGGTGCCCTCCAGAGTTGTGCAGAGGATCAGTTCTGGCCTGTCACGTACTGCATTGGTCTAGGTCAGGGTTCTCCAGAGAAACAGAACCGACAGAATAGATAGAAATGGAGATAGATCTATCTCTAGGTCGATCTATCTATCATCTATCTATCTATCTATCTATCTATCTATCTATCTATCTATCTATCTAATCTATGTATCTATCTAATCTATCTGTATCTCTATCTGTCTATCTATTATACCTATGGAGAGAGAGAGATAAAAAGAGATACTTTAAAGAATTGGCTCATGTGACTGTGGGGGCTGACAAGTCCAAAATCTGCATGGCAGATGAGCAGGCTGGCACCCCAGGGAAGAAATGGCATTTCAGCTAGAGTCTAAAAGCAGTCTGAAGACAGAACTCCTTTCTTTGGGGACATCTATCTTTTTCTCTTAAGACCTTCATTTGACAGGACGAGGCCCACTGACATGATGGAGGGTAATATGCTTTCCTCAAAGAGTACTGATTCAAATGTTAATCACATCTAAAAAATGCCTTCACAGCAACATCTAGACTGGTGTTTGACCCAAAACTGGATACTATGGCCTATTCAAGTTGACACATAAAATTAACCATTACACATAGTAAGTGGTCTTCTTTGGTCTAAATGTTCATGTCCCCCCAGAATTTGTATGTTGAAATACTTACTCCCTGAGGTGATGAGATTAGGAGATGGGGTTTTTGGAAGGTGATTAAGTCATAGGGGTAGAGCCCTCATGAATGGGATTAATGACCTTATGAATGATGCTTGAAAGAGACCTCTCATTCCTGCCCTGTGAGGTCAGAATGAGAAGACAGCTATCTATGAGAAAGCGGGCCCTCACCTGACATTGAGTTTGCTGACACATTGATCTTGGACTTTCCAGCCTCCAGAGCTGTGAGAAATAAATTCCTATTTTGTGATTTTTTTTTTTTTTTTTTTGGAGATGGAGCCTAGGCTGGAGTGCAGCAGCACGATCTCGGCCCACTGCAACCTCTGCCTCCTGGGTTCAAGTGATTCTCCTGCCTCAGCCTCCTGAGTAGCTGGGATTATAGGTGCCCACCACCACGCCTGGATGATTTTTGTATTTTTAGTAGAGACAGGGGTTTCACCATGTTGGTCAGGCTGGTCTTGAACTCCTGACCTTGTGATCCACCCATCTCGGCCTCTCAAAATGCTGGGGTTACAGGCGTGAGCCACAGCACCTGGCCAATTCCTATTGTTTATAAGCCACCCTATCTTGTTATAGTAGCCTGAAAAGACTAAGGCATGGTCAATAAATGTAGTTAATATTCTTCTTATGATATAGTTATTATTTCTGTTGTTGCTGATCTATCTATATGCCCTTTTAGGCCCCTTTTAGTCTTGATATCTTCTGTTGAACAACGTGCATCTGCATTTAGGGAAAGGAAACAGAAAGAACTGCAGTATTGTGCAAGCAAATGGAACCTGAGAAGGATATAAACAGGAAAATCCAGTTTTCTCAACACTTGGTCATGGAGTTGAGATGAAAGTTGGGCCAACACCTTCTCCATAATAACCTTTCCCAAACTAAAACACAGATTATATGTAGCATTTATGTATTACATAAACTTCAAATAGCTAAGAGATATTGAGTACTTACTATATACCAGCCAGTGTTCTGAATGTTTTAATTAACACAATAAGCTTCACAGCAACCATATAATGCAGATGCCGGTGCCAATATGTTCCATCTCACTGATGAGGAAGGTGAGTCCAGGGAGTGTAGAGATCTTGTCCAAAGTCATACAACTAGGGAGTAGGGGGACCCAAATAAGCCACTGTGTCCTGTTCTAGAGCCTGTAGGTCCTGACCACACGTCCAGCATGCAAAAAATTGTAGGGCTAAAGCAATGGGATGAGGGACATTGCCACTGCCTAGAGACTCCACTGCTGTGTGGCAAGGACACTGTAAAGGTGAGTCTCTCTAGTGTGCATAAAGGTCTCTTGGAGAGCCTGTTAAAAACTTGGATTCTCAGGTCCCACCTCTAGAGAGACTGATTGAGTAAGGCTGGGGTGTGTCCAGGATCCACCTGGGATCCCACTAAGTCTCCTGCTTTTGCCCTGGTCATGTTGGGGCTCACAAGGCTCTCAGAGGTGCATCCATTCTGTGGAATTGTGAAGCTGAGCAATAAGCACTGAAGAAATATCCTGGCTCACTAAGAAAGATGAAGACAGCACTGCTACCAAGTATGCCCATGGAAGTTTCTGTACCTAATAATGGCTCACGTACTAAAAGTCTGTCATAAGAGAGGTCTTATGAGCCTTGACAAAGTCATGAGAGACATCCAGAATTCAGTGTACCAACACCTAGCACTATAAGAGTTCTATGTCCTAGGAAGTATGTGTAAGACTGCAGAATTCTTGTCAAGTTCAAAAGTCTTTGGATCAAAGCAGAAAGAGATTTGTATATAACAGCCACATACAAAATCAATCAAGCAATAAAATGGCTGCAGACTTTGGAATGTAGTCAGAAAAATTAGGCAATACATGGAATATGAATCCAGGAACGTGGGCTATGGGAACACCCCTCGCTTGAAGTTAAGGGTCACTGACGTAAAGTCCAGTGTGGCTTGTTGGGGATTTGGACAGACCAGCATCTGGTCCTTAAATGTTTGCAGAAGGGGGAGTAGATAGAATAACGGCCTCCCGAGGATATCCATGTCCTAATCTCCAAAACCTGTATACATGCCTTTATATTACTTTACATGGCAAAAGAGACTTTGCAGATGTGATTAAGTTAAGGATGTTGAGATGGGAAGATGATCCTGGGGTACCTGGCAGGCCCAGTGGAATCACAAGGGTCCTTACAAGAGAAAGACAAATGAGTAAAAGCCAGAAAAAGGTGACATGATGATGGAAACAGAGGTCAGAGAGAGAGGGAGATTTGAAGATACTATACTGCTGGCTTTGCAGATAGAAGAAGGGGTCATTAGTCAAAGAATGCAGGCAGACTTTAGAAGCTGGGAAGGGCAAGAAAACAGACTCTCCACCTAGAGCCTCCAGAGGGAACGCAGCCCTGCTGACCCATTTTAAATATCTGGCCTCCAAAACTGTAAGATAATAAATATGTGCTGTTTAAAGCCACATAGATTTGAAGTCATCTGCTGCAGCAACATAGGAAACCAATATAGAAGGCTTCCCTCAAATTTACATGGGATGATCTCATAGTTTCCTTAGTTGGAGTAAAAAGAATTTCCCTGGTTGTCTTCCACCCCAGACCTGTGCCCAAGGTAACCTCTGGCTCTACAATAGGTATTACGAGCACACAACTTTTATTCATGCCAAGAGTGAGATCTGAGACATAAAAATCTTCAAAGACACCAGAAATATTAAGAAGAATATGTTAAAACTTAGTGGTTTATATTGTCATGATGTTAAAAATTCGAACTTTTATAGTGGCAGCTTATAATGCCAGTTTAAAACGTGTCATTGAGTACTTGATTTAGATTTGTGATTTTAAGTCAAAACTACACTACATTAATTTTCTATTTTGGAATATTTTAAAGAACTTTAAGTCCATTGATTTACATAATATTCATATTCTATATATGTGTGTATTTATACACACACACACACACACACACATATATATGGTTCGAGCAATTCTCCTGCCTCAGCCTCCCAAGTAGCTGGGATTACAGGTGCCCCCTACCACGCCCAGCTAATTTTCGTATTTTTAGTAGAGACAGGGTTTCACCATGTTGGCCAGGCTGGTCTCCAACTCCTAAACTCAGGTGATCCGCCCGCCTCGGCCTCCCAAAGTGCTGGGATTACAAGTGTGAGCCACCACGCCTGGCCTAAATCATTTAAGTATTCAGAAAGGTTTGCTGAGTGAGATAACTGAAGGACCTAAGACAGAAATATAATCTGTTAAATGTACAA
Organism: Homo sapiens; assembly: GCF_000001405.40. NCBI lineage: Eukaryota > Metazoa > Chordata > Mammalia > Primates > Hominidae > Homo > Homo sapiens. The sequence continues at coordinate 64,510,781 of NC_000003.12, forward strand.
ATGTGATACAAAATATTTCAAGCCTTTTAATTAAGTCACAAATAAGACAAACATTAGTCGAAAGGTTTTTTTAAAGTAATTGAAGAAAACTAGGCTAGTAAATAAATAAAATGATAGAATTTGTAAGTTTGAATCAAAAGTTTAAGGAACAACTAGGTTTCTGAACTGTAAATGTAATAAACTGAGTATCAATTCTTTTTACACCTAACCATCCTTGACCACGCTGAGACATCTCATATCAGTGGCCTATAAGGCATTTGATCCTAAGTCCAAACCAAGTGGCAGGATGCAAGTCACATATGACGATGTACATTTCTGCGCAAAGTCACTGTTTCTTTCCCATTGTAATTGGATGCCCTTCTTATTAGCACTTTGAATATTTGTTCCTTTTGTTCCTACTGGAAATCACTGGGGTGAATAATGTTATAAAACCAGTTGATTGCCTACCTGGCAGACCAACATGCCCCTAGAGCTACAGCAAAAATTGCCTTCAAAACTTTTTTGGAAAAATCAGTATTTGATATTTAAAAGGAAAAGTAATATACATGGAAAAAGACCAACTTCCTGGTCTGGAGTTCTTGTTTAAAAGATGGGGCCTCGTTATGTCATCCAGGCTGGAGTGCAGTGGCACAATCATGGCTCACTATAGCCACTAAATCCTGAGCTCAGGCAATCCTCCCAGTTTAGCCTCCCAAGTAGCTAGGACTACAGGCACGTGCCACCACACCTGGCTAATTTTTTAACTTATTTGTAGAGACAGGGTCTTTCTATCTTGCCCAGGCTGGTCTCAAACTCCTGGCCACAAGCAATCCTACCTGGGATTATACTGAGTCACTGCATTTTGAGATGCATCTTGGAGTTATCTGTCATTTTGAGGTACATATTCGAGGGGAGAAGTATCATCTTTTTAGGGCTTAGGACTTCTAAGGATCATAAGCCGCTTTGCAAAATGACCTCTAAGATGAGAAGAGCACTTGCTTGGGCAGCACATATACTAAAACTGGAGTTGTACAGGGAAGATTAGTGTGGCCCCTGTGCAAGGATGACACACGAATTCGTGAAGTGTTCCATATTAAAAAATTAAAATAAAATAAAATAAGCAGATTATCAGTGCAATGGTCCAGGCATAATAGAGCAAGACCTCTCCCACCGTCTGTTGGTGATAGGTGGTTTCCCACGCTCAGCGAGGTTAGTGGCAGGCTTTGATGGGGACCCACAGCTTTGCTCATAGCTATGAAGTTTGTAAAGAAGAAATGTCTGACCACCCTATTTAAAACAGCAACATGCTCACCCCATGGCATCTGGCATTCCCAATTCCTTTTCCCTATTTTATCTCTCTCTCCGATGCTTCTCACCTTCTGACACACTAGGTTTCGCTTGCTATTTTTCACTTCTGTACCAATCAGAGCATAAAGAAAAATCAATGTGCCAAGGCAAAGGGAACCATGGCATCTTTGCACACTCTGGGGTATGAAAGTTCTTGGTGCTCAGGGAATGCCATCCCAGGCCATCATGGTAGATGAGCAGCCATCATGGACAATATGGTCAGATTTATTACTGGAAAATAATTGCAGGGTGGTTTAGTTGTTGATTTGCTTGTTTTCTCTCTCTTCTGTCACTGCCAAAATGTAAGCTCAAAAGGCAAAGAGATGTTTGTAACTTTTGTTCACTGTTTGTGGCAGAAGCAACTAATTTCCTCAGTAACAATTCTCTCCTTCTTCCTTATAGTAACAGACCCCCCCCCCCGCCCACCTCCACTTAGTATGAGCTGGGCATGTGGTTGCCAGCTGGAAAGTACACTTCCCAGCCTCACTTGCAGCTAGGTGTGGCTATGCCAATAAAATATTGCCAATATATTGTAAATAAAAATTATGCTTCACCTTCCCTGTCTTGCCTTCAAACAATTGCTCCCTTCCTGCAGGCTGGATGCAGACCTTGCGAGGAGGAACCATATGAGGACAATGGCTTTGAGAATGGCCAAGATACAAAACAGAAGGATCTTAGTCCTCTGATGTTATGGAGCAGAGTCACCTACCAGTCCCAGAGTGCCTGCTACCTCTGGACAGCAAGTAAGAGAAATAAAAGTCTACCTCATTTTGGAGTCTCTTTGTTACAGCCTGTGTTATGGACTGAATTTTGTCCCCAGTCCTTACCCCTGAATTCCTATATTGAAGCCCTAACCCTAATGTGACTGTATTTGGAGATGCCTATAAGAAGGTAATGAAGGTTAAGCGAGGTCAGAAGGGCAGGGCTCTAATCTGATAGAAATGGTGACCTTGTTAAGAGGAGGAAGAGACACCAGAAATCTCTGTCTCTTTTTCTCTGCGCATACACAAAGAGGAGAGGCAATGTGAGGACACAGGGAAAAGAGGCCTGTTTATAAGCCAGAAAGAAAGGCCTCCCCAGAAACCAACCCTGACAGCACCTTGATCTCGGCCTTCTAGCCTCCAGAATTGTGAGAGAATAAATTTCTGTTATTGATACCACCCAGTATGTGGTATTCTGCTAAGGCAGCCTGAGCAAACTCATGCTGTCTCTTAGCCTTGACCTTAACTGAAACTGCTGCACCCAGGCCTTAGATGAGTGCCTCAAAATTAGTCGATATGCAATGAATATTACTTGATTAAATAAATACAATGCAAAGACAATATTTAATTTGTGCAGTGCTACACAAATATAAACGATTACTGGACTCTCATAGATTGTACATCTGTCTATCCACCCACCCATTCATCTTTTTGTCACCCTGGTTGTGTTTACAACGAAAATAAAGTCTCATCTTTGAACTCTTACTGTTTCCTTCACTCCCACAGCCCATCCCAAATCTATCAGTTGTCAGCTCCTATTAATTTTACCACCTGTATCTCTCTATAGTTGTTTTTTTCCGTACCATTACAATGATCACCACTCCAGGTCTCATTTATCTCTTACTGACTCTATAAATGCTTCCAAAACTTTCTCTCTTCAATCTCTGTATTTGATCTATTGCAGAGACTGGTAATTGCCTCTTTCAAATTCATTTTGCTTTCTTTCCTAGGAACAGATGCCTCATTTTATTTTCTATGGCAAGGTACTGTGTGAAACAACCCCATTTCCCCACTACTCCTACAGCCACATGACTGAATTCTGGCTAAGGAGATATAAGTAAAATTTGTTAGGTAAGGTTTCTGAAAAACCTCTTTAAAAGAACAATAGAGAACTGAAAATATGCCACCTTCTACTCTTTTCCCTACTCCTATTATTTTTTTTTTTCCGGTCACCTGGAAATTTGGGAGTGATTGCTGGAGCACTAGCAGCCATACTGAAATACGGAAGAATGAAGAGAGAAGGAGAAAGAGAAATGAACTCTGTCCCTGATGAAGTCGTGGAGCTGCCATCTGGATTGCCTACCTCCTACATAACAATGAAATATACTTTTACATAACAATGAAATACACTTTTTTTTTTTTTTTTTTTGAGACGGAGTCTCGCTCTGTCACCCAGGCCGGAGTGCAGCGGTGCAATGTCGGCTCACTGCAAGCTCTGCCTCCCGGGTTTACGCCATTCTCCCGCCTCAGCCTCCCGAGTAGCTGGGACTACAGGCGCCCGCCACCAGGCCCGGCTAATTTTTTTGTATTTTTAGTAGAGACGGGGTTTCACCGTGTTAGCCAGGATGGTCACGATCTCCTGACCTCGTGATCCGCCCGCCTCGGCCTCCCAAAGTGCTGGAATTACAAGCGTGAGCCACCGTGCCCGACCTGAAATACACTTTTAAATATGTAAGCCCTTGCAGTCAGATCTCTAATTAGGTGCTGAACACAATTCCTAACTGATTAGGGAGCCCATGCCTTCACTGCTGTCAGCTTAAGCTTGCTGACGCACATATTGAGGGCAGCTATTTTGCTAGCACTGATGCAGGGCTAAAAGGGATATGAGAAAACACTATCCTGGAAGGTAAGTGGGAGGACTATCAATAGCCTCATTTTACACATGAAAAAACTAAGGCTCAAGATCATACAGTTAGTAAACACCAGAGAAAGGAAGAGAACTGAGGCCTCAAATGATGCTGAGTGATGGCAAGGGGTAGGACTTTGGTGTAAGCTCTGCGATTTGGAGATTGTACACAGGCACATGCATGTGTTCACACACACACACACACACACACACACACACAATGGGAAACTGAGTGGATGCCTGCTTTTTTCGTGTCTCCATCCTATCTCCCCTTTTCTCTTCTTTGAACCATCTCTTTTTCACTTGAAGCTGTTGATCACCTGACTCTAGGCTGGCACAGGATCCCAGGCCCCTTGATATTGTGATTGGTCCAGAAGCGGTCATGTGACCCAATCAGAGCCAGAGTTCTTTGGGAGACGACTACTTACTCACTGTGTGTGAACTTTAGCCTGTTTGTAACTCTAAGACTCTGTCTCCTTACCATCAAATGAAGGTTAGTCTATTACCTAGTGTATTTTGTGGTTGTGAGGATGAAGTGAAACAATAAAAGTGAAAGGCCTGGCATATGGTGGCTGTTCGATGATCATTTGCTTCTAGTAGACATGTTTAAAAAGCTCTCTTTTTTCCCTGGACACCATACAGGGTAGGAACTACGCACAAAATGAACAATTAAGCACCCAAAGCCCACCTAAATATATTGTTTTTTTGCTCATTTGTTTCCCAAGAGGGGTAAGTTCCCAGTTTCCAGAAGAACCACTTTAATTGACTTGCATGATGAAAAGACAGATCTTATGGACAAGCCCCATCCCCATCTGTCTCTAGAATGGCAATTGTAATAAATGAAATAGATAAAATCTTCACTTCTTCTCCATCTGGAAACTAGAGACATTTTTACTCCAACTTGACTCAAGAGTCCAGAAACTATGCGAAACACAAATGGTTTGGGTGTGGTGATGTATTTATTCATAATATATTTTCAGAACACATTAATAATGGAGAATAACACTTATTCATATACTGAATATAACTTTTCCTGGAGCACTCTAGAGCTTGTTTGGAGTTGGAGAATACTGCCAGGCTTTTCCTAATCTCTTTGGTCTTTGGAAGTGGGCAGGGTTTCTCAAACCAAGTGTCTTCCATGGGCCATTGGCAAAGGCTTCCCTTCATCAGCTTGGAGGGGCAGAAAGACCATGGCTTCAGCACTTCCATTTTGGAAAGAAGTAACAAAAAAGTGAATTAATGAGCAATCGGAAAGACTCAAAGCATTTTGTACTCCACAGTTCATTTCTTCACACAAACGTCCATTACTGCAGCGGGCATGAAAACCGGCAGGGTGTTAGGCTCATGGCCTGAAGAGAAGTCACATCACCAGCCGATGTTTTCATGCAAAAGGCAATCGTGATGATTCAGAACCTGGTTCTGAATTTCTCCAGGTGTGCTCGTGAGCTGAAGGTCATGCCCATTCTGTGCATCCTGTGTCTTTCTACTGGTAAACTTGGATGTCATTTTAGAGTATCTTGGCAAAATGGTGAGAGGATCTCACTTTCCCAATATCACTCTGTAATGAAGCTGCTTGGGGGATCCTCCATTTGATTGTGGAGAGACCAAGGCACCGTGGGCTGAAGCAACGAATATTAACAACACTAACAACAATAAGGATAAAGTCTAAGTCTCTTCCAAAAAAGGCATATCCAAAAATAAGGGTAAAGAGCTGGTCTTATTTCATCCAAGTGATTCTGTGCACTGGAAATTGTCCTTCCGTTCCTCCCTTTCATTAAAAGTGTTTATATTTCTGAGTCGGATGATCATTTAAATACATACAATATTAGCACCAAGGCAGCATATTTTTTTCCCAGAGATCACATGAAACTGAATACTTATTTAACATAGTTAATAGTTGGTACAATCTGTGATATCACTAACATACTTATTGGCTGATACTTGCCTAGAAATGCCAAAAATATCTTTTATACAACTCTTATAGCACCTTGATGATGGCTAGATTGTTTTAAAAAAATTCATTTTAAAAAAGTAACAATAAAACATTTACAGATGAAAAGTAAACAATAGTGTACCGTGATAATGAAGGATCACTTTGTCATATTACTACATGCAAAGGCAGTCATAATAGAATCATTTTACGTACAAAAATATTACATCACAATAAATAATTTCAAACATAAATATTAAACTTTACATCATTAGGATAGTCTACATATCTACATACACACATATATGTGTATATATGTATGTGTAGATATGTATATATGTATATGTACACACATTTACACACACAAGCATACAAGTCACACACAAACACACACACACATACACATGCACCCAAATTAAGGTGGAGGTATTGCATTACTATCCTTCATCCATCCATAATGGCTTCCTCTTCAAAGCACCTGAAATAAACAAACCAGAAAATATAAACCTTCTGCCTCAAATGCTGCAAGTTAAGAATAGGCAACTGATAAATTTTTACATATAGAATTTAAAATTAACACTTATTATTTTCTCTAGATTTTATTTTTATTTTTTCTGAGTCACAGTCTCACTCTGTCACCGAGGCTGGAGTGCAATGGCATGATCATGGCTTGCTTCAGCCTTGACCTCCTGGGCAAGCAATCCTCCCATCTCAGCCTCCCAAGTAGCTGGGTCTACAGGTGCAAACCATCAAGCCCAGCTAATTAAAAATGGTTTTTTTTTTTTTTTTTTTTTTTGCAGAAATGGGAGTCTCACTATGTTGCCCAGCTGGTCTCAAAATCCTGGACTCAAGTAATCCTCCTGCCTCAGCCTCCTAAAGTGCTGGCATTATAGGCATGAACCACCACGCTGGCCCTAGATTTTAAAAGTAATGTTTGTTTGCTGTAAGAAACTTGGAGGTTTCAGGGAAGTAATAAACAATAAAATTTAAAAACCCACTAGCCTGAAATCCCCCCACCTGAGATAACTGCTCTTCATATATTGGTATTTTGGTATTTCCTTCTAGTCTTTTTTCTATAAATATATGTTTATATATGTAAATATTGTATATACGTGCTATATAAAATTTATCTTCTTAGATACAAAATATATAAAGTACGTATATAATGGTGATCTCTAGTGGATACCTGCTGATTTTTCCATGCCTCCATCCCATCTCCTCCTTTCTGATAACAAAATGCCTTCTTGTCCTTTGGGAACCATCCCTCTTCCAACTGAAGCTGTCAATCGCCTGACTCTAGGTGGGTACATGATCTCAGATCCTTGGATGTTGTGATTTGTTCAAAAGCGACCATGCGACCTAACCAGAGCTAAACAGAGATATTTTGCAGAATGCATGCTAGGAGATGAGTGTTTACTTGAATCATAAGTTGGAAGAATGATGTAATCCTAGAGCTGCCCAGGACCATGGTGTAGGGGGCAATGATCTGCCTGAGAATGAAGACATTTAAGAGGCAATCATTGCTGATTGATGAAGAAAGAGAGTACTGATGACTGAACTTCTGGATCTAGCCATGCCTGAAGCTAGCATACTTCTTGGATATCTCAGTTTCTTAAGATAACAAATTTCCTTCATTTCCTTAGCTCCTTGTAACAGAAATAATCCTAAATGTCAAATAGGCACTCTTGTATCAGGATCTTCAAGAGCCTTACACGGTAATGGGCTACTGGAAGCTTGAGGGAAGATGCAGGTGGGTCACATGAATTGGTTGAGCTCATTCCTTGCAGCTGAAGACATGGGGATGATAAAAAGACTGACCAGTTCCGTCTTTTACTCAGCAGAAGAATCACCTTCTGGCATAATGTACTCAGGTCAGGGATTGCCGAACTTTAACATGCATGACTCCTGTGGACTTTGTTAAAATGCAGATTCTGATTTCACAGGTATAGGGTGAGGCCTGACATTGTGCATTTCTAACAAGTTCCTAGGTAAAGCTGATCGAGCTGATTCTTGGACCACACCATGAGTAACAGGGGTGTGGCACAGTGGAGTGATTAAGAGCACTGGCTTTAGTGTAGGACACTCTGAGTTCTGCCGAGGGAATTTATCATTACCTTTTCATTTTTTTTTTTTTTTTTTTTTTTTTTGAGACAGAGGCTTACTCTCTCACCCAGGCTGGAGTGCAGTGGCGGGGCGTGGTCTTGGCTGACTGCAACCTCTGTCTCCCAGGTTAAAGCGATTCTCCTGCCTCAGGCTCCCAAGTAGCTAGGACTACAGGCATGTGCCAACACACCCAGCTAAATTTTGAATTTATAGTAGAGATGGGGTTTCACCATGTTGGCCAGACTGGTCTCAAACTCCTGACCTCAAGTGATCTGCCTGCCACAGCTTCCCAAAATGCTGGAATTACAGGCATGAGCCACCGTGCCCAGCCTCATCATGATCTTAAGCAAGTTACTTAATTGTTGTGGGCCTCAGCTTCCTCATATGTAAAATAGCAGCTCCTCCACACAGTTTTGTTGTGAGGATTCAATGAAATATTGCTCAACAAATGCCACTGTAGTTTTACTATTACATTCTTGGGATGTATTTCTCAAAGGATGAGCTGTGATTCACTTGCATTAGAATTCTCTGTATTAAAGTTACAGATCCCTGAATCCACCAGAGACCTAATGAAGCAGGACCCCTAGAGATGCAGCCCAATAAACAGCCTTTTAAATAAGCTCTGCAAAGAGCTGGTACCAATCCTATTGAAACAATTTTTTCAAAATCGAAGAAGAGATATTCCTTCCTAACTCATTCTATGAAACCTCTATCATCCTGATACCAATACCTGGCAAAAACACAAGAAAAAAAGAAAACTACAGACTAATATCCCTGATGAACATTGACATGAAAATCCTCAACAAAATACTAGCAAACTGAATCCAGCAACATACCAAAAAGATAATCTACCATGATCGAGTGGACTTTATTCTTGGCAGGCAAGGATCATTCAACATATGCAAGTCAATAAATGTGATTCACCACACAAACAATTAAAAACAAAAACAATATGACCATATCAATAGATGCAGAAAAAGCATTAGATAAAATCCAACATCCCTTCATGATAAAAACCTACAAGGCATAAGACATCAAAAGAACATACCTCAAAATAAAAGCCATCTCTAACAAACCCACAGCCAATATCATACTTAACAGGCAAAAGTTGGAAGCATTCCTCCTAAGAATGGGAACAAGACAAGAATGTGTACTCTCACCACTCCTATTCAACATAGTATTGGAAATCTTAGCCAGAGCAATCAGGCAAGAGAAAGAAAGAAAAGACATCAAAAGAGGAAAAGAGGAAGTCAAATTATCTTCCTTCACTGACAATATGATTCTATACAAAGAAAACCCTAAATATTCCACCAAAAGATTCCTAGACCTGAAAAATGACTTCAGTAAATTTTCAGGGTGCAAAATAAATGTACAAAAATCAGAAGCATTTCTATACACAAATAACATTCAAGCTGAGAACCAAATCAAGAATGCAATCCAATTTACAGTCACCACAAAAAGAATAAAATACCTAGGAATACATCTAATCAAGCAGGTAAAAGAGCTCTACAAGGAGAATTATAAACATTGCTTAAGGAAATCATAGATGACACAAATAGAAAAACGTTCCATGCTCATCTATTGGAAGAATCAATAGCATTAAAATGTCCATACTGCCCAAAGAAATACACAGATTCAACAAAATTCCCATCAAATTACCAATGTTATTCTTTACAGTGTTAGAAGAAGAACTATTCTAAAATTGATATGGAACCAAAGCAGAGCCTAAAAGCGAAAGCAATCCTAAGCAAAAAGAACGAAGCCAGAGGTATCATATTACCGGACTTCAAACTCTACTCCAAGGCAGCAAACTAAAGGTAACCAAAACAGCATGGTACTGGTACTAAAATAGACACAAAAATTAATGGAACAGAATAAGGAACCCAGAAATAAAGCTATACATCTATAACCAACTGGACTTCAACACAATCAACAAAAATAAACAATGGGGAAAGCACACCCTATAATAAATGGTGCTGGAAAAACTGGCTAACCATATACAGAAGAATGAAATTGAACTCTTACCTCTTACCATATACAAAAAATAACTCAGGATACATTAAAGACTTAAATGTAAGACTTCAAAACATAAAAATTCTAGAAGAAAACCCAGGAAATACTCTTCTGAACATTGGCCTAGGCAAACAAATTATGACTAAGTCCTCAAAAGCAAATGCAACAAAATGAAAATTGATAATGGAGACCTAACTAAATTAAAGAGCTTCTGCACATCAAAAGAAACTATCAACAGAATAAATGGACAATCTACAGAATAGGAGAAAACATTTTTAACCTATACATTTGATAAAGGAATAATATCCAGAATCTATAAGGAACTTAAGCAAATCAACAAGAAAAAAACAAATAACCCTATTAAAAAGTGGGCAAAGGACATGGACAGACACTTCTCAAAAGAAGACACACAAGCAGCCAACAAATATAAGAAAAAATGCTGAACATCACTTATCATCACAGAAATGCAAGTCAAAACCACACTGAGATAACATCTCATGCCAATCAGAATGGCGATTCTTAAAAAGTAAAAAGATAACAGATATTGGTGAGACTGCAGAGAAAAATGGAATACACTGTTGGTGGGACTGTAAATTAGTTCATCCTTTGTGAAAAGCAGTTTGGAGAGTTCTTAAAGAACTAAAAATATAACTACCATTTGACCCAGCAATCCATTACTGGGTATATATCAAAAAGAAAATAAATCATTCAACCAAAAAGACACCTGCACTCACATGTTTATTGCAGCACTATTCACAATAGCAAACGTGGAATCAACCTAGGTACCGATTAATGGTGGACTGGATTTTAAAAATGTGGTCTGTATACATGATGAAATACTATGCAGCCATAAAAAATAATGAAATCATGTCCTTTGCAGCAATATGGATGCAGCTGGAGGCAATTTTCCTAAGTGAATTAACACAGAAACAAAAAATCAAATACCATATGCTCTTGCTTATAAGTGGGAGTGGAATACTGGGTACACATGGACATAAAGACTGAAATAATGGACACTGGTAACTCCAAAAGGGAGGAGGAAGGGAAGGGAAAACTATTTATTGGATACTACTTTCACTATTTGGGTGATGGGTTCAAACGAAGCCTACATCTCAACACACTATAACAGTGTAACAAACTTGCACATGTACCTCCTGAATCTAAAATCTAAAAGCAAATAAATAAATAGGCCAGCTCTGTAGAGGGGAAGCCATGTCTAATGGCAGAGAACTGATGGCTTCAGTCACGTGAGGACAGAGGAGCAGGAGATAAAAAGGTAGAACTGTATTGGGTCAGCTTCAAGATGCTTAACTGTAACCCTGCCTGATCCTCCCACATTTGCTCATATAGGCTACAGAAAAAAATAAAAGACAAATACACAGACAGACAGACATAGGACTACTTACCTTAGCTATAAAACTCGCACCTCCAGGCCAGTACCAGAGGATGGAGTGCATTTTCCACAGTAACCACCGCATTTCCCTACGACTCGGGTACCATCCTGCAAGGAGATGCATCATGTTAGCCTGCCTGCTTGGTTAATGCTTTCAGGGCCTGCACTGGCTTTTTGGGAAAACGTTCTTATACACACAGTAAACAGGCCTTCTGAACTGATGTGAAGCCCAACATACTCACCATGGTCTAAAGCAGGGGCTGGCAAACTTCAGCCTGTGAGCCAAATCCAGCCCACCACCTGTTTCTGTATGGCTTGCAAGCTAAGGATGATTTTTATATTTTTAAATAATTGAGAAAAAGTAAACCAAAAATTACATTTCTTGACACATAAAATCATATGAAATTCAAATTTCAGTGTCTATTAATAAAGTTTTATTGGAATACAGCCACATTCATTAATTTACCTGATGTCTATAGCTGCTTTCATGCTGCAAAAAAAGAACTGAGTCTCAGCTTCATACTGCTTCTCGGTGCACAACAAATCACAGTGACATTGTTTTAATTTGAGAGTGTTTTGAGTGATGTGTGTATTGCTAGATCATTACAATTTATGTGCTTATTACCAGTGTATACCATTATGACAAATCAAGAAAAGAAGAGAAAGGTAGACTTTGAATGTTGCACTTTTAAGGTACAATGGCATGTGGATTATTTTGTTATCAAATTTAGATGACAAAGGATTGTGATTATTATGAAATGACACTATAGCTGTGCTAAAAGAATACAATATATATCATCACCAAACTAAATACTCATCACAATATTCCCAACTCACAGAAAAACAATGGTCAAAAATTTAGAAAATTTAAAATATAAAATTAAAAAACATGAAAATGAGTAAGTTTCCAAGTTGCTCATTTGTTAGCCAAGCAAGGAAAACAATTTACCAATGGTGAGTTCATTAAATCCTGTTTAACAGCAACATCTGAAGAAATGTGTCCAGAGAAAATAAACTTAACTACTCTTTTGGCAAGGACTATTGCTTGAAAAGCTAATAGCATTGGGAACCACATAAACAGTCAATTAAAAAAACAAAGCAGATTATTTTGAGTGGTTTTCACTGGCTCTTAATGGGTCCACACATATTACTGATGTTATTCAGGTGTTATCATTTCTTTGAGGAGAAAATGCCCAGTCTGAAGTGACTAAAGAATTAGACTCTATGAAGAGTCTAGTGGAACTAGTGGAATAGTGGAACAATTTGTGGAATAGTGGAATAGTTTATGGAACAAGTACAGGTGAGAATATTTCAAAAAGGTTGGGAAAGAACTGCAGAACAACTGAAGTGGAATCTGCTAAGACGTGTTGACAACTGATGATAGTAAAAATATGTGTGGAGCATAAAAAGCTTTAACTGGACAAATTTACAAAGCTTGCGAAACTGTTAGATGTTTAAAGCCTATGGTTATTCACTGTATTATTCATTTGCAGGTACTTTGTGGAAAATATTTGACCTATCAAGTGCTATAGAACTAGTAGTATCAATAGTGGACTTTATTTTCTACCACGGACTTACCCATCATCCATTTTGTGAATTTTTTTGTCAGAACTGAAAGCTCAATACCTTGACTTGTCCTACTACACAGCAATTTGATGGCTTAGCAGTGGGGTAAAGTTTTATTTTGATTTTTGAGCTCAGGGTCAAGATTAAAGTTTTTTGAACTACAACTGCTCTCAATCACTGTAATTCAACACTTAATGGCTCTGAATATTAGCTTTTGCTTCAGAGTTGATCATGTTTCTCAATGGATTGTACCTAAAATTACAAGGCAAAACTGTTCTTATAGGCAAAACTTATACAGTGATAAAGTAATTTCACTGATAATACTGTTTGGATCACAAGTAACGTTAGATTGTTTTATACACTTCCCATGCTGTCAAAAGTTAAAACAGGAAATGTCTTCTCTATTACACACAAATTTAAAGTGGATATATTTTCTGAGCTTAAACTGCAGTTCCAGCACTGTTTTTCAGACTTTGATATAAATGCAAAGGAAATCTTTTTATGTCAAAATCCATTTAACTAGCAATTGAGGAGCTTCAATCTCATTTTCAATTGCAAGTGATTAATATGCAATGTAGTGACATGCTAAAAGGCAACTATCAAGAGAAAACTCTGATAGAATTCTTTACTTGCCTGCCAAGCCATGAATATGCTTAATTAACATTATATGGTTATGGACAGATATCAGTGTTTGGCAATATCAATGCATGTAGAAAGGCATTTAGAAAGATTGAAATACATAATATCTCATTTCACGTCAGCATTAACAGATAAACATTTACAATCTATTTTGATAATAGAGAACACTAATTAAGCGAAATATTTTCCTCCCCCAATATCCCATTCATCTCCTCAGGTGATCTGTATTAGAAAAAGCTATACTCAGTTATTATGATTGTATTTTGAATTTGACCAATAAAAAAATTTTGTGCAAATTTGTTTTCTCTCTTGACATACAAATATACCATTGATTTTGCCTCTTGGCCCTTCAAGACTAAAATCTTTACTATCTGGCACTTTGTAGACAAAGTATGCCAACTCCTAGTCTAAAGACCTGCGCTCCATAGAGTCTGTCTTTGCCTCTGCAGATTCATCTGGTACCATTCTGTACTCAACACATGCATTTCTTTTTGTTATTCTTCTGATATGTCCCATACATTACAAGGCCTTTGCATGTGCCATTCTCTCTGATTGGAGTTCTCCTCTCTCTCCCTCTCTGTGCATACTGTACCACCTCAATTTTGGCCTGGTAAATTCTTCAGAACTCAGTTCAAAGCCCATTTCTTCTGAGAAACCTTCCTGACCTGGTTATCTGCCGCAAAGCACCCTGTAAATGGGTAATTCTTTCTTTAACATCTGTCTTCCTACTGGAATGTCAGCTCCATTATGACAAGACCAATACCTTGTTAAAACCTGGGAGTATCCAGAACCTACCACAGTGTGTGGCTCATAACGATACGAAATATACATTTGTTAAATGAATGAATGAATGAAAGGCTGAAGCTGAATTCTTCTTTTGGAAGTGTAGTTAAGAATGCCCTGCTGATCAGTTCCCCTTATGCTTTACCATGCTATGAAAAAGTCCTTCTTTAATTATGGCCTCATATTCCATTTTGTATAATAACCATGTCACATAATTCCACCCCTCCACCCTCTGCGCCTGCACAATATTGCATATTTTCCACTTCTGGAAATAACACTATGATGAACATATTTGTGCCTACATTTTAGGATTTTTTGGGGTTACATTCTCAGAACTAAGTCAAAAGTCATGAAGATTTGCTTCACACAGCTGAACTAAGAAAGCCTCTTGAAAACAATGGATAATCTCATTTTAAAAAAGGAAGATGAATACAAAAATATAATTAGAATAAATAAGTTATAGTATTTATTTTATTTTTATTTTTTTGAGACAGAGTCTTGCTCTTGTCACCCAGGCTGCAGTGCAATGGCGCAATGTCAGCTCACTGCAACCTCCACCTCCCGGGTTCAAGCGATTCTCCTGACTCAGCCTCCTGAGTAGCTGGGACCACAGGTGTGCACTACCATACCTGGCTAATTTTTGTATTTTTAGTAGAGACAGGGTTTCACTATGTTGGCCAGACTGGTCTCGAACTCCTGACCTCAACCGATCTGCTGAGATTACAGGCGTAAGCCACCGTGCCCAGCCAAGTTATAGTATTTAATAGTACAGTAGAAAAATTATATTTACCAATATAATATAATATAATAAACATTTATATAAAATTTATGTATAAAATTTATATAAAAATATTTTATATATTTTATATTTATATAATATAATATATAGTATAATGTATTATAATCTTATGTGTGATATGCTATACTATATATTATAATAAAATAATACAATATATAGTATATATTATTATAAATATATTTACTATAGATAGTTAACAATAATTGTATATTTCAAAATAGCTAGAAGAGAAGAATTGTAATGTTCCCACCTCAAAGAAAAGATAAATGTTTGAGGTGTTGGGTATCCCACTTACCGTGATTTGATTATTACACATTGTATACACGAATCAAAATATCACTAGTATAACCAAAAATATGCACAACTATGATATATCGATAAAAATACCAAAGAAAGAAAAAGAAAAACAGTGCCAGTTTAACAATAAAATAGGATAAAATAGTTTCTCTTAATTCTTAAAAATTCGTAGGCATTTGATGATGAATGGAACTGAGTTGGGAGAGTTATTTCTATCCTCCCACCTGGTCTTGGTTTTAGAGGCCTGTGGTAGTTCTGGAGCTGGCCCATACCACCAGCAACTGAATTTGATGCCAGACTAACTGGTCTTCAGTGAAGAACTTTCTCACCTGGCTTAAGTATAGGGCCAGGGCCTTCACGATACAGGCAGACAAAGAATGTCTTCTGTATCATCAAAACTTATGCTTTACTCAAACTCTCCTGACCCAGCAGAGGAGCTAACCTGAATCAGACTGCCTGGAGCTTGTACTACATCTTGAACAACCTCTTTACGCCTCAGTTCCTGGTACATCTGTAAAATAGGGATAATAATAGTACCCCATCACGGGTTTGCTGTAAAGGAGATAATGCATGTAATGTGCTTAGCATAGTACTTGGCCTAATATATGTGCTCAATGAATATTAACTGCTATTATCATAAAGGTATTTTTAATGTGTAAATATCCATCATAGCCTGTTTTCAGGGAAATGGGTAAAAGTCTGGGTAATTATAAAACTATAAAATTTAAAAAATAAAGCCAATACTGGATTTATACCATTATTGCTATCTCCTTAAGTGGGATTCCATTATTTAATTTAGATAAAGGCTGAGCTAAAACTTATTGATCCTAAAGAATAAAAACAGCCACACGGAGCAAGTAAATACCAAAAACCCAATTGTCAAGCAGACAGTGACTATTTCAGAAAAGAAATATATTAGAAGCACCCACTCACATTCCTTAAAACACTAATTTTTATTTCTTCATTAAAGCAGGCCTTCTAAAAATCTCTTTTCGATGATTATTTTGTTAGCCTGGTTTGAGCTATTACATATAATTAAATGAATGAATCTCTGTTCCATTAAGAATAGTTTGTATTTCATACTTTTCACTAATTCTTCTATTTTTTTCAATCTATATGAGGAAGGCAGATTGGCTTCTTTGATTTAGGAAGACCAGCATACCTTTGACTGGAGTGTGCTAATTTAAAGACTTATTTAAAGTTGTCAGAGGATGCTGGTGGTAGAAGCAAGCTGAGTTGGGGGTGGAGGTGGGGATTTTGATAAGAAAATCCATACAGATAGTAATGAACAGAGATTATAATGATTATGGTATAATGTTTATAATGATTATGGGGCTAAAATCTGCCTGGGTCAAGATTACATGCAATGAAATTTATCGTTGAATGTCCCTGAAATTGCCCATAAAACACAGCATATAGGGTTTTTTTTTCTGAATATAGCCCTGGACACTTATGTATATATGAACATATGCATAAATGTCTAATTTCTATAGGAATATACAGAATAAAAATTAGACTACCTAAAATGTAAATGTACAGCATTTTACTCTACTGGTCTGTGGTATGATTTTTACACTTGGTGGATAGTTGGATTTTCATAAGCTGACAGCAAGTTCGGAGGCAGCCCAGGTCGAAACATGAGAGTGGGCTGCACTGAGCATGTGTGTGTGTACACATGTGTGTTTATTTCAGGTGCCTGAACTCCACTGTTTGCAAGTGAATTGAAGGATAGGAACTGAATCCATCTCTTCTATGGTAACACAACTTTCGTTATTTTTTAACTTCAAAGCAATTCTTTGATTTACAGCCCTTGCTCTAGCCCAGGAATGTCTGTTAGACCATATCTCTTAGAACAGTGGCCCTAGTTCTTCCCTGACCCTGAAAATTCCTCTGGCACACAAGGAAGACAAAAAGCCCCGTAAGCGCCTCTCACACCCAGCCAGGACGTGATCATCCTTTCATGCTGCCTGTCTCTGAAGGCCTATTCCAGAATCTTCTACCTGGAAGAGACCAAAATGGGTAGCTCTGAGAATGGGCATGGGGAGCTGTGGTGGAATTCTGGGTGGGGCTGAAGGGAACTTTCACATTCCCACACGTTGGAGAGTTGAGGGTATACAGCGTTGCTGGCAGAGGAGCTTGAAATTCTGACATTTTCTTTCAGCCTTCATCTCTGGGCCATGGCCTCCTTTCTGTCTGTCTGTCCCTCATGCAGATATCTAAGCAGAGTGAGGAGAAACTTTACGACCCCTAGCTGAGCTGGTGCAGCTAAAACATTTGCCCTGAAGTCCACCCCCAACCAAGGGGTGTCTCACACGACTTATTCCTGGGGTCAGGTGGCAGCCATGTGGACAGGCTAAGCCCGGGCTTACACTGCAGTTCGATGTCCTTCCCACCAGCTATCTCAAGCCAGCTCCCTTCCTTAGTCACCTTGGCCAACTTCCGAAACAATATGGCAAACCTCAGGGCTATGAAAACGTTATAACATTAATAGCCAGTACTTGTGCTCCTGCTATTTGCCCAGTAGGATACCAACAGCTTTACATTTTTATTTCATTTATGTTTCACAATAAGTCAATGAGAAAGGGGCCACTACAGTCCCCATTTTATAGATGAACAAACTGAGTCCCCCCTCTCCCCACCCCCATTTTCCTGGAAGTTAAATAACTTGCCCAAGATGGCAGAGCCAGTGGGCACAGACTCTGGCAGTCAGATTTCAGAGTCCACGTGCTTCACCTCTGGGCTCTGCAGCCACTGACGGTTTTCACTGTGGCACCAAGGGCTGAGTTGCGGCAGGTTGGAGAGGCTGATCCCACCACCTGCTCAACTTAACATCCCAAGAATTTGACCTTATTCTCACCTTGTTATCCCAATCTCCTGGTGACAGCACAGCTGGGAGGAAGACACAGATTTAATGTATGTAAGCTGCCCAATAAATAGTAGCTATTTTAACCATAATTAGGTTAAAACCAGAGAAAGAGTGCTCTCCATTGTTCACAAGGAAGTCAACAGTGAACTTGATATTGAGACTGATTTTGACCAGTTCTGCTCTTGGAAGTGAGACAGCGTTACTGTTCTTCAAGTGGTACTGGAGATCTAGTTTTACCTGAATCAATACAGCTTTCCTTTAGTTTTGCTTGGGGAAAACATTTTATTGCCAAGGAGGTTTGGAAAATTGAGGTTTTCATTTTTTTTTTTCCCTTCTGTAACTCCTGGCAGAAAAGCAAAAGAAAGTGAGGAATGATTATTTGAGAGCTGAAACAGGGCTATTTGGAAAAGAGAGTATTATAACTGGCCAGGGTCTGAGCATCCCAGAGAAGACTGGGCCACAGGCCCTCGGGGGCCAGATCGTAGTAGGTATCGAGTGGGAACAGGATATGGCACAATTCTTGAAGTGTGTTTCATGGAACCCTGGTTATTTGGGGGAAATTACAAGCTGTAACTTCGAAAAGAAGTTTTTGTGCTTGGCTTCATTTAGGTTAGTGGTTCTCAAAATGTGACTCCAGATCAGGGGCATCAGCATCACCAGGGAAATGGTTACAGATGTCAATTTCTGGCCTCTCCTCAGACTGATCATGTGGTGGGTTTTGTTTTGTTTTGTTTTGAGATGGGTCTTACTCTGTTGCCCAGGCTGGAGTACAGTGGTACAATAATGGCTCATTGCAGCCTTGACCACCCAGGCTCATCCTCACCTCAGCCTCCTGAGTAGCTAAGACTACAGGTGCACACCACCACAGTCAGTTATTTAATTTTTTTTTTTTTTTTTTTTTTGTAGAGATTGGGTCTCCCTGTGTTGCCCAAGCTGGTCTTGAATTCCTGGGCTCAAGCAATCCTCCTGCCTCAGCCTTCCCAAGTGCTGGGATTATGGGCACAAGGCACTACATCTGGCCACCTGCTTGTGTTTTCACAAGCCCTGCAGGTGATGGTGAAGCACTCCTGAGTTTGAGAACCACTGCTTTAGTGGAATGCTGGCTAAAGTCACACAGGTTTATTTCCTGTATAATTTAGTCCCACCTCACATGCTAATGCTTACTGTGACTCTTCAGGAAGGAAATACAATATACTAGCATTTTCTCCCAAAAGTGTTGGGCGGTGGAAGCCTATTTTCAGGTAGCATTGCTAGGACATGCTTCTCTGGACCACACGGGGGAAGTCAGACAGCATTTCTCCAGACAGCCGGGGGCTAGAGAGGGCTCAGTCCCAGCTCCCAGATATTCATGAGGAGTACTCGACAGGCCCTGGAGATTAATTTTGAGCTCACACTCTCTGAACTGCCAAGGAACACCAAGATTTAAAAAAAAAAAAAAAAAAAAAAATGCCGACAGGCAATTGTCATACCCAGCTCCCTCCAGCCCAGGCATCTCCCAAAAGTCTTGGGGAACAGCCAGTGTAGTGATCATTCTTTCCATAAGGTGGCGCTCCTGGCTTTAATTATTTTTAGTTTCTGGCTGAAACGGTAGTAACTATCTAACGAATAAAATTATAATTTAGGTTACAGTTTATCTACATGGGTTTCCTACAATCACATTTTTATTTATTTATTTACTTATTTTTTTAACAGAGCCTCACTCTATCACCCAGGCTGCAGTGCAGTGGCACTAGACAGGCAAATTTTTTGGTTCTGGGTCACTGAAACATACAGTGTATTTCAAAACATCATGTTGTACACGATAAAAATATACGATTTTTATTTGTCAAGAGAAAAGAAACATAATGTATAGATTTTGGAGGGAAGGAATGGGGAAAGAACATTATAATTTCGGGGCACATTCTAAAGCTCATGCACTCTCTCTCAGCTATCTTTATTCCTTTCAGTGCAAGGAAAAATATTTAATGACTAATTTACAAGTAATCAATATGACTATTTAGTTAATCGGATTTGAGGACATTGATTGGCTGAGATGGAGAAGAGAGAGAGTGAGATAGCTTTTTTTCACAGACACAAACTTAATCATGGCAGCTAGAAAAAGAGATCAGGAAACAGATTTTCCTGGAATGTCCCAATTGGACGTTTCTCCTCTTTCTCAGGTGAGGGAGGCAGGTTGAGCTGCTTTTTTATAGTCTTATTTTGATTAGGTAGAAGTATTTGCAATAGGGTTTTCAGATTTAGAAAATAAAAATACAGGATGCTTGGTTAAGTATGAATTTCAGATAAACAACATATACATGTTTAGTATAACTATGTCCCATGTAGTGATAACAGTACACTTATTGTAAACAGTGTTCATTGTGTACTTAAAAAAAAAAAAAAAGAGATGGTGTCTCACTTTGCAGCCCAGCCTGGAGTGCAGTCGCGCAATCATGGCTCACTGCCCTCTTGACATCCTGGGCTCAAGGGATCCTCCCACCTCAACCTCCAAGTAGCTGGGACTACAGGCATGCACCACCATGCCCAGCTAATTTTTAAAGTTTTTGCAAAACCAGGGTCTCACCACCTTGCCCAGGCTGGTCTCGAACTCTTAGGATCAGGCGATCCTCACTGTGTATTTGAAATTCTAATTTAACTGGGTGTCCTGTATTTTATCTGGCCGTTCTGCCTTGTAATAAAACCCTACTTTCCCAGCTCTCTTCTTTGTCTTCCCCTATTTCTGAGGCAACCCCAGGCAGGGCTCCTGGCTGAGATGGGACGGGAGAAATGGGCCATGCCTGGGTAAACTTAGACATTTTTCCACGAGCCGGGTTTCTGCCCCACGTTCTCAGGACTTCAGAGGGAAGGCTGTAAGTGGCAGCGGTTTCTGACCTGGCTGTACATTTGAATCATTTGGGGAGCTTTAAATTCTACTCCTGCCAGGTCCCCCCACCCTTAGAGATTCCGATTCAGCTCATCTGTGTGGGAAGGACCTGGGCAGGTGCATTTAAAAATTCCTCAGGTGATTCTACTATACACCCACGGTGAGAAACAGTACACAGTCGACACGCTCCTCAGTTTACAATGGGGTTATGTCTCAATAAACACATCGCAAGTTGGAAATATCATTAAGTCAAGAATGCATTTAATATATCTAACTTTCTGAACATCACAGCCTAGGCTAGCCTACCTTAAATGTATTCAGAACACTTGCATTAGCCTATAGCAGGGCAAAATCATCTAACACAAAGCCTATTTTATAATAAAGTGTTGAATATTTTGTGTAATTGATTGAATACTGTACTTAGTGAAAAACAGAACGGCTGTATCGGTACCTGAAGTAGGGTTTCTACCGAGCGTGTTCTGCTTTTGAACCATGGTGAAGTTGAAAAATCAAGTGGAACCGTCGTAAGTCAGGGACCATCTGCACAGCACAGTGTTTCTCAAGCTGTACTGTGCCCATCACCACCTGAGACACTGTTCAGCTGTAGACTCTGACTCACTAGGGTCTGGGACCCAGAACCTGCATTTCCAACGGGCCCCCAGGTGACACTGATGCACTGCGTAGACCACACCTTAACCACCCAGATTTTAGAGGGTGAAAAACTTATTATTGTAGACCCTGTGTATCTCTAATTCTCCAGATATATCGCTTAATAAGTTATCTGTCTTCTAGCTCCATCTGTATTTCAATTTTTCTAAATAAAAAGAAGAGGTCATTTCCCCTCGGTTCATAGAACGAACCGCAAGCTGGCTAACTGAAAGATATCTGAGCCACACTCTCGACAGAGGCTTCTTCCTGCTTTTACCTCCCTGGTTAGGTGGTTTTTCTAATTACTTGGATGGTTCATATGTTCACCTCTCGAGGAAGAATTCACCAGAAGTGAACAAGGCTCTCACACTTTAATCACGTGTAAACACTGCACCCTAGGTTTATTTCCTAAATGGTCTTCCTGACACTACAAAATGGCTTAAGTGGGAAAGCACATTCGTTTGCTCCTTCAGCACCACTACCACAGTAATAAAGACAAGAACGAAAGAAAGAAATAAAAATTCATCTCCCAACCCATCTGTAGAACCTTACCGGCGACTTCTTGATGTCAGAGACAGCATAATTCCCTTGTGATATCCATCTGGCAGATTCAGTTAAAGACAAGCCGGTTCCATAAAGGTTGATGCTAAAACGACCCTGGAAAACACGACCAACAAAAGAGATTTTCAGTCCATGTGATGTCCTCAAAAAAGCAAAGGCAAAGGTGATACAATAAAAGGTACTTTGGAAAAGAGAAGGATGTTGATTAATTGTGATAGCTACTAATTATTGATAGTATTTAGTTTTGTTTGTTCAGGGCCAGCCATTCTTCATGCATCATGTTAGTCATCCTCGAAAGAGCTCTACGAAGGAGGTTTTCTTTACAGATAGGGAAACTGAGGCTTAGCGGAAGTGATTAACTTCTCCAGGATACGGTAGGAGTCCAACTCACATCCTCCTGACTTCAAAGTCCTTGCTCCATTCGGCCTCCCTAACACAGCAGTCCTGATGTTGCTCACAATTATCAGATTCCTTCAGGAACAAAATGTCACAGTGTAATTTTTCTAACAAGATCTTGGTGCCAAGCTTCCTGGGCTTCCAGCTCCCTGGGGCGATTAGCACACCGCGTACTAAGCACAGCAGGGCGGGACTTCAAAGAAGAGGCGCTTTCCCCAGGACGGTCAGCAGAGGGCAGGGTTGGCCTGCTCAAGACCACCTGGGCCTGGAGGATGCGGCTTTCAGGCTCCGGTAAGGGAGATCTCCCAAACCCCTCCCCTCCGAGGGTGCCTTTCAGAACATGGCCTCTGGTGCCTCAATATTGATTTCTAAAGAGACGGTGCAGCAGAAAGACCCTCTCGCTGCTTTCTCCAATTGTCTCTCTCACTCTCTCTTTCAAAAATGACTCGCAAAGGCATCTGAAATACTTTCTTCTTGAGGCTTCCTACTCCACAATGAGCAGTTTCAGAGCTAAAAATATTCCACATGAACACTCCTGATTGCTTTCTCTCTGAAACTGACAAACCAGCACTTTGTCAAAACAGTCTTTTATAAACAAGAAGAGAGGCAAGGAGGAGCTCACAGCTGATCAGACCCGCGTGTAAGAAAAATTCTTTCACCTGTGATTGGATCCTGGCCAGATCTTTTCTCACCTCTTGGAACCTCAGTTTATTCATCTGTAAAATGGAAAGCACTAAAACTCTCTTCCCTCTGAGCACCGTACAGAGGACTAAAAGAAATCAGCTATGGCTGGCGCTTAGTAGATATGCAAAAAGATGGTATCTGTCTTACATTTTCTAATTGTTTTGTAAGTGTTCGTGTGATCTCTTCAATGTAACAGTAAGCTTATTGAGAGCAGGGCCTTACTATTGCTTTGTTTATTGAATCAGCTATGGTTTGTAACATACGACTAGCCACTTAAATATTATATCCCAGCTCCTCAATTAAGATTTCCAGGACTAAGTGTAGCTTAGAGGTCTCTCAATGCCAGTTCCATAAATATTGACTAACAAAAGTTTATAAACACTTCTGGAGTGCTAGATTCCACAAGATAGAGGTGACCAGAGGACTTAGTTTGGACTAAATCAGTGGTTCTCAACAGGGCACGATTTTGACCCCAGGGGAAATCTGGCAATGTCTGGAAACATTTTTGTTTGTCACAACTGTGGGGGGGCAGGGAATGGTGCTGCTGTTGGCATCTGGCGGGTAGAGACCAAGGATGCTGCTGCGATGCACAGGACAGCCCACAATAGAGAATTCTCCAGCCCGAAAAGTGCTGAGGCTGATTGAAAACCTGGTACAAAGGGTAGATTTACCCTAGAATCTTGCTCCCTTCTTTACTTTCAGCATGACCTCAGGCAAGGAGATCATCTGTAAAATGGATTAGTAAGACTTAACCTGTGAATAGGAGGTGATTAGACAGAAGGCACAATGCACGTCACGCATTACCTGGCAGACAGTAGGTAATATTTAAAAAATATTTTTGGGCTGAGTGTGGTGGCTCACACCTGTAATCCTAGTACTTTGGGAGGCTGAGGCAGGTGGATCACCTGAGGCTGAGAGTTCAAGACCAGCCTGGCCCAACGTGGTGAAACCCCATCTCTTCTAAGAATACAAAAATTAGCTGGGCATGGTGGTGTGTGCCTGTAATCCCAGATGCTCGGGAGACTGAGGCAGGAGAATAGCTTGAAGGCAGGAAGTGTAGGTTGCAGTGAGCCCAGATTGTGCCACTGCACTCCAGCCTGGGCAACAGAGTGAGATTCCATCTCACATATATATACATATGACATTTTTATGACAATATGCTACAGAGGTTCATGGTTCTTATGTGGCATGGCTGCCATGCTCAGGTGTTTTTGATTGTAGCTGCACTGAAGCCCCCTCAGACACCGGATTCTGTATGTTGCATTATTCCATTGGCCATTTTCTTTTCTTTTCTTTTCTTTTTTTTTTTTTTTTTTTGAGACAAGGTCTCACTCTGTCACCTAGGCTGGAGTGCAGTCGCATAATTTTGGCTCACTGCAACCTCTGCCTCCCGGGTTCAAATGATTCTCCTACCTCAGCCTTCTGAGTAGCTGGGACTACAGGTGTGCACCACCACGCCCAGCTAATTTTTATTTTGGTAGAGATGGAGTTTCACCATGTTGGCCAGGCTGGTCTTGACCTCAAGTGATCCACCTCCCTCAGCCTCCCAAAGTGCTGGGATTACAGGCATGACCCACCGCACCTGCCACCCCCTCCCCCCAAAATTTTCTTATCTTACTATCATTCCTGCCCCCAGGAGTGGGTCCACATAACTCAAAGTGCCCAGGCCATCCTAGTGCCAAGAATGTCCCTCTTTTCTCCCTCCATTCTGCTTTCCACTCAGACTGCCTGTCCCACCTGCACTGCAAGAGAAAGGAGACTTGATCTGCTTTGGCACTGAAGTTTTCCGGAGGTCCAGGCGGCTGACCCAGCTTCTTTCTGGACAATGCCCCCAGCCGACCTGGGCGTCCAGTGTCTGAACATGCTCAATATATACGTCTACTAAGTCTGCCTTCCCAGAGGGGTTGATGAACCCAGATGCAACAGGAGATCATCCTCCTCATTCTCCTTCTGCCCTTTCCAGTTTAGGGATCTGCATTTCAGCAAATGTCCTAGCTGATTGTTAGCACTCTGAAAGTTGAGTTCCACCAGAGAAGTAAAGACCTAATGTTCTTTCTGGCTCTGCTCTGGGACATCTTTGCCCTTAAAGGCCTTATCTTCAAGGTCTAAAGGGCACATGAGTTGTAAATACCACCTTCTGTTGCCTATTCTAAAGAAGAGTGATTGAGAGTTATACGTTTACTAGTTGGTCCGTAAAGGTTTGCAAAAGATGTGCTTAGACCAAAGGATAATCCTGTTTTCTGTTGTACAGGAGCAAATGTTGCAGAAATCTTGCCTGAAAACAGAATCAAAAAGACATGTCTACTATCATGGATATGAATTCAGACACACTTAGGTTCAAATCCAGACTCTACTGAGCGGCAGCTGTGTAGGTTTGGGCAAATCCTCCCAATTTCTACTCCTTACCCTCCTCCTCTTTAAAAAGGAGGCATTTTCATAGAATACTGTGGTGATTTAAATGCTACATTGAGTAGACAATACTGAGTACAGTGACTAAAGCAAAGACGCATAATAAATGCTAGCTATTAATACCATCAATAATAATAGTGTCACATCTACTGTCATCAGGATAAAAAATATTCTGGTTATGTTTCAAGATGAGGGCTGTCGGGGAATCCACTCTTATTAATAAATACATCCACAAAGCAATAGTGGTCAATGAGGTAAAAGAAAGAAATTCTCAAACACAACATCATTCTGCTTTGATTTCTGTGCAATCACTAGGTCAAAGGCTGAACCACCTACTCCGAAGCAGTCTCCACAATCACGCTTTCTACAAACCTTTTCCTGGAAAACTGATTTGAAAAACTCACATCTTGCATCAGTGTAGCTGGTGCTCAATATGTGTCTAAGGAATTGAATTCTTAAAGTACCCAATATGGTTTGAAGAATGAGCTGGGAAAAAATACAAATTAGCCTCTCTCAAGCTTTGGGTTTTCTCATTTAGGAATTGCTTCATTGTCAGGATTTAGCAAATCAATCAGTTCATTTGTCTCTGAATTATTAAAATAAATGAATGCAAGTTACTTTTCATTTACTTAAGCTTCCCAAAGGATGTGCATATAGAAACAAGAAAATCCTGAGACATTTGAAAAAGGCAGGACAGGGCCAATCTGTTAGCCACTAAAATGCAACAGATACCAATGGGGTTTTTGAAGCCATCAATTGCCCTAAAAAAAACTGTACTTCAAAAGTTTTTGATTCCTGGGTAATGGAAGAAAGGCTCTTTTTACCATTATGTCCTTTGTTTATTTTCCTTCTCTCCTGAGAGCTTCCTCTCCACTTCTCTAAAACGTTTAGCAATGCTCTTCTAAAGCTTGAGGCCGAAAAAACGCCTCGTTAAAACAACGTTCAGATGTGTTTGTCTTCGGACGTTCTCTGTAGTTGGGGGTAAATCCATCCTATGGAGACAGGGCTTGGGATTCTGAACGCGTCACAGAATCCCAGTCTTCAGACTTTTGAAGGTTCACAGGCAAAGTAAGAAACTCTTGACAGAGTTTAACAACAGCTTTGTGAAGACCTCCTTTAAACCTAAGAGAAAACTGGCCAAGTTCTCCTGCCCAGAATCACTGAGTTCATTATGTTTGTCCTGCCTTCCAAGGGCAGAAGCTTCTTGTAAAGACTAACGTCTGCTTTGCAAAATTAGCCCGAGCTGATTATGACAAAATGTTTCAAAAGACAAGCTAAAACTTGCCACGCCTCTCTCAGGCAAGAAAGTGTAGAACCACAGAATGGGCAGAAAGATTGCTGCTGAGTGGCTCCGCTGAAAAGCCATCCAACAGAAGATGATGAATTTGCACTTCTGGTCCGAACACTGCAGACGTTGTAGAACTGAAGTAGGGGTAACAGGTTGAGTCAATGACATCCACAGAGCCGCAAGCCTTGGTCCCGGAGGACTTCTAGAATATATTATTATCTCATGGATATTCGTTAACCTGTCATCCTCTCTAATAGGCTACAGATTTCTCAAGGGATGAATGTTTGTGAGTCTCCAGTAAAAAGGATGGTGCCTGGCACAAAGTGAGCACTTGAGAAAGGTCAGCTGTTTTGTTGCTAAGACTATTCTAGAGCCATTTCTGACTACCATTCAGGAACCAAAGGAAACCCAGATAAGTCTTGAAAATTTTGAGATCTCCCCGTCCAACTTTTATTTATTTTTTTAAAAATTGGTTTCATGCTTACTCTGAAAAATTTAGGAAACCCGGCAAAGTTAAACATTAAATTAAAAAAAAAAAAACCTTACCAATGCACCCAACTAATATTTTGAAAAAGTCCTTCCAGACTTTTTCTGTTTATACATTAAAAGAAAATACAGATGGGATCATACTGCATGTAGTGTTTTGCATCTTGTTTTTTCTGTCTAATCCATGTAAAGTGTTTTTCTATATCATGCAATATTCAGATTCATAAAGGCTGACAGTGGTGTGTTGGCACGTGCTTGAACTGGCTTTTGAGAGTCAACTGTCTGCCTTCTTCCTAGCCCTCCATTTAGTGACATAATGTTGACGGCTTGAAATCAATTATAGGGAGAATATTTACACCATGGCAATTGACAAATGTTACAAAGCAGGACCTTTTTTTTTTAGAAGTGTCAGTCATTAAATATTTACTAGCACTCCGCTGACTGTACAATATTCATTTTATTTACCACCATAATTTGTTTAACCAAGCCCTCGCTAACCGACATCTAATTTGTTTCTAAGTTGGCGTGTTTTGTTGAATGCAGAAGTTAGGCATGTAGCTATGATCATTTCCTTAGGACCCACTTTCAGGAGCTGAATTACGAGATTAGACTCCAGAGCATTTGAGAGGGTCTTGATACATGTGGCCAAACTGCCCTCTAGAGCAACTGTTCTAATCACATTCCCAGGAACAGATGCAACTGAGGATGTTCCCGGGAAAGGTGGGAGGTGAATCCCTGGCAAGGGGGAAGGCACCAAGGACATACCTGTGGGCACTTGGCAGCGCTGTAGCAATCCCCGGCTGTGGCAAAAGGG
Organism: Homo sapiens; assembly: GCF_000001405.40. Taxonomy (NCBI): domain Eukaryota; kingdom Metazoa; phylum Chordata; class Mammalia; order Primates; family Hominidae; genus Homo; species Homo sapiens. The sequence goes on from NC_000003.12 coordinate 64,539,252, forward strand.
ACGGGATGTCCTTCGCTTGTCCTTGCAAACTGTAAGTCAGTGGCTGTGGGGTGGAGAAGGGGTTAAAGGCAGGGGAAGGTAAGAGTGGGAGAAAGGCAAGGAAGGAACAGGACATTAACAAGGAGACAGAAGGGAAGAAGAAGAATAAGAGGGAATGGGAGAGAAAGAAGCAATGTGAAATATTAGTGGGTAAATGGATCCAGATGCTCACTTGCTTTTTCCTGATTATATTTGTGGTTCTGCGAGCTTCATTCCCCGAGCTTCATCAGCCCCGAATGTCTGTCTCCCCACAGTATGGAAGCCAAAAAGGGGGTTTCAAATGACTTTGGAATTGATTCCTACATAAATAAATATGTGAATCACCTCACTTAAATGTAGCGTAATTGGCTGGCTGAGAACCTCCTGTTATCCTGCATCACAGGCTTCAGGCCAGGGGGAAATAAGCCAGGAAGAGAGCATTTCCAGCTACTTAGGAGCGATTCCCTGAGGTTTCCTCTGTCCTCCTGTTGCCTAGGCAGTATTATTGCCAAAATGTGGCGCAATTAGAACCCCCATCTTGAAATTATTGACAGCAGTTTCTCAAGTTCGGGGCTAGCCTGTAATTTTTTATTTTTTAAAGAGCCAATAAATACAAGGCTAACCCAAAGTGCACGTTGTTAACCCCTACTGTAGCTCCTGAGATGAGCTCTGCACATGCAAAGGGAGGAGTTAACCCGAGAATCCTGCAAAAGCTGTCTGCCAGGGAGACTGGAGGCCAGAGGCAGGTTTCATCTTTCTGCCTCGTCTTTCAGGAATGGCCTTAATCTTCCTACAGTTCACTACACTTTGGTGAGAGGGAAATCCCAGTGCTCCATTCTGCAAGGAAAGGGGACCTTGCCTGCTTCAGCATGTAGAACCCTTGGGTCTTAGCTGGGGTGTTTTCCTAAGTGGAGAAACTGCAGACCCTCTGCCTTTACCCCTCATCATTCTAGCTCAAGGAAATTTAAAGTATCTTGGTACAAATCACGTTTAATCTATCTCAAGAGAAAAGGAATGCAATATTATGGGTATAATGTTAATGAGGAAAAATTAATTATTCATTATTTCTGTTTTTCCTTTATGCAAGGGAACATGTTGAGGTATTTTAGCTGTCTTTAACCACTCCTATGATTAATGTCCCCAACAGAGATGCAGTGTTGGCGAGAGTATGAAATCAGCCCACACACAGGCTAGTTTAGAAAAGGTAATTCTGTGTTCCATTTTTCTTCTGCACATTGACGACTGAATAAAATTAGTTTTACGTCTGTGTAAGCATGTACACTGTGCTGGCGAAAGCTGGGCTGGGGGTGGTGAATGTTGCCCATGAATTTCTTGGCTTTGGGGTTTTGTATCTGCTGTTTATTCTACCTTGAACACTTCTGCTACCAGCTCTGCTTCCCCCACACTGACCCCTGTGCCTGGCTAACCCTAACTTGACCTTAGGGTCTCTATTTCAATGTCATATTTTCTGGAATGCTGCCCTGACCTCCCACATTTCAATGGTGCTTCTTTCATGCACTTTCACCTACTTCATTCATTCATTCATTCATTCAGTTCATTCATCACAAATCGGAGAGAGCACCTGCCTTGTGCGAGCCACTTTCCAGGCACTGGGGAATACAGCAGTGAACAAAAGAGACAAAACTGCCTGCAGGACTATCCTCGCTGCACTGTAAGCTCCCAATGTTCTTCCTCTCCATACTAGCCAATGTGCAATGTGCAATGTGCAATACGCACCTCCCTGCTAGCCAATGTGCAAGACATGCTTGCTGTCTGAATGGAGAGAAGAACGCACACGTTCCCAAAGGACTCCTCACTAACTTACTGATTATCTGCATGCTGGTCAGGTCTATTCTGATTTTCTGAAAACTGGAAAACCCAGCGGCCGTGTAATCCTTCCGACATTGGCAGTCATCGCGCCGGCTCCCGTTATAGGGACATTCTGTTGGGTTGTGTAACCTAAATTATACAGAGAATGTTCTGGTAAGGATGGGAAAGCATTTCCAGGGATCTCCAGGCCTCTGAGATCTTCTGAGCCTGGCTCTCCTACCTGTGCCCATAAACCTCGGAGAAATTCTCAGAGTCTCCATGCACCAGTGTCACGTACTCTTTGGGGTGGTCAGAGTGCATCCCCGCACAGAATATCTGAAAGACCATAAATAACCCATGAAGAGTGGCTCAGAAATGAGGTAATGAGAGCGGTGATCACTCACTCTAAAAACATTCTTGAAATAATGACTGGTGTCTGACATTCACCTTCAGAAGCTTTCCTCTAATCATCAGGAAATATTCACCATCTTCACTGGCACCTTTAAGTCTTTTTACCTCCTTGCAATTCTGGGGTAACTCACCTAGAAAACACCAATCACAAAAAATAGGGTGTGATGATCCGAGATGTGAATTATCTGCCTATAGAATGAATGACATTGTTCGCACTAAAACTTTTTAGCAAAGCGAATGATTTCCTTCAGAAAAAATTCTATATTTCTAAAAAGGGCAGGCAATCAAATGAACAAAGACATCCTGTTCTTCATGCTAAAGAAAGATAACTTCAGTTGGCCAACTTACAGTTATAGACATTACGGCAGGTTTTTCGTTCTTCTGGCTTCAGATCAGTGTGGCATAAGTGGCTGGGTTGGTCCTCATTGGTTAAACATTGCACAGATCTCTGCATCACTCCAACACCACAAGACACTGAGCACTGTAAGACAAATGAGAGTCAGCGGTGTGGCTATGGAATGTGGGAGGCATAGGCTTCTGGTGGTGTGGAGCTCAGAGCCCTGATGTCATCATGTACAGGGTGTCACTTCAGACCCTGTGTCGCTGAATACAAAAAGCTGACATTTACTGAGCACTTACTATGGGCCAGTCCCTGTGGTAAGCTTTATAGATTCATGTTCATGCATTTATACAAACATATATATGTATAAAACACTTATATGTGTAATTTTACACACACACACACACACACATAATTTTTTCATTTAAGCCTCACAGTACCCCTATGAGATAGTATTACCATTATCTTATTTTTACAGGTGGGAGATTGGGGCTCAAATTTAAGGAATTTGTTCAAGGTCATAGTGGAGCCAGGATTCAAACCCTAACTGCTTCCAAGTCGTTATACACTTTTGCCTGATCACTTTTCATTTCTTTCTTTCTTTTTTTTTTTTTTGAGACAGAGTTTTGCTCTTGTTGCCTAGGCCGGAGTGCAATGGCACAATCACAGCTCACGGCAATCTCCGCCTCCCAGGTTCAAGCGATTCTCCTGCCTCAGACTCCCGAGTATCTGGGACTACAGGCACGCACCACCTCGCCCAACAAATTTTTGTATTTTATTAAAGCAGTGTGTAGAGGGAAATATATAGTACTAAATGCCCACAAGAGAAAGCAGGAAAGATCTAAAATTGACACCCTGACATCACAATTGAAAGAACTAGAGAAGCAAGAACAAACACATTCAAAAGCTAGCAGAAGGCAAGAAATAACTAAGATCAGAGCAGAACTGAAGGAGATAGAGACACAAAAAGCCCTTCAAAAAATCAATGAATCCAGGAGCCGGTTTTTTGAAAAGATCAACAAAATTGATAGACCACTAGCAAGACTAATAAAGAAGAAAAGAGAGAAGAATCAAATAGACACAATAAAAAATGATAAAGGGAATATCACCACCAATCCCACAGAAATACAAACTACCATCAGAGAACACTATAAACACCTCTATGCAAATAAACTAGAAAATCTAGAAGGAATGGATAAATTCCTGGACACATACACCCTCCCAAGATTAAACCAGAAAGAAGTTGAATCCCTGAATAGACCAATAACAGGCTCTGAAATTGAGGCAATAATTAATAGCCTACCAACCAAAAAAAGTCCAGGACCAGACAGATTCACAGCCGAATTCTACCAGAGGTACAAACAAGAGCTGGTACCATATCCTTCTGAAACTATTCCAATCAATAGAAAAAGAGGGAATCCTCCCTAACACATTTTATGAGGCCAGCATCATTCTGATACCAAAGCCTGGCAGAGACACAACAAAAAAAGAGAATTTTAGACCAATATCCCTGATGAACATCGATGCAAAAATCCTTCATAAAATACTGGCAAACCGAATCCAGCAGCACATCAAAAAGCTTATCCACCATGATCAAGTTGGCTTCATCCCTGGGATGCAAGGCTGGTTCAACATATGCAAATCAATAAACGTAATCCATCATACGAACAGAACCAAACACAAAAACCATATGATTATCTCAATAGATGCAGAAAAGGCCTTCAACAAAATTCAACAGCACTTCATGCTAAAAACTCTCAATAAATTAGGTATTGATGGGACATATCTCAAAATAATAAGAGCTATATATGACAAACCCACAGCCAATATCATACTGAATGGGCAAAAACTGGAAGCATTCCCTTTGAAAATTGGCACAAGACAGGGATGCCCCCTCTCACCACTCCTATTCAACATAGTGTTGGAAGTTCTGGCCAGGGCAATCAGGCAGGAGAAAGAAATAAAGGGTATTCAATCAGGAAAAGAGGAAGTCCAATTGTCCCTCTTTGCAGATGACATGATTGTATATTTAGAAAACCCCATCGTCTCAGCCCAAAATCTCCTTAAGCTGATAAGCAACTTCAGCAAAGTCTCCGGATACAAATACAATGTGCAAAAATCACAAGCATTCTTATACACCAATAACAGACAAACAGCCAAATCATGAGTGAATTCCCATTCACAATTGCTTCAAAGAGAATAAAATACCTAGGAATCCAACTTACAAGGGATGTGAAGGACCTCTTCAAGGAGAACTACAAACCACTGCTCAACGAAATAAAAGAGGACACAAACAAATGGAAGAACATTCCATGCTCATGGATAGGAAGAATCAATATCATGAACATGGCCATACTGCCCAAGGTAATTTAAAGATTCAATGCCATCCCCATCAAGCTACCAATGCCTTTCTTCACAGAATTGGGAAAAACTACTTTAAAGTTCATATGGAACCAAAAAAGAGCCTGCATTGCCACGACAATCCTAAGCCGAAAGAACAAAGCTGGAGGCATCATGCTACCTGACTTCACACTATACTACAGGCTACAGTAACCAAAACAGCATGCTACTGGTACCAAAATAGAGACATAGACCAATGGAACAGAACAGAGCTCTCAGAAATAACACCACACATCTACAACCATCTGACCTTTGACAAACCTGACAAAAACAAGAAATGGGGAAAGGATTCCCTATTTAATAAATGGTGCTGGGAAAACTGGCTAGCCATATGTAGAAAGCTGAAACTGGATCCCTTCCTTATATCTGATACAAAAATTAATTCAAGATGGATTAAAGACTTAAATGTTAGACCTAAAACCATAAAAACCCTAGAAGAAAACCTAGGCAATACCATTCAGGACATAGGCATGGGCAAGGACTTCATGACTAAAACACCAAAATCAATGGCAACAAAAGCCAAAATAGACAAACAGGATCTAATTAAACTAAAGAGCTTCTGCACAGCAAAAGAAACTACCATCAGAGTGAACAGGCAACCTACAGAATGGGAGAAAATTTTTACAATCTACCCATCTGACAAAGGGCTAATATCCAGAATCTATGAAGAACTTACACAAATTTACAAGAAAAAATCAACCCCATCAACAAGTGGGCGATGGATATGAACAGACACTTCTCAAAAGAAGACATTTATGCAGCCAAAAGACACATGAAAAAATGCTCATCACTGGCCATCAGAGAAAGGCAAATCAAAACCACAATGAGATACCATCTCACACCAGTTAGAATGGCGATTATTAAAAAGTCAGGGAACAACAGGTGCTGGAGAGGATGTGGAGAAATAAGAGCGCTTTTCCACTGTTGGTGGGACTGTAAACTAGTTCAACCATTGTGGAAGACAGTGTGGCTATTCCTCAAGGATCTAGAACGAGAAATACCATTTGACCCAGCCATCCCATTACTGGGCATATACCCAAAGGATTATAAATCATGCTGCTATAAAGACACATGCACACGTATGTTTATTGTGGCACTATTCACAATAGCAAAGACTTGGAACTAACCCACATGTCCACCAATGATAGACTGCACTAAGAAAATGTGGCACATATACACCATGGAGTACTATGCAGCCATAAAAAAGGATGAGTTCATGTCCTTTGTAGGGACATGGATGAAACTGGGAACCATCATTCTCAGCAAACTATCACAAGGACAGAAAACCAAACACTGCATGTTCTCACTCATAGGTGGGAACTGAACAATGAGAACACTTGGACACAGGGTGGGGAACATCACATACCGGGGCCTGTCATGGAGTTGGGGGCAGGGGGACGGATAGCATTAGGAGATACACCTAATATAAATGACGAGTTAATAGGTGCAGCACACCAACATGGCACATGTATACATATGTAACATACCTGCACTTTGTATACATGTACCCTAGAACTTAAAGTATAATAATAAAAAAATTATATTTTAAGTAGAGACAGGATGTCACCATGTTGGCCAGGCTGGTCTCGATCTGCTGACCTCATGGTCCGCCGACCATGGCCTCTCAAAGTGCTGGGATTACAGGTGTGAGCTACCATGCCTGGCTGCCTGACAACTTTTCAAGACTGAGAGCTGCCTGGTCCAGAGCCAGGGGGCTGTGACAGTCTTCCAGGGCAGTCCCAATTTAAAATATTCTGCCTTGTTGTATCCCAGTGCAATGAAGTATTTCTTACATAGAAGCACTAGAACATACAGACTTCTTAACAACATAAGCAACAATAACTACTCCTTCTGTAACTCTTATGAGTATCAGATTTTAAGCATTTTTTTAAAACAAATTTGCAGTAAAATATATATAAAACATTTGCCATTATAACCTAAGTGCTTTTTATATATAGGCTGAGTATCCCTTATTGGAAGTGCTGGGGACCAGCAGTATTTTGCATTTAAGATTTTTTTTTTTTCAGATTTGGAATACTTGCAGTATTACTAGTTGGATATTCCTAATCTGAGCATCTGAAACTCAAGATGCTCCAAGGAACATTTCATTATGGTGTCATATCGACACTAAAAAATGTTTGGATTTTATAGCATTTTGGATTTTGGATTTCTGGATTAGGGATGCTCAATCTGTGTAAACTCATTTCATCTTCACAACTACCAGTTTTGCAGATGAGAAAACTGAGACACAAAGGTTATGCAACTTGCCCAAGGTTGTTCACCTGGGAAGTGGCAGAACCAGGGTTCAGATCCAGACTGTCTGGCTTCAGAGCCCATGTTCTAAGCACAAAGCCACTTTGGTAAACAGAAAGAAGTCCCTTTGATCCCTGTTAGCCCATTTCAAGTTGCTAACTCCAGGGTTTCTCCTGGAAGTAGAGTTACTAAGGAGAGCGGGTTAGGCAGGACATGTTTAAGACGGGGTTGAGATCCAAGGGCTTTCAGATTTGAGTGCTCAGTCTTCTACTTACGCTCCCCCAGTTGCCAACTCTCCAGGTGGCCGAGACAGGGCAGTCCCTCAGGTAACAGGGGTGAACACTGGGGGGCTGCGTGCCTGGGCAGTTGATGGTGGTTTGGTAGCTGTATTCATAATTCTCCTTCCCGGTGTAAATCTCGCTGCACGAGACAAGCCTTTGTTTGTAGCCTTTTCCACAGGTCACTGAGCACTGCAAAGACAGGGATTGAGAGGAGAGGTTCGAGCAGTTCCTGGGGGCAGCCCACAATAGGCCCCTGACCTCCACACCAAGCGCTGACCGTGTGACTATGCTGCAGAAAGCTCCCACTTCATTAGCTTATTTATTCATTTCAAGTGGCAGGCCCTGAGCGCACAGGAGACAGGCAACCCTACAGGGTGCCTCTGGGATCTGGTGCTTCCACTGGCATCTTCTCAGCCCCCACTGCAGGTGGGGTTGCCTCAAACCCCTTCTGGAGGTTTCGAAGGGAGGAGGAGGGGGAGGTGCTCCAGCTGTCATTCATTCAGTTTGCATCTTCAGCCCAACTGCACAGGTTGGCAAACTGCTCTTTTCTAAAGCTATGATGACCACCAAATTGGGAAGGGAAGAGGAGACAGCAGCAGCTGACCCGTGAGTCGGCATTTTGAGTGTGAAATCCAAGCACTGAGCCAACGGGGACTCTGGGACTGTTTTCCTTCCCTCCGTGGTGCTGTTGGCTTTCCTACCTGCCCTCCATTTAATTTCTTTCTCCTATCTCTCTCCCTGGCTATAGATTTTTTTTTTTTTTTTTTGAGACTGTGTCTCACTCTGTTGTCCAGGCTGGAGTGCAGTGACATGATCTCCGCTCAATGAAACCTCCGTCTCCCAGGTTCAAGTGATTCTCATGCCTCAGCCTCCCAAGTAGTTGGGATTACAGGTGTGTGCCACCACACCCAGCTAGGCTATAGATGTTGACTGGCATGTTACCTTTCTGCTTTTCTACCTCTTGCTCTATATCACGCCCTCATCTGTACTCTTTTATCCTAAGTCTATGGCATTTAAACATACTCTACCAATACAGAAATGCAGAAGAAATACACATCGTTATAGTGTCCCAACTTTCAACCTCCTTAGCTAAGTTTTTTTTTTTATCATTTTCTATATAAAAAATAAAACAGAGTTACAATTAATTTAGTTTTGATGATATTTTTAGGCAACAGCATCAAATAACTGGTCATCTTTTGTAAATGTGCTTCATAAACTTGGGGTAGAGTGCCGGTATTCTCTAGACTTACGGTTCTTGGGTGAGGGTGGGATAAATACCCCAAAACAGTATGCCACATGTGGTGTGTTATGCTTTTTCTGGGGTGAGGGACCACAGCTTTCATCAATTCTCAAGGGCAGTGAGAAGCCACAGTGTCTGCTCTGCCCTAATGTCTCCTGCTGCTTTTAGTCACATAGTTTTCTTCTCCTGCAACTTTTCCAGGGAAAAGGCTCTCCTTGAAGAAATCCCAGAGGCAGGAGAGAACAAGTCCAGCTAGAGGCACGCAGAGCATCCCTAGGCCTTCCCTTCCAGTTGGCTCGAGACATAGAAATGCTCTGTGTACATTTCTTCCTTCTTTGGCTGCTGCTGTTCAAATGTTTGAAGGCCAAGTTGACGCCAGGCCAGGAAAGTGTAAGGCCAGCCCGGGGTGTTTCATGCAGATGGCTAACAAACTCTGTCCAAGCTGTGGGTAATCTTAGTGTCTGACCCAGTGTTGCATGCATTGACAACAGTCCATACTAACTTAAACAAAGTTGTGCATTTGAGAGGGGCAAGGAATGAGACTCTTGACCCCTACAAACCAGGAGCAAAAGTCGTCCCCTGGCTATTTATGTGGGGGGGAGCCCAGTGGGAGACAGGCATTTGCTGATGGAACTGAGCCCCAAATATGGTCAGGCTAAACACAGAGGCCTCCACATCTCTATAAAGAAGCTGGCAAGAACAGATGCTCTCAGCTAGCTGATATCAGCATTGTGAAAATGTTGACTGCTGCTGGTTTCCTCAAACCATTTCAGAGAGAAACTCATACTGTAGACTCTGCATGCCTTGGTGTATGTGCTTGGTTCCACATGAGCACGTATTACTTTTCTAAATTGAAAATAACAGCAAAGCAAAACAATAAGACTGTGGGCTCCCTGCATGAGCTGTACACTTCAGGCCCTGCTAGAAAATGCATGTGTCAATCAGGACTGACAGAGCTCTTCTTTGCCAGTCTAGCTCGGGCCTCCGCCAATTCAGGTGGAGTAGAGCTCAGAGAAAAACACACAAAGAAGCCTCCAGGTAATAGAGGTCCCAGAGAGAAGGCATGTCTTCTTTTCTAGAGAGGATGCTGGTGCCAGTCCCTTTCGGCCCCTCTCCCCTCATTGCAGGTTTCCTTCCCTGTGGTCCCTGTATCTGTGCTAAATACTGTTTCCAGCCCTGTAGTTGTTGCCCATAAATTTGCAGACTTTTCAATTCATGATACACCTGCAAATTTACAGAAATGTGGAAGGCTTCCTTTTTTCTTTTCAATCTTCTCCCTGTTTCATCTTTTGGGGGTTATGGTTATATTAAAGCTATAGGAGTAATATGACTCAAGTCCCATAATAAAAGTGCTACACAAGAGATAAGCTAAGATGAAGATGTCAATCTTGGCCAGGTGAAAGGTGAGATCCCCCTGCGTTGGGATCTGGATGGGTTGGAACCTATGCCTCAAACCCAATATCAAGAACTATTCTGAACACTCATTTGGATTCCACATGTTCCTGGCTGGCCAAGAGCAAATCAATGTCGTAAAGATCAGAACCATGTCTCCTCTTCACTCTCTAAGGGCATGCGGTACTACTCAGGGCATACCGAGAAGATGCAGGGTTGGGGTCGAGCAGGGTTTCCCAGCCTCAGCACCACTGACATTTGGGCCAGATAATTCTGTATTGTGAGGGCTGCCCTGCGCACTATAGGATTCTTAGCCCCATCCCTGGCCTCCACCTTCCAACCCTGGCCAGTAGGGTCCCCTTTCCCCAGCTGTCACAACCAAACTGTCTCTAGACACTGCCAAATGTCCCCTCGAAGGACAAAATTCACAGGAATAAAGGATAGGGCGAGATAATTAGAAAAGACTTTGGGATCAGCTTTAGTGCAGGAAGCAATTCAACACCCAACACACACATCATCTAAATGCAAATATTCATCTCATTAACATGTGAAATTGCTGCCTGTCAAACTTTGAAGAGACCCAGTGGCAGCAATCATATTACCTAACAATTTTCAATACCTTTACTGTGAGTCCAGATGCCTCCCTTTCGAATCTCTAAATGCTTTTGGGCAAATGACAACTGGTTTGACTGCTACAGATCTCTCATACAGATATGAACATATTACGATGTTTGAAAATAATATAATCATGCTATGATTACTACTGGTTTATTACCATTAAAAAGGGTCTAGATAAGCACTGTGCACAGGAAGATATATGAAAAAATGGTACTTGAGATACTTCGGATATTATAGAAAATTATTTTCTTCCTCTGAAGCTGTTTGTTAAACAGGCACAACACATCTGGTTCATGAAAGGGGTTTGTTTGCCCCTTACAATGTTTTAAAACCAAAAATTTCAGCCCCCATTTTCAAGTTAGGAAATCTCACATACTAGTCCAGATTTTTAGCCTCTCTTGAAAAATCAGGTCTGGTAACGCTAGACCACATTTCTGCATGGCCACAGCTGGAGTGAAAGAGATTCTGCTCCCTTCACACAGCATGTGCTAGTTTGTCACAGTTGCCATCTCTCCTTGTTGTATCCCTGGCACTACAGTATTTTCTTATACTTAACTGTCTTCAGGCACCTCACAGCATCCTATGAGTTTGCAGCCCCTGTAATAATTTCTTCTTTATGCCAATAGGACATCAAGGTGAATCACAGAATGTAGACCTGAAGGGACTTAGAGACCATCTCTTACATCTCTCCCGCTTTGCATACAAGGAATTCTAGCTTGGGAAAGCTGAGGACTTGTCAGAAAACACACAGTTCACAGTGGCAAATCGGGCGGGTAGCCTCAAGTCTCCCACATTCCTGCACTCATCCCTCCACTCATCCCTCTGCCACTCTCAGGCCATGGCTGAGCTGACGATGGTTACAGTTCCCAGGACGGTACCTCTGACCATTCTCCTGTGATCCAGACATACTCGCAGGGTTGCAAACTACAGCTTTCACGGTCCACCGGCCGCTTGCTCACGTCACAGCGTGCCCCATGCACCTCGTTTTTGTTGTCATCCACACACACCACCTTGCGGTACCTGGAGCCTTCGCCGCAGGTCTTGGTGCACTGTTAAATACAAGCAAAAGAGAAGAATAAACCGTAGTTCCTTATATCCTATGACTGTAATTATGTGTTTACCTGTCTACATAGCCTTTAAGATCATAAGAGCCCTGAGGGCAGGGATTGCCAGAGAACTTCTCGTTTTTTTGTTTTTTTGGTTTTATTTTTTTTGAGATGGAGTCTTGCTCTGTCTCCCAGGCTGGAGTGCAGTGGCACGATCTTGGCTCACTGCAAGCTCTGCCTTCCGGGTTCACGCCGTTTTCCTGCCTCAGCCTCCCGAGTAGCTGGGACTACAGGCGCCCGCCACCACGCCAGGCTAATTTTTTGTATTTTTAGTAGAGACAGGGTTTCACAGTATTAGCCAGGATGATCTCGATCTCCTGACCTCGTGATCTGCCCACCTCGGCCTCCCAAAGTGCTGGGATTACAGGCGTGAGCCACCACTCCCGGCCGAGAACTCCTCATTTTACCCCAGTTACCTAACAACTCTGTTCCTGGCATTCACCACCCAGCTGTCTAAAGGAAGGAAGGAAAGTATAAATGAGTCAATCTCAGTTTAGAAAGGACCTTAAATCCTATTTACTTCAAACACCTACTCACAAGTGACTTGATATTGACACTTATGGCCAAATGTTTACCAAGCTGGTGTCTAAATACCTCCAGGATCAGGGACATCAGTACCTTCCCAGATAGCCATCTCATTTCATAACATGGAACCAAACAAATCTCTTTGTATGTTCCAGGCCCCTGTCCTAGTTTTCCATTCCAGGAAAGCATAAAGGAAAGTTTCAGCTCTCACAAGTAATCTCCTTCAGCTATTTGAAGAGGGCTTTCCTTTAGCCCCAGGTGCCTTTTCTTCTCCAGGGGAACTGCTCTCATGCCACATCATTCTGCAAATATTCACTAAGTTCCTACTAGGTGTCAGGCCCTGTGACGGGTCCTGGGTGAACAAGAGTGCACACAAATGGCACATTCTCTGTTTTCAGAGAGGAGCTTATATGTTAGTAGCAAAGGCAGACAACAAAGAAGATAGCTAGGTAGTGAGATTTAACAATTACTGTAATTCCGTTTTCCAGATGAAGAAAATGGGACTTTGAGAGCCTAAGTTACTTGCCCCAGGTCACACATCTCTTTGTGAGGTAGACGGGACAGCTATGTTTATTCCCATAAGCCAAGGGATGATTACAGAGCAAGTGGTATGTTTCATTCTAGGATAATCTCTATGTCCACAGATTCTTATTTGTTTTGCTTTAGCCAACACCAAACCCCACCCCTGAAGTTTATCCTTAGTGCCCTGTGTTGCTAAAGGTCACTGAAAGCCTATTGTATCTAAAGCCTCTGTGTCACCCAACATTTCAAGACTCATTGGGAAGCCCCAGTGAGCTAAGTGAAACCTGTACCAAGGACTGCTGCAGTTTCTTAATTTAGGCCAGGGATTGAATACCCTGTTGGCAACGGGCTTATCTAACAACTGTGATTTTTGTTGTGTGGTCAGAATGTTGTCTTTTCTTTTCTTTCCTTTTTTTTTTTTTTTGAGACAAAGTCTCCCTCTGTTGCTCATGTTGGAGTGCAGTGATGTGATCACAGTTTGCTATAGCCTCGACTTCCCTCCTACATTTTAGTCCCAAGTAGCTGGGACTACAGGCATGAGCCACCACGCTCAGCTTATTTTTAAATTTTTTGTAGAGATGAGTCTCACTACGTTGCCCAGTTTGGTCTTGAACTCCTGGGTTTAAGGGATCCTCCTGCCTTGGCCTCCCAAAGTTCTGGGATTACAGGCGTCAGCCATCATGCCCAGCTAGCACACTGTCTTTTAAAATGTCTAATTTTAGTCTCTTTACGGAGAACTACAGACCCCACCTCTCTTTTTCATCTAATGGGCAGCCTTTCCTTTTATCCCTGCCTTGCCTCAAAGGCATTTATGTTTGGAACTCAGCTTCACTCAGAAATGTCTTCTATGATATGCCCTATGTCTTTTTTTTTTTGGTGATAAAATACACAAAATATAAAATTCACCATTTTAACTATCACAAGTATAGAATTCAGTGGCCTTTAGGACATTTGCAATATTATGCAACCATCACCCCATCTAGTTCCAGAATATTTCATCACTGCAAAAGGAAGCCTTGTACCCGTTCACCAGTCCCTCCCCATTCCTTCCTTCCTGTAGCCCCTAGCAAACACCAGTCTGCTTTCTGTCTCTGCAGATTTGCCTATTCTGGGTATTTCACATATATGGAATCATCCAATATGTGGCCTTTATTACCTGACTTCTCTCCCTTAATGTTTTCGAGGTTCTTCCATATTGCAGCATGTATCAATATTTCACTCCTTTTTAAGGCTGAATAAGATTCTGTTGTACGGATATACCACATTTTGTTTATCCATTCCTCAGTTGATGGACATATGGGTTGTTTCTCATTTGGCTATTGTAAATAGTGCTGCTATGAACATTCATGTACAAATTTAAACACCTATTTTCCATTCTTTTGGGTATATATACCTGGGAGTGGAATTGCTGGGTCATATAGTATGCCCCGTGCCTTTCGTGAGCTACCCTGTTCCTTTAGGAAGGAGAAGGGATATGCTGGCATTTCCTGGTAGCCCCTTGTCACTTGCAAACTAAACTTAAAATTTCTGCTGCTTGGGAGTAAACCTCAATATCTAGAATATGGAGTCAGTCCTCATTTTTCTGGAGCATAAACATAACTTGAAACCACTGTGAGGTGAGCATGGAGGAGCAGAATCATTTCAAATTAGTGCAGGAGGCCGGCTGAGCCCAGTTCCCTAGCTCATCCCTAGCTCAGTGGTTTTGGGGTTCTCTATTCCCCTAGAAAAAAAGTGTTTTTTTCATCATTAAAAAGGTGAGATAGAGGGCCACCGAATGTTAAAAAAGAAAAGAAAAGAAAAATTTAATCTGTGATGTGTAGATATATGCAAATACTTAACCACCCATAGAAAAAGTAATTCCTTAGAAAATTAGGACTTAGGTGACTCTGAGAAGATCCTAATTATTGCGCAGCTAAACCTGGACTAAACCTTCCAGTATCCTCTCTTGTTTTCACTAATCCACAAGGCTTTAATCTGCATCAATAAGTAACAGTTCAGAGCAGAAATACAATGAATCCTAAATACTTTATGCTTGTTAAGCGTTTCTCTCTCAGTCTTAAAGAATGGTTAACTACTGTAAAGACTATTTTGCCAGCGGTGGAAAGGGGAGCTGGAAAAATTTACCTTGAATATAACTTTTACAAAATTAAAAATTAAACTAAGTAAATAAGTGACTTGCCCAGTGTTTCCTAAATTAGTCAACAGCAGCTCTGAAAATCACATGGCAAGGGTTTTCTCCTGGAATCTTAAATCCTAACTAGGGTATGGGGGCTGGGTAATCAGAAAACAAATCGAGTCCATGCTATCAGGTTTCATCAGCTTTTTGTAATATGGCTTCCCCCTCAACCCTCTACGATTTATGACTCTTTCCCCTGTCCTGGAATATGATCTAGAATGTTCTGAAAAACAGTTGGAAAGTTCAATTAGCCTCATTTTAATTTCCAAAAGGTTTTCTCTAATTTCAGTATGGCTTTTAGAAAAATCTCTAACACAAGTAACACCACCAGCCTCCTTGCATTTCATCACACACTATAATTCAGAAAGAAAATAATCACAGTGCTGGACTAAATCGGGCAGCTCGCCCATTGTTCTGCAAGCTACATGTGCCTTTAAATATGCTGAAATTAACAGGGGGAAAAGAACTTCTCCGAATTTGAGGGTGAGGAAGACCTAAAGTAAACCCTGAAGGTGGTATTTTATTCAGCCAGGTAGGTTGGCCACAGAGTGATGGTCTGAAAAGGATCATTTAATGCAATGGGTAGAAATTTTCTTTGCTTAAAGATTATAATCAAGTTGCTTTACACTTTCAAATATATCTTTTGGTGCAATTCCCTAACCATGGGGGGAAGAAAACCGCTTGAGAGTCACAGGCTCTACCTTTTAAGGTTGTTGATTTTCTCCATGGATGAAAGACCTTGTCTTCTCTAGTGCTGGGTTACCATTGTTGCACAGTGTATGGACGGCAACTCACAGAACCACAGGGTTCCTGGGTTTTTATGTCATGAGAAGCAGCAATGACAAATCAGTTTATCTAGCGTTGCTTTAAATGGCAACAACGAAAAAAGCAGTCCTTACTTTAAAGCTCATTTTAAAGTCAGGTATACAGAATTTAGACATTTTTGCTCCCAAATAGTATATATTTGTTAGGAGGTGCGGTGGGGAGAAGGAGGCAGAAATAATACTATGGAGACACTTTGTAACTTTAAAGTCATTCATTCATTCAATCAATCAGTATTTTACAATGAGCCAAGGTCTATGCTGGGGCCCCGGGAGGCAGCCTCCATGGCT